>NC_000001.11:181972465-182275496 GCF_000001405.40 Homo sapiens
GTAGGATAGATGGATGCGCTGAGATGAGACAGACAAGGGGAGAGGTTGAATATCTCCCAGCTCTGCCACCTACCAGCTATGTAAATTAGGTAATTTACTTAACCTCTTTAAGTCATAATTCCATATCTTCCAAATGCAGAACTCATACCCATCTCATATTTTTTGTTATGAGAAGCCAATAAAATCATCTCTATAAAGCACACAGCACAATACCTGGTGTTTTTAACTTGCTTAATAGCTTTGACCTAAAGGAGGATAGGGATAAATGTTTAAGATGGAGAGAACAGAAATTCAGGGGGCTCATGGTAGATGACAACGTAGGAAACGAGGTATTTTATTCAAGTTGAGACTTAGAAAATCTGTCAGAATTCTAGAGGAGAGTCATTAAGAATATAATAGATGCTGCCAGGCTCAGTGGCTCACACCTGTAATCCCAGTACTTTGGGAAGCTGAAGCAGGTGGATCACTTGAGGTCAGGAGTTCCAGACCAGCCTGGCCAACATGGTGAAACCCAGTCTCAACTGAAAATGCAAAAATTAGCCAGGCATGGTGGCAGGTGCCTGTAATCCCAGCTACCTGGGGGCGAGGCAGGAGAATCACTTGAATCTGGGAGGAGGAGGTTGCAGTGAGCCAAGATCCTGCCATTGCACTCCAGCCTGGGGGACAAGAGTGAGACTTCATCTCAAAAATAAATAAATAAATAAAATAATAATAGTAATAATACAACAGATGGTACCTAGTTGGGAAACTAGGATCTGATTCTGGGTCAGAAGTTTTGGGAAAACACTTATTTATTCCAAAAAGTACGTAAACAAGTAAAGCCACAATCTTAGCTCAAGACCAAGGAGTAAAGCTCCTTTTCTCACATGACAGCTGAAAATAAGCCCTATATCTTCAGAGAAATTGCCCCTAAAATTAGTGCGCCCTTGTTTTTAGACTTTGACACAGCAAACATTTATTAAATATTTGCTATCTTCTAGGCATTGTATCACCATAAAATTCTTTGACTATCACTAAGAAGCCCCACAGTTGCCAGTTTGATATGCAAGGAGCTTGTCAATTGTAACTCCTGTCCTCACAACAAGAAATAAACTGAAAACCAGTAATTCTTCTTAGATCCATCAGAGAATTAAGGTCACAAAGCCAACTATTAAATACATCCTCAAAATTGGAGAGGCAGATGAATATAGAGAACTGCAGCTTACCTGGAGCAGAAGCTGCTGCTAGAGACAGGTAGGAGTATTTAAGGAAAATTGACTAATTGCTGGAGACTTAATGTAAACCAGCTTGAGAGATAAAACTTTGGGTGCCTCACTTTAGGGTGGATCTCCACACTTTCATGAATTTTACCTTAAGGAATTTCACCAGATTCTTGGGGTGAAGATTGAGGAAACCCTGCCCCAACCTGAAACATAAAAAAAAAGCCCCCAACATAAAAAATAAATTGTACCCAACATAAAAGAAAGCAAAAGCACACACACTTACGGGGAAGCCTGAGACCAGCTAGGTAGAACCCAGTGTTAACCAGAGGTGGCCACAGAGTTGACTCTTTCAAAATCAACTCACAATTGTTTGGGTTATCTAACTGGTAATGCTGGGGATTTCAGGGGGCTATTATGGTTGAGAACTGATAAAGTAGGTCAAGGTCACAAGAAATTATGGTGAACACATCATAGACAGTGAGAAGGGAAATAAGTGAGGTTGGGAGTAGGTGGGATGGGATGGTGGAATTAGGGAGGTCAAAGAACTGAGTTCACAAGATGGCCGACTAGAAGCAGCAGTGATCAGAGGCTCCCACTGAAAAGAATGATTAGGCTGGGCATGGTGGCTCACGCCTGTAATCCCAGCATTTTGGGAGGCTGAGGCAGGCAGATCACTTGAGGTCAGGAGTTTGAGACCAGCCTGGCCAACATGGTGAAACCCAGTCTCCACCAAAAATACAAAAAACCAACCAGGCATGGTGGCAGCTGCCTGTAATCCCAGCTACTTGGGAGGCTGAGGCAGGAGAATTGCTTGAACCCGAGAGTCAGAGGTAGTAGTGAGCCGAGATCACACCATTGCATTCCAGCCTAGGTGACAAGAACAAAACTCAAAAGAAAAGAAAAGAGAAAAAAGAAAAGAAAGAAAGAAAGAGAAGAAAAGAACCATTATACCATGTGAATCCTGCACTGGCAATCAAGGTATCCAGCTTTTCTCATCAGAACTGACTAGACGGCTGGTGTGATCCATAGAGAGGAAGGAAGGGCAGTGTGGTGCAGTGGCCCACCTGAGAGCCACACGAGGCAGGCGAGTCCCCATCCCCCAGTCAAGGGAGGTGATGAGTGAGCGTGCTACCCGGCAGGGTAAACCATGCTTTTTCCACGGAACTGTGCAACCCACGGATCAGAAGATCCCACTTGCAAACCCACCCCACCAGGGCCTAGGGTCCCAATCCCGGACCTGCACAGATTCTCAACAGCCTCTCAGCTAGAATCTGCTTAAGGTTGGCAAGTTCCTGGGGAAAGGGGCAACCAGCACCAAAGCTGCTGCTGCCTATCTAAGCCATTTGAGCTCCTTAGGAGAGGGACAGCAACCTGCACTGGGACTCATAACTGCCTAATATGCTAAGCTTCCTGGGCTCCGTCTCTGTAGCTCCAGGCCAAGCTTTTCCCCTGCTGGAGCCAGGAAGGCTGGACGGCTTGATCCCAAAAGGTGTCCTCCACAGCCCAACACACCAGATATGGGAAACTGCAGCCAGAGCGCCTCTTCAGGCCTGACCCTGACCCATCCTTCCTCACTGGGTGGGGCCTCCCTGCAGGAACTCTAACAACTCCAGCCAGAGGCTCAGGGACAGAACCCCAATCTCCCTGGGCCTGAGCCCCTAGGGGGAACGGTGGCTGCAGTCTCTGCAGACTAGCAGACTTAGCCTTTCCTCCTGGTGTGTTTGAGGAATCCAGGCAGCACAGACAAGTGGGTTACCCCCCAGCAAAGCACACTCCCTCCACCAAGGACAGTCAAAGTGCTTGTTAAACTGGTCCTGTTTCCCATGCCACCCACCTGGGTGAGACCCTCCAACAGGGGTTGTCAGACACCCTACACAGGAGTGATCCTACTGGCATCAGGTTGGTGCCTTTTGAGGTCAGAGATCCCAGAAGAAGGAACAGGCACCCACCCATCTTTGCTGTTCTCCAGCCTCCTTGAGTGACATCTCCAGGTGCAGGAGGTAACCAGATGAATAGGGCCTGAAGTGAACCCCCAGCAAATTGCAGAAGAGGGACCTGACCATTGAAAGAAAAACAAACAGAAAGCAACAACAACACCATCAACAACAAAAAAAAGTCCCCACCAAAACCCCATCCAAGGGTCAGCAGCCTCAAAGATCAAAACTAGACAAACTCATGAAGAATAAATGAAAAAATGCTGAAAACCCATAAAGCCAGAGTGCCTCTTCTCCTCCAAATGATCACAACACCTCTCCAGCAATGGCACAAAACTGGACAGAGGATGAGATGGATGAATTGACAGAAGTAGGCTTCAGAAGATAGGTAATGAGAAACTACACTGAGCTAAAGGAGTATGTTCTAATCCAATGCAAAGAAGCTAAAAACCTTGATAAAGGTTAGAGGAAGTGCTAACTAGAATAACCAGTTTAGACAGAAACATATATGACCTGATGGAGATGGAAAACACAGAACGAAAACTTCGTGAAGCATACACAAGTATCAACAGCTGAATTGACTGAGTGGAAGAAAAGATATCAGAGTTTGAAGACCACCTTGCTGAAAGAAGGGATGCAGACAAGAATAGAGAAAAAAGAATAAAAGGGAATGAAGAAATCCTCCAAGAAATATGGGACTACATAAAAGGACCAAATCTATGATTGATTGGAGTACCTGAAGGAAAGGGGGAGAATGGAAACAAGCTGGGAAACACACTTCAGGATATTATCCAGGAGAACTTCCCCAACCTAGCAAGACAGGCCAACATGCAAATTTAGGAAATACAGAGAACATCACTAAGATATTCCACAAGAATATCAACCCCAAGACACATAATCATCAGATTCTCCAAGGTCAAAATGAATAAAAAAATGTTAAGGGCAGCCAGAGAGAAAGGCCAGGTCACCTACAAAGGGAAGCCCATCAGACTAATAGTGGACCTCTCAGCAGAAACCCTACAAGCCAAAGACATTGGGGGCTGATATTCAACATTCTTAAAGAAAAGAATTTTCAACCCAGAATTTCATATCCAGCAAAACCAAGCTTCATAAGTGAAGGAGAAATAGAATCCTTTCCAGACAAAAAAATGATGGGGATTTCATCACCATTAGGCCTGCCTCACAAGAGAGTTCCTGAAGGAAGCACTAAATATGGAAAAGAAAAACTGGTACCAGCCCCTACAAAAGCACATCAAAACATAAAGACCAATGATATGATGAAGAAACTGCATCAACTAGTGTGCAAAATAACCAGATAGCATCATGATGACAGGATCAAATTCACACATAACAATACTAACCTTAAATGTAAATGGACTAAATGTCCCAATTAAAAGATAGAGACAGGAAGGGGAACATTACACACCAGGGACTGCTGTGGGGTCGGGGGGAGGCAGGAGGGATAGCATTAGGAGATATACCTAATGCTAAATGACAAGTTAATGGGTGCAGCACACCAACATGACACATGTATACATATGTAACAAACCTGCACGTTGTGCACATGTACCCTAAAACTTAAAGTATAATAATAATAAAATTAAAAAAAAAAGATAGAGACAGACTGGCAAATTGGATAAAGAGTCAAGACCCATCAGTGTGTTGTATTCAGGAGACCCATCTCACATGCAAAGACACACATAGGCTCAAAATAAAGGGATGCAGGAAATTAACCAAGCAAATAGAAAGCGAGAAAAAAAAAAAAAGCAGGGGTTACAAAGAAGGGCATTACATAATGGTAAAGCGATCAATTCAACAAGAAGAGCTAATTATCCTAAATTTGTATGCACCCAATACAGGAGCACCCAGATTCATAAAACAAGTTCTTAGAGACCTACAAAAAGACTTAGATTCCCACACAATAATAGTGGGAGACTTTAACACCCCACTGTCAATATTAGATCAACAGGACAGAAAATTAACAAGGATATTCAGGACTTGAACTCAGTTCTAGACCAAGCAAACAGAATATACATTCTTTTCAGTATCACATGGCACTTATTCTAAAATCTACCACATAATTGGACATAAAACATTTCCCAGCAAATGCAAAAGAACTAAAATCGTAACAGTCTCAGACCACAGTGCAATAAAATTAGAACTCAGGATTAAGAAATCCACACAATTACATGGAAATTGAAAAACCTTCTCCTGAATGACTCCTGAGTAAATAATCAAATTAAGGCAGAAATCAAGAAGTTCTTTGAAACCAATGAGAAAAAAGAGACAACGTGCCAGAATCTCTGGGACACAGCTAAAACAGTGTTAAGAGGGGGAATTTATAGCATGAAATGCCCACATTAGAAAGCTAGAAAGATCTCATATTGACACCCTAATATCACAATTTAAAACGCTATAAAAAAGAATGAGTTCATGTCCTTTACAGGCACATGGATGAAGCTGGAAGCCATCATTCTCAGCAAACTAACACAGGAACAGAAAACCAAACACTACATGTTCTCACTCATAAGTGGGAGTTGAACAATGAGAACACATGAACACAAGGAGGGGAACATCACACTCCAGAGCCTGTCAGTGGGGTGGGGGACAAGGGGAGGGAGAGCATTAGGAGAAATATGTAATGTAGATGGTGGGTTGATGGGTGCAGCAAGCGGCCATGGCACATGTATACCTATGTAACAAAACTGCATGTTCTCTACATGCATCCCAGAACTAAAATTTAGAAAAACAACAACAACAAAAACACTTAAAGGAGCTAGAGAAGCAAGAGCAAATGAATCCAAAAGCTAGCAGAAGACAAGAAATAACTAAGATCAGAGCAGAATTGAAGGCAATAGAGACACAAAAACACCCTCCAAAAAATCAATGAATCCAGGAACTGTTTTTTTGAAAAGATTAACAAAACAGACTGCTAGCCAGACTAATAAAGATGAAAAGAGAGAAGAATCAAATAGACACAATAAAAAATGATATAGGGGATATCACCACCGACCCCAAAGAAATACAAACTACCATCAGAGAATGCTATAAACACCTCTATGCAAATAAACTAGAAAATCTAGAAGAAATTGGTAAATTCCTGGACACATACACCCTCCAAAGACTAAACCAGGAAGAAGTCAAATCCCTGAATAGACCAATGAGAAGTTCTGAAATTGAGGCAGTAATTAATAGCCTACCAACCAAAGAAAGCCCAAGACCAGACAGATTCACAGCTGAATTCTACCAGAGATACAAAGAGGAGCTGGTACCATCCCTTCTGAAACTATTCCAAACAACTGAAGAGGCGGGACTCCTCCCTAGCTCATTTTATGAAGCCAGCATCATCCTGATGCCAAAACCTGGCAGAGACATAACAAAAAAAGAAAGCTTCAGGCCAATATCCCTGATGAGCATCGATGTGAAAAGCCTCAATAAAATAGTGGCAAACTGAATCCAGCAGCACATCAAAAAACTTATCCACCACGATCAAATCGGCTTCATGCCTGGAATGCAAGGCTAGTTCAACATACACAAATCAATAAATGTAATCCATCATATAAACAGAACCAAAGACAAAACCACATGAGTATCTCAATAGACACAGAAAGGGCCTTTGATAAAATTGAACATATTTTCATGTTAAAAACTCTCAATAAACTAGGTATTGATGGAACATATCCCAAAATAATAAGAGCTATTTATGACAAACCCACAGGCAATATCATAATGGGCAAAAGCTGGAAGCATTCCCTTTGAAAACCCGGTACAAGACAAGGACGCCGTCTCTCACCACTCCATTCAACATAGTATTGGAAGTTCTGTCCAGGGCAATCAGGCAAAAGAAAGAAATAAAGAGTATTCAAATAGGAAGAGAGAAAGTCAAATTGTTTGTTTGCGATGACATGATTGTATAATTAGAAAACCCCATCATCTCAGCCCCAAAACTCCTTAAGCTGATAAGTAACTTCAGCAAAGTCTCAGGATACAAAATCAATGTGCAAAAATCACAATCACTCCTTTACACCAACAACAGATAAGCAGAGAGCCAAATCATGAATGAACTTCCATTCACAATTGCTACAGAAATAATACCTAGCAATACAGCTAACAAGAGATGTGAAGGATCTCTTCAAGGAGAACTACAAACCACTGCTTAAGGAAATAAGAGAGGACACAAACAAATGGAAAAACATTCCATCCTCATTGATAAAAAGAATCAATATCATGAAAATGCCCATATTTCCCAAAGTAATTTCTAGATTCAATGCTATTCCCATCAAACAACCACTGACGTTCTTCACAGAATTAGAAATAAACTATTTTTAATTTCATATGGAATCAAAAGACCCGGTATAGTCAAGACAATCCTAAGCAAAAAGAACAAAGCTGGAGGCTGTTCTGACTTCAAACTGTACTACAAGGCTACACAAAACAGCATGGTACTGGTACCAAAACAGACACATAGACAAATGTGGCAGAACAGAGACTTCAGAAATAACACCACCTATCTACAACCATCTGATCTTTGACAAACCTGACAAAAACAAACAATGGGGAAAGGATCTCCTATTCAATAAATAGTGCTGGGAAAACTGGCGAACCATATGCAGAAAATTGAAACTGGACCCCTTCCTTACACCTTATTCAAAAATTAACTCAAGATGGATTAAAGATTTAAGTGTAAAACCTAAAATGATAAAAACCCTAGAAGAAAACCTAGGCAATACCATTCAGGGAATAGGCATAGGCAAAGACTTCATGACTAAAACACCAAAAGCAATTGCAACAAAAGCCAAAATTAACAAATGGGATCTAATTAAACTAAAGGGCTTCTGCACAGCGAAGGAAACTATCGTCAGAGTGAAAAGGCAACCTAAAGAATGCAAGAAAGTTTTTGCAATCTACCCATCTGACAGAGGTCTAATATTCAGAATTTACAAGGAACTTAAGCAAAGTTACAAGAAAAAAACCAACTTCATGAAAAGGTAGACAAAAGATATGAACAGACACTTCTCAAAATAAGACATTTATGTGGCCAAAAAACATATGAAAAAAAAGCTCAACATTACTGATCATTAGAGAAATGCAAATCAAAACCACAATGAGATACCATCTCACACCAGTCAGAATGGCAATTATTAAAAAGTCAAGAAACAACAGATGCTGGCAAGGCTGTGGAGAAATAGGAACACTTTTATACTATTGGTGGGAATGTAAATTAGTTCAACCATTGTGGAAGACAGTGTGGCGATTCCTCAAGGATCTAGAACCAGAAATACCATTTGACCCAGCAATCCCATTACTGGGTATATATCCAAAGGAATATAAATCATTCTACTATAAAGAGTGGACTATTCTACTCTTTTTTAAATATCCTTTATATATATCTTTTTAAAATATTTATCAAAAATATTTATAAATATTATTTATAGAAACATTCTACTATAAAGTACACTTATGCTTATTGAAGCACTGTTTACAATAGCAAAGTCACGGAACCAACCCAAATGTCCATCAGTGATAGAATGGATAAAGAAAAATAAATCAAATGTGGTATATATACACCATGGAATACTATGCAGCCATAGAAAGGAATGAGATCATGTTCTCTGCAGGGACATAGTTGAAGCTGGAAGCCATCATTCTCAGCAAACTAGCACAGAAACAGAAAACCAAACACTGCATGTTCTCACTCATAAGTGGGAGTTGAACCATGACAACACATGGACATGGAGAGGGGAACAACACACACCAGGGCCTGTTGGTGGGTGGGAGGATAGGAGAGGGAACTTAGAGGATCGGTCAATAGGTGCAGCAAACCACCATGGCACATGTACACCTATGTAACAAACCTGCACATTTTGCACATGTATCCAAGAACTTAAAGTAAAATAAAAAAAAAACTGAGCTCATGATGGGGTGCAGAGCAAAGGTGAGTATGGGAGGTGTAAATCATAAAACAGAAAGGATGTTTAAAGTCTGGAGGTACAATAAATGTAAGTAATGTAGAGTTCAATTAGTTTGTATATACTAGGATAGGATAGAAAAATGAGGAGGGATACATTCAAAGGCATCTGTGTGACTGAATGTGTAAATCAAAGGACATGTTCTATGGGTAGAGGATAACTTGCAATCTTTACACATTTACCTTTTATTGTTTTAGAGTGATTTTTGATCCTCTGATGCAGATACCTCCTGTCTCCATGTTTTATCTATTACATCAGACTATGGCTCTAGCTTTTTAGGCAATAAGAAATTTTTTCAAACTATGGAAAAGGGGAAAGGGCATAATAAACACTTTGGACTTCAGTCATTGTGATGGATTATCTTGCCACTTGGTTTGAAATCTAAGTTTGCAAATCAGAAAGGTAAAACATTCTGAAGCATCGCCAGCTGTGAGCTGGGCAGGCCACTTCAGGAAGGGCTTGATCACTCAAGTGGCAGAAAAGCCGGAGTCAGAGAAATGTGTATGGTCAGCAGCAGAAAGTACCAGATGACAATGCTTATTTAGAATTTGAGGCTTGATGCTTGGGAAATGTGAAATAATAGGCCACATGAATCATTATCACCTAGGTCGGTATTGCTCTTATTTTAGAATAGACAATCGCCTGTGTGGTATGAATTGAAGGACATCACAAGGAAATATCATGAACTCTTACACTACTAGAACGAAGACAGACCTTAGAAGTCACCTAGTCTAGAAGTTCCCTCCCTGTGTGTTATGGGTGTACCTCAGCCCTTAGGGAAGACTCTAGAAGCCTCATTCCCAGGGGTGCAGTACAAAAATTACTTTCTATGTGTGTTATGATGGGAAAAGGCTTGTGGGTACTAAGTGGTGCAACCTCATCATAGTCCATGTGAAAAATCTGAAAGCAATGAGGTGAAGGAGCTTCCTAAGTTGTTTTGGGTAGTTAGAACTGTGATCCAGATGTCCTGAAGCTGCTTCTCAATACACTGTCTTAGCTCTTCCTCTGCTGGCTTGAAAGTTTCTCCACAGGTAGAGGAACATTCTGTTAAGTTAGAGCCTGGCCTTTTAGTAATTAAATTGAAAGTCAGTCCCCTTCCAAAACCCTCCAAAGACTTCCCATTGCACTTATAAAATTTAAACTTCTTATCAGGAACTACAAAGCACTGCATGACTTGACTGTAGCCCACCTCTCCGGGCTTATTCCCTCCACTCCCTTACTCATCACACCACAGCCATCCTCACTTCCTTCCCTTTCCTATCCAAGTTGTTCCCACCTCAGAAACTCTACACTTGCTCTTCCTTCTGCCTGGAACACTCTTTTCCCAGATCTTGCTCTGCTTCATTCAGGGGAAGATTCAAATATCACCTCCTCAGTGAAGCCCTCCCTACTTACCCAAGCTCAACTAATTATTCTATTATATTACCTTCTTTATTTTCTTCATAGAACCTACTACTATCACAAATGGTCTTGTTTATGTACTTACTGTCTGTCTCTCCCACTAGAAGGTAAGCAGGGACCTTGTCTAAATTGATCCCTAGAATAAGGCTTAGCACATGATAGGTATTTCAGTACTTTTGTGAATTAATGAGTAATATATTATTTGCCTAGGATACTTCACATTTCCTATATTATTTGCCTATATTATTGCCTATATTATTTGCCTAGGATACTTCATATTTTAATAGAAAATGTGAAGTATCCTAGGCAAATAACATATAGTCATTATCAGTTAATAGATTATTAGGAAATTGTTTATCAGCTTATTTCCAGGGCTCCAGCTAGCAGGGATGCATGATTATCTCTAGCAGTTCAGGGGAGAAACTAAAAAGGATTAAATGGGACTGCAGATAGGTAAAGAGGCTTTGTTATGGGTAAGTAGGAAAAAGAGAGGCCCAGGTAGGAGAAACTGCCAGGATGAGGGTGCACGCAGGTCAATGACATTAGAAGGGACTTCTAGAAAGGAGAGGAGATTGCCATCATGACAACTCACTCTGTTCACTGGTGTGCTCAAAGCTGACCCCAAACATGGGCATTTATGGAGGCGGCAGAGTGGAGCCAGAAACATCAGGACAGTTGTTCCAACATAAATGTGACTCTCTTTCAACAACTCACCTGTGTGGTATACAAATGCCTGCCATTGGCCATCAGGATTCCTGCCACCCTGTACCACTTACTAGGAGGAAGTTCAGAGAACTGTTGTAAGCAGTTACTAAATGTAAGCTGGAAGAAGAATCTAAAGAAATGGATTTCTAAAACCTCTGGAGGCCTCTTTCTAAAACCACTCAGAAGGTAAAGATAGAAAAAGGAAAATGGAGAGAGATGCCAAAGGAATGAGAGTAGGAGGTAGAAAGAGACGTTCCTTCAGGAGTTTAATAAGAATAACATTAAGGCTTTTGGAAATGATTAACAACAGTGACAGCTCTATTCAGAAGTGAAATGAATAAATATTAGAGCTACCCCACAATATCTAGGTGGGAAGCACTTGACAGACATCAGCTGTAACAGACAGCACCACTCACAGCTGCACGGATGGAAAAGCCAAAGCTTCCTGAGCTTCATAGTCTCTCAAATTTTCTGTTGAATCTCTCTTGATGGTTCTTTCGGGATAGGGCTGTCCTTTCCCGTTTGACTGTTCTGCAGGCCTGTGGCACAGACTTACATAAGGCATATGCAGAGAAATAACAGGATTTCTGGGAAGCAGCACTTAAAGGCTTATTTTTTTAAAACTGCATTGCTATATTTAGGGAAATGATTCAGAAGACACCCCCACTCCATCACATGCACACCTCTCTGTCTAGTGTTCCATGCACGTTTGACTGTTTTTCTTGGCATTTTATGTTTTTCTAATTTCAGTATAGGGTTTTGCATCTCTCCATAAAGGTTTTTTCTGTAGCAATCATTTTTGCGTTTTTTTTTTTTTTTTTTTTTTTTTTTTTTTTTTTTACAGGTGATGTGATGGCTTGGGCTCTCATGAATAAAATATAAAGCAGCGTATGACATCTCCTCACATGGATCAAAAGTTTGGGAACTGCATGGTTCATGAGGGAAAATGTGTTCTCTAAAGGCCTGGGGAGGTTTGGGGTAATTCTTCTTGTCACAGGACATGAATCTTTGAAATGTCAAGCTAAAAACAAGCTCTTGACATCATATTAGTGCTATTGGCTCATTCAGCAGGTTCTCTCCCCATTGCCTGGGATGCAGAGGCTGTGGTGATTTTCTGTGGAAAAAAGCACAGCAAGGAGAGGTCTAGGTTCTAATCCCAGAAACACTGATAATAAAGTAAATGTCTCTGAGTGTGTTTTTTGTTTTGTTTTGTTTTTTTGAGACAGTCTCCCTCTGTTGCCCAGGCTAAAGTGCAGTGGTACAATCTTGGCTTACTGTAATCTCCACCTCTCGTGTTCAAGTGATTCTCGTGCCTCAGCCTCCCAAGTAGCTGGGGTTACAGGCATGTGGCACACCTGGCCTTGCTATTTCCTCTTACAGCCTCATTTTCCTCATGTATAAAATGAGAGGATTGAATGGTATCAGCCCTTCCCACACCGACTCACAGAACTCTAGTGAGAATACACAATATACACGTATGTCCCTTCTTTTGGTCATTCATAAGGCTCAATAGCACTTTAAAGACTCAGTATGTTCTATAATAGTAATAAAACTTTGTTGATTACATTATTTTCCAAACTAACTTGCCCATGAAACAGCCCCTGAACCTCTCTCTTTCCTCTTCCCCGACACCCTTTAACCTCTATCTCATTGGGCCCTAGTGTTCTAAGGAACCTATTAACTAGATGATTTTGTGGGCTCCTTTCAGCTCCAGATTCAATTTGGTTCTGCCATAAGGCCCTACTTCTTGCCAAACATGTGCTCGTGCAATGAGAAGGGACATGTCCCCTGCCTCCAAGCTGCTCACAGTCATGGTCTATTCCGGTCCCTGTGATAGAAGAGCAAGTTGTCTAATTAGCTGAGGACATCACTTTGAAGGGTGAGCAGAATGCCCAGAAGCTGAAGATTGCTTATAGTTCATTGGCTAATAGCTTGCTCTGTGCTTTAGATGTTTCCTTGTGAGTTCACCAGAAATATGTGAATCTATGATGAAATATTAAAGAGAAACTGGGTCATTGTTTTCCCAAAAAATCCCCTGAGAGAGCTCTGTGCTGATTTTGGAGAAGACCATGATCAAATGTGCCCATTGGGATAAAATGATGGTCGCCAAGGATCACGCAGGTAAGTGTCGGGAGCTTCTGCCCAGGATGGGCATGTCTGAAATCATTTGAGGGGAAAAATTGCACAGAGAACAGGAAGATTCTTGTTTGGTGGTAGAGCAGCTTTAAATTTGTTCCAGAATATTTTATGAAAACATTTCTCTGATTTGGGATTCTCTCTTCTGGACAAAGCAAATGCAAATCTGCCTCAAGCTTTACCACTAATGGTACCACCCACCAAGTCTCCATATGGCCCCGTGACTAAGGACATTTGTTTTAACTTTAAAGTGGTCCCTAACTGTGCCATAGGCACAGTAGTACATGATATCAAGCTACTAGAGATATGGCTTGGGGGGGAAGAGAGAGAAAGGAAAAGCAGGCAGAAATGCTGCTTTGTGCTACACTGATGACAGATGGATCACCTATGGCATGTGGAACATTTCCTAAACCACAGCTCGCTTCTAACAAGAATGCAGAAAGAAGGGCTCTCTCTGCCCTTCTTCCAATATAGTGTTAACAGAGATGACATTTGATTTGGAAGAGGAGTAAATAAAAATGAAACAAAAATGTGGGGAGACTGTGGGATTGGAGGAAGGCAACTGATGAGCAATCAGACCACAAGGTGATAACACTGAGCACATGTAAATTAGAGAGAATTTCAGTAGAGATGGATTCAATTTCAAATCCAGGGAAATCAAATGCCCACTCCTGCTACCCCCCATATGTGTGGCAGCAGGCAGAAGAGAACATTGTTCCCTAAAAGGAGAGTGGGATGTTAGAGAAGTGGGAGAGAGAGAAATAGGAGCTATTCTGCGACTGTGTGTTTCCTAAACTGGATGACCACAGGTGCTGCAGGGAGCCGTGCTAAGCCTGCCTAGGGAGGGGCACTTGATTTCCTGATTAGCCTTCTCATCAGGCTTCTGTGAAGCTGGAGAGGTGGGCTGCTTTATGCTGCTGCAGCTTTGGCAGGCTGATGTCTTTCAGGGAGAAAATGGGAGTACAGCCAGCAGGCAGCGCCAGCATGGCGTTGAGGCCCAGTGGGCACTCAGGTCCTAGGGTGCAAGGAGAGCCAAGCAACTGCTGAATCTTAACTCCTCTATGAATCCCCTTTCTAACATTACCTCCTTCCTGTCTTGCCCCTCCTTTCACAGCCCATTTTCCAATCTTGTTGAGATGTTGGATTTTTCTTTCCTTTTTTGTTTTCCCTCTCCTCTTCTTGGCCCATTTTCTCACTGTCCCGCTCAGACCCACAGCCAGTCTCGCCAGCAACTGTCTTGTCAGCACATTACATAACTTTGTGTCTTTGTCTTTATCCTGTGCTCACTCTGCAGACTTTAACCCCAAGAAAACCCAGCAAATGTTTCACTTTTCTGCTTACATGGCTGATTGCTAAAGAATCTGTTTCAGCTGAGTTCCCCAGCATCCCTGGCATTCCTTTCCCTTGATACTCCTGCCTCCCTTTTCCTTGTAGAGGCCACTTGGCATTACCCTACCCCCTTCCCAAGCCCTTTATTACTCCTGCTTTCCCCACCTTAGCTCCCCATCTTAGCAGATGGCCTTGCTTCTATCTGCACACAGGGCAATAGAAAGGGAAACCAGGCAGCTGGATCTTGTTTCATGGAAGATCTTTTCATCAGTGGAAAGCCTTAATGAACTTGGATTTACAAAGGAAGGCTTAGACCAGAAAGGAGAGTAAGGGATAGGAACAGTTGCCTAACATAATAGAGTGGAAAAAAATCGCATTCTGAAGGACAACAAGGAGAGGAATAGGGAGGAGTCGGCAAGTTGGCCAAAGTTAACTGACACTCAGGAGAAGCCCCAAGTGCAAAATCCCAGTGGGGAAAACAAAGGCTTTTAAGAACAAGAGTGAATAAATACCCCTTGTCTGCCTCCCATCAAAAGCCTCTGTACAGTCTACCACAAATACAAGCGCTTTGTGAGAATGTGGTTTTGTAGAATTTAAGGAAGGAACACTTTTCTATCTGGGGCAATGAAGCGTAGACATAAGAGCGCTATGATTGAGACCCAGAGGAATCTATGAAAACACGAGCCCTGGGACTCTGTAGAAATTTTGGGAAGGCCTTAATAACTTTCACTTGTTTGAAATACTGAAGCACTCTTATCTCAGTTTAAAGGGAAAGAGAGGACCCCCACAAATGGATATCTGGATTAAACAAAAACAAAAACAAAAAACATGCCTTCAAGAGTAAATTTCTTCAACTTTGCCCCCATTCCACAAACGTATCTTCAGCTATACCTATGTTACCTCAGTCTCATTCATCTCAAAGAAGAGGTATAGAGGCAGTGTGATTTGAGAGAAAAAGAACAAACGTGAACAAACACACCTGAACAAAACTAAACAAAAAGAAAAAACAGATTTGGCTTTTGAATCTGAACTCAAACCTGACTAGCTGTGTGGCTTTGGGCAAGTTGCTTAACCTCTCTGAGCTAAGGTCAACTTTCTCATCTATAAAATGAGGAATAAAACCCTTTTAGAGTTGTTAGGTTTAAAAGACAATGTATGATAGTAACCCCATGGTCCCTCCCTAAGAGAGCTCAAGCAAAAGCTCTACCCCAGCTCTAAGATCCCAGTTCTTCTACCTGCCAAGGACAGGGGCCAGCAGGAAGCCCCAGACACTCATGACTCCATACCCTCAAATGCTCACAGCTCAACACTCAGAGTTTCTCATCAACATCTGCCTTGAGTCCACTGGAACCAATCTCATTATGGCGTTTGTCCCTGTTTGTGTTACTTGCCCCAAGAAGCTGCTGGTTCCCAGGACACTCTCACTTCCCATCTTTTTATCCCTATATGACTCTCTACAACCTAATTCTATCCCCACATCCCACCCCTCCTGAGCTCCCCAAACCTTCCACTGTGCCCTCTTGAATTCATGATCCATCATTAGCAAAAAATCCCTCTGCCTCCAGCCTCTTCTCTGAACATTCACTTTCTTGCTCTAATCAAAACTTGGCTCTCCCCAGAGGACACTGCCTCCAGTAGCGCAGAGGCTGCTTTTCCTCCCACGGCCCTCAGACTTCTGGGCTTGAAGGCAGGATGAGGTCCTCCTTGCTGCTCATCACAACTTCCAGACCATTCTCCCTCTCTCCTCCCAAAATACCCCTGCTTTGAATCATATGTCATCCGACTATATCACCCACTACCCTTCATTGCAGCTATAACTTACTGACATTTGTCTCACTGTCATTTTCTTCAACATTACTTCTATCTCGATTTTTCGTGATTTTAATATACCACCTGAAGAAACTTCATGTGTCATGGCCACTCACTTCACTAAATGTCCCTGCATTGGTGATCTTGTCCTCCACCCTCCCTCATTACTCTCATGGTGACACCCTGGGCCTTATCATAACAAATTACTGTGACTATTCCGTGATACTCCCTCTGTGATCGCCCTTATATTTTTAGCTCTTTCTAAAGCCCTAGATCCAAAAAATCCTCTGCACCCCCCTCCACAGAACCTATAATCCATTGATCCTGCCACCTTTTTACTGTCCCCACCCACTTTATGTCCTCTTCTCTTCCCTCCTAAACCAGCTTAGATCCATAGTCAGTCATTAGTCACTTCTGTGTATATATCCTCACTTTCCATGTCCCTGTTGTTTCATTACATTTGCTTGGCTAAACTCCAAATTTGATTATTTCTCATTTTTGCTGCTTTGGCCTATGAAGTCAGTCCAGCTAGAAGTGGCTGGAAACATAAAAAACCATGCTGGCATGTCTTGCTTTAAATTCAACTCTTGACCTCAAGGAGGTCCATAAAGCTGCCTGACAACCACACTGTATTTCCCTAGTACATTCACCCTCCCACTCTACTAGATGAGTATTTCGCACCTTCTTCTTTCTCCTCACACATCCAACACCTCTGCCCCCACTCGCAGCAGACAACCTTGCTTCTTACTTTCCTGGCAAAATTGGAGCAATCAGAAGAGAACTTCCACAAACTCCCACTCCCTCAATCTACCCACCTTCCACCATCTGCACCCATATATTCTGCCTTCCTGCTGTTACTAAAGATGAACCCTATGCTCCTCTTTGAAGCCAATCTTTCCCTCACATAATTAAGAACACCTGACTGGGGTAAGTTGAGTGTGTATGTGTTGAAACTGTGTGTGCTTTTAATTTCTTCCTGTTATAAACAAGACTGTTATGAATAACTTAATGCCAAATATGCTGAATTTTGGATCATTTCCTTAGAATGGATTCCCAAAAAGATGTAAGGATGAGGGCAAACCATATTTCTATTTTCATGGTAATATAGTATGTGCTGAGGGGAGTGGGAATCAGGGGAATAAGCTATCTCTGGCTCACTGTTGCATATGAGAGGGAAAAATTAACCTTATGAAAGAAAAACTTAAAATAGAGCTAAGCTACAATGAAAACATGAATAACACTTAGCAAATATATCTGAGTTTATATGTTACAATGCAGTTAATCCAAATGATAACTTTTACATCTATTCCTTTCTCCAAAAAAGTCAATTTTTTAAGTTTACAATTTTGTTCAGAAACCAAATAACAAAGCAACAAAAACTAAAATATTAATTTTTGCTTGTACTATTGGTGCCAATTCACAGAAAACAATTCTGGAAAGGAGTTTTAGTGATGTGATGTGATTTTTCTCATCAATAAGTATTCCTGAAATTGAATTACTAAACCTTCTTAATATTTCAAGAATTGCATAAGCACCTACAGAATTCCATGAAATCTTTGCTGATATTAGAGGGAGGTGAGTGGAAAGAAAATCAAATCATGTCTGTTGGCCACTTTCTTGCTGTACTTGTATAGATTTTAGTAATTCATAGTGAGCAGTGTTGGCACTTCCTTATAATTATTTTATTCATATTTTTCCATTACAAAAGCAATATATCTCCAGGTAAAAGAGGTAATTTATCATTTATTTTCTAAAAGAAATTTCTTCTCTGTTCCTACATGCCGTCAAGTCTCAGTGAAGGAATAAAAATACATAAATCCCACAAGAAACAAGAGAACACACAAGCAAACCACAGATAAGAAGAAAATTTGGCAAGTTTGAAAGATCTCATTTATGTCAAGTCCAAATACCAGATGGAGGAGTAGTGACTGACTGCAGAGTGGAGTAAGCCCAGCCCACATGCCTACAGCAGAAAGGTAACTTGCCCAATGGGTTCCTGGGAGGACTTAGCATTTGGAAGACCCAGGCACTGCCAAAGATGAGGATGAGGCATAAGACTAAAAATAGAGGGCTTGGTTGAAATCTGTATGTAGTTGGATCCTCCCAAATCCCCTTCTCAAAACTACACAGGCTGGGCACGGTGGCTGAAGCCTGTAATCCCCAGCACTTTGGGAGGCCGAAGCAGGCGGATCATGAGGTCAGGAATTCAAGACCAACCTGCCCAATTCGGTGAAACCTTGTCTCTACTAAAAATACAAAAATTAGCTGGGTATGATGGTGCACGCCTGTAGTCCCAGCTACTCGGGATGCTGAGGCAGAAGAATCGCTTGAACCTGGGAGACAGAGGTTGCAGTGAGCCGAGATTGAGCCACTGCACTCCAGCCTGGGTGACAGAGCAAGACTTCATCTCAAAACAGCAACAACAAAACAAAAACAAAAACAAAAAAACTGCACAACCAGATGACTAACCCTGCAAAAGATCAGAAGTTGATTCTCTAACAAAATCGAATAAGGCTTCCAAATGTGGGGACACCAGGCATTGAAAATGCAGAATTTAGTGAAAGTTTGCACTTTAAATAATGAGACTCTTCCCACACCTTGCCCTCACAATACAGACGTATATATGTGCCATCCCACCTCCCAAAATATTGGAGGATTATTCTATTTGGATATTGAATAGCCCCCAAAGGATTTCGTGTACTGACACATGTGGGTCTCTCAATAAAGAGCTAACCCCTGCTTAACGGGCTACAAGACCCATCCATGCTTACGAAATTTTGTATCAAATTTTTAATACCTTATTTTTAAATTGAATGGTCAAAAAGCATAGGATACTTAAGGAGAGCCTCTAACATCCAAAAGAGAAACAACAAACAGGAAAAAGGAATTAGAAGAAAAACAGATTATACCAGCAAGGCATTATTATAATACTGAGAGGAGAAAAAATACTGCATTCATGAAGCAAGACAGAATGCCATGAACAAAAGAAAAAGCATTGTATTAAAATATAATAGGCTATGCTGTAGCAACACTCAATTTTCAATGATTGAGGACAACTAAAGTTTATTTCTCATTTATAGCAAGTCCAAAGCAATTATAAGTTGTTCTCCTTTATCTGGAACTCAGAGATGCAAGCTCCCTTGATTTTAAGACACCACCATTTTTACATGTGGCTTACAAGGACACCAGAGCAGGAGGCAAGAGGGATGGACCCAGGCACAGTAGCTTTTACCTGCCTCAGCCTGAAAGTGACTTATGTCACTTCTTCTCACAGACCACTCACCAGAACTAGTCACATGGCTCCAATCTAACGAAAGCCAGGAAATGTAGAAAAGCACATGGAATATTTGTTGAGCTCCACATGTCTGCAACAGGAACTATCAGAGAACAAGAAAGAGCTCATGAAAATGAATAATGATAGCTGAAATTAAAGATTCAGTAGAAAATGTAGAAGATAAACTTGAGAAAACCTATCAGGAGATACAGTTGACCCTTGAACAACACAGGTTTGAACTGGGAAGATCCACTTATGAGCAGATGGAAAATATAGTATTTGAGGAATACAAAAGGTGCTTACACTTTTTCTGTATGCAGATTTCAAAAGACCAACTGTGGAACTTGCATATATGTGAATTTTGGCATACAAGGGGGTCCTGAAAACGATCCCCTGTGCATCCTGAGGGATGACTATACATTTTTAAATCACAGAGAAACTTAAAGAGGTTTATAATCCATCCAATTATTAGGAATTATGAAGATTGCAGACAAAAAGAATGGGAAGAAATTTTCTATAAATACCAAAAAATCATCCACAAACTAAAACATGCAAGTCTCCAAATTAAAAAGGTCCACTAACACAGACACTCACCCTTTGGGCAAAAGCTATGATGAGGAGTCATGTGACACATGACCCAACAGCCTGTGGTTGAAACAACAAACCATCAGAGGTATGGCCTGCACTTGGTTTAATGGAAGGAAGCGGGATGACTGGCAAGTACCTTGCAGAGCCTGTTTAGTTTAGTATAAGGTGTCATGCCTTTTGTTTATCACTTAACTTTGTATAATAATTGTATTTCCATGGAACTTGATGACCTTCACAACTATTACATTTATTGGTTACAAATATCCTATACAACAGACACGCCATATTTTACTTAACCCTCCCACTAGTTAGACTTTAATGTTGCTTCCAATCTTTTATTGTTCTAAATAAGATCGTTGTGACTATCTGAGTAAAGTTTTAAATGATTTCTTTAGGAGGGGCACCCTAAAGCTGTAAAGAATGGGAGCAAACCTTATTACATTTCCATGATTCTTGGTGGATTTTACAGAAATCAACTTCTACAATTATTATACCAACTTCTAACGCATGCAAGCATAAATGCACATGCAGTCATTGGCATTGTTTTTATTGAAAAATATTTTGCTAACTTAGGAGGAAATGGATTTGTATACATTTCTGTATATTTGCATATAATTTCATTTTAATGAATTATCTGTCTGTAAACATCACTTATGTATCCATTCAGTGCTTAGTGCTTTTCCTATTACTTTGTAGAAATACTCTATATTGATCCATCAGTTACTTATTTGCCTTTTAATAGATCTGTCCTTAAAATCTTTAAATCAGTTGATCCCCTTTTAATGATTACTACTAATCATATATTTCTCTAGAAATTTCACAATTACTTGTTTCACTGTGATTAAATTTTGTAAATGCAGGTCCTTAGTAAAATATGCTCAGTATTATTTGATGAGTGCCTCCTACATTTCAGGCATTGGAGGTACAAGATGAGCAGAAATGGTCCTGCCTCCAGCAGTTTACAGAACTGATGCTTCCTACAAATTGTTAATCCCAGCTCCATCACTGAGCAGAATGCTTTTCCCACTGCTGTCTCATGTAAAAAATTCTTATATGTAAATGCATTCTATTTTTAGCTGTTTTTCCTGTTTTTTCTTGTGTAAGAACTATAGTTTTAATTATTGTAATTTGTTTTGACATCTGTGAATTTAAGTTTTTCCTGTTTTTCATTATTTGATGTTCTTTTTTTTTTTGTAGAGACAGGGCTTCACCATGTTGTCCAGGCTGGTTGTGAACTCCTGGCCTCAAGCGATCCACATATCTTAGCCTCCCAGAGTACTGGTATCACAGTCATGAGCCACTGTGCCTGGCCAGATGTTCATTTCTTTAAACAAATATTAAAAATCATTTTTTCAAGTCCCCAAATATTGGAATTTTTATGGGACGTGTATTAATGTCAAGTAGGTAGAAAATAGTTGAAGTCCTTACATTATTTGGATGTTTCAATTCACAGTATGGTAGGGTTCTCTATTTATAAAGTTTATAGTTTTTTTTTTTATTTTTTTATTGAGACGGAGTTTCACTCATGTTGCCCAGGCTGGAGTGCAGTGATGTGACCTCGGCTCACTGCAACCTCTGCCTCCCGGGTTCAAGCGATTCTCCTGCCTCAGCCTCCTGAGTAGCTGGGATTACAGGCGCCCACCATCATGCCTGGCTAATTTTTGTAGTTTTGGTAGAGACGGGGTTTCACCATGTTGGTTAGGCTAGTCCTGAACTCCTGACCTCAGGTGATCCACCCGCTTTGGCCTCCCAAAGTTCTGGGATTACAGGTGTGAACCACCACACCCGGCCTTTAAGTTTATAGTTTAATACTTGTTGAGTATCTGGCAAAGTGTTGCCTGTTGTTTAATAGTGCTTAATATTGTCTTTGTGGTATTGTATCCAAGTTCAATGATGAGAGAATAAAAGGCCAACTTATGAACAAAGGAAAATAAAGGTAGGTGTGAGTACTACATTTATCTTTGTAACTTTTAATAAACCAGTTAAATATCCTAAACTTTTATACCTTTTTAATAGTTTTAGACTCTTGCAAAGTTATTGGATTTTGTTTTGTTGTTGGTTTATTTAACATTCAGAGGTGTGTGTGTTTTATGGCATGCAGGGGTGGCAATGTCTGCCAGTGATATCTTGAGATTCAGAGATAATATTAACCAACTGAGAAGAAGGGCTGCAGTTTATACTTGTTGATTCTGGTGGAATCCTGAGACCTGTCCACCTATTGCTAACTAAAAAGCATTTTGTAACTCAGTGGCCTAAGACAAAAATAATTTACTGTTGCTCATATTCAGTTTGTCAACTGGGGTTCAGCAGATCTGGACTGGGCTCTGCTTCTCACTACAGCTCTACAGATCAGCTGGCAGGGTAAGAGGAGGCAAGGTCTGCTTTAAGCTGCCAGTGGTGGGAGCAGATTTGTATCACATGAGTCTTATCCTCCCTACCCTGGGCATGTCCTTCTCATGGCAAATGGTGAAAGTGCAAGAGAGCAAATGGAAATGCAAAGCAAGCAACAGGACTAAGCCCAAAGTCAAGCCCCACTCACAATGAGGCCATGACAAGGATGTGAATGCAGTGAATGGGGCAGAGAATGCAGATAATGGGGCAAAGAATTGGGACCAATGATACCACGAACTCATGTAGGAAAGAAGGAACTGGAGAGGAAAGATCCATAAGACCAAGGGAAGATTGGGATACGAGGAAGTAGAGAAGTAAGACAAGCACTCTGTAAATAGTTAAGCCTACAGGAGATCAGTGGGGTTTCTGCTATCATCTAGGCAAGGAGTTCAGGACATGGAAAAGGAGTGATGACAAGAACTTCATCAATTCTTAACTTCTTCCAAGTCTGTGACCCAGTAGTAAAGAGCACTACAACCTTTTAAACAAAAGGCTATGTGTTTGTTCTTGGGGACTGCAAGAAGGCAGCTGTAGTCTTTTTGTAGAGACTCACTCTGCATTCAGTCACAGGAAAGTACTTTACACAATTAAAATGGAGACTGGTTGAGATTAACCTCTTTTCAGATTGCTTCTGTTCTGGGCTGCTGGCCTTAGGTGGCCTTCTGGGGAGGGTAAAAATCCTATGCAGCAGTGGAGCTCTCCCCTGCTCCATTTCTTTTCCTCCTGGTGATATATCCCTGGAATGTTTTGGAGAAGTTTAAGGATCTGTGTGAACATGAGGGAGAGGAGTAGATTCTCAAAGACTTGGTATAATTCAGATTAGATTTTCCCTCTCTCTGTGCAGAGATTTTGCTCCCTCTCAGTCTTCTCCTAAAGCTGGACTCAGGAAGAGCCAGCTGGCAAACAAGCTTTTAGGGGGAAGAAAGATTATACTTTCCAGTCAGAATAGGGGGAGTTTCTGGTTCCCCACATTTCTCCACAAAGCTTAAATCTGTTTTTATCCCCAACTGTGAGTCATACTTATTGTTTGTAAGGTATCTATTTTAAACCATTTAAAAACAAGATTTGATATATTATAAGCTCTTACCGAAATGTATAAATTTGTTAATTGGCATGATTATTTGAAAGCCCTGCTTAATAGTAGAAATTTAAAGTAATCTACTAGCTACTTACATTCTCACTCTACTCTACAACCCAAAATGTAATCAGACACCCAACCCATTTTAAGAAATTAACTCTATGTCTAATTGGTCTATTTAAAAATTCCCAAGTTCATGAATTCATGAATGTCTTTCATGAAAGACATAGGTACTCTTGGGGAAGATAATTTTGTCATAAGTTTATGATAAGTAATGATACCACATCCAGCACAGCAGTTGCAATTAGGAATACTATTTGGTTTCATATTTAATAATCCAATATTGTTCATAATTCATCTGTTTGCAGGGACCAAACTGGTGAATTAAAGGGGAATGCAATGAAGACAATCATACCTGCATCCTTTGGATCTCAGGGTGGCGCTAATCTCTGCCATTCTTTTGTGATAAAATATTTTTAGTCTTGGTGTGGGCAGAAAGGGGACAGGTGGTGTGAAGTTTCAGGGGTTTCCACTTAATCTTCTCTACTACAGGACTTCTTACTGTATACATCAAGAAATGAATGTGAGGTTTCCACCAAATGCTAAATATGTCTCTTCCAATTACCAAGCTTGGAAGCAGGAAAATGAGCACAGCGTGGGACTGTGACCCATTGGATCCACCGTGAGGTGGATCTGGGCCAAGATTCCATTTGCTGTCTCAGCCGCAAATGTGCCCCTACTCTAACAGCGGTGCCACGTTGGTGCTCTGAGCCCCCTGGGTATCAGCATCAACCCAAAATATGTATCTAATAGCTCTAGAAAGATCTGGGTAAATGGTCAAAGATTTTTTTGGGGCGGAAGATTGGAGAAATAACTACCATCTACAATTGCCATGGTGTTGCAGCATTCTTTCTCATAGGGACCTGGCCTCTCCTTCAGTAAATGGGTTCTAACCAGAGAGCCAAAAACTGATTAGGAGATTATGACTTTCTACAGAAGTGGCTGACTTCAGCCTTCTACCCAACCATTCTTGATCTCTTGATTATATATAATAAGCAGTACCCTTTTTGGCTGTCCATTTATTTTGTCCCTAGGAACACCATGTTCTAGCCATCTCCTTTGATATCTGTAGGTTAGGCCTCTCTGGCTGCCATCCTGAGCCTGCTGCCCATTATGGTTATTACACCCACCTTGCTTCTGACAGTTAAGTGCTGCCACCTGACTTGGTTTTCCAGACTTCTATCATCTCCGTTGTTATTAGGCACCCAATTCTGTAACCGCATGCCCTACCACCAGAACTGGCTTACAAAAGACAGCTACTGCTGAGGTTTTCAATGATGCTGAAGCCCCCTCACCAGTGCATTTCTTTCTAAATGGATTGCCCTGTGAGTTCTCTTAAGAATTTGGTCATCTAGTGGTTTTCTTGCCTTATTTAGCAGATGTAATCCAGCATACCCACTTCTCTGAAATTTCTAATACCTTCTCCATTATTTGTCACAAAAGTTCCTGCATTTTTACTTCACTTTGCTTCATTGCCTTTTTCAGTCTTCCAAAATGTTTCCTAGCATCAGCTTGAGTCACCTCCCAAGTCCTTGCTAGGGAATTAGCTTACAGCAGTGGTGGAGTGCCCCAAATCTCCAAGCTTTCCCTTAACAAACTTATACTCTGTTCCCTTTGGTTAGGCACTCCTAGGGTCCTCTCTTAGACACACTCTCTCAGCTTCTGCTTAGTAAGTTTTCTCTAGGTCCTGAGGTTCCTTGAACAAATAATGTCATCTTCCATTACGAAGGCCCAGCACTTTTCTGATTGAGCTGAGATTTGATGCTAGTTACGCATCAGGTGGCTAAGAGGGGAAGTGGGGGTATATCCTGAAGAGGACCCTTCATGGTCTTGTAAGGCCTTATTTGAAGTCTGTTTATAGTCTTCAAGCAAGGTGGAGAATGGGGGACAATCTTCAACAATGGAGAATAGGCCATTTCTTCAGGAACGGGGAGGGTTCAGGGGAAATTAAAGTTCGAAGTGCATATATGCAAAGATCTATTCCAAGAGTCAAAATCACATGCTTTCCCTATTAAGATCATGACTTTGGCTTAAGAGACTTGCCTAGCCTGAGAGCTCTGCCTTCTCAGAGTTTTGCACTATTGCAATCAAGTCCTGTGCCCCCACCCCATTCCAGCTGCAGGAATTGAAGCCTTCTACTCTCATGCTTTGTATTAAAATTTTGACTAATTTATCTGAGTCTGTAATTTTCTCTCAACTACTCATTCAACTCCAAGTAACTTATAACTATTTTCCCTCATTTCTCAAATGCCTGAGACACTGCACCAGACATTCCACCCAAACCCACACCAGCTCATTACAATGGAAATCTTAGCAATCACACTGTATAGCATACCAGGGATTAATTCTCCACCTACCTCCACCAGTGGGGTCCTCATTGCCATCCAGCCAGCAAGTGAATTAACCCTAGAATCCATCTCCAATGCCAGTTGTCTTAAATTGGTTTCCTAAGCAGTGAGGACTGAGATGAAGATTCTTATGCTTGATTGGGAAAGTGCTCCCAGGATAAGAGGAGTGAAGGCAGCAGGACAGGACAGGAATAGGAAACTTAAACAAGAGTGTGGTCACGGCTGAAGACTAGTTTTGGTTTGATTCTACAGGGAAGCGCAAGTTGCACCACATATTAAGCCCACTTTGAGGTAGCGGGTAGAGAGCTCGGTGGGCAGGCTTTTGTACTACTGTGTCTGTTACAATTGGCTGTCCTGGGAGGTGGGGGGGTTTCCTCCCAGGAAAGGAGGCTTCTGTTTGGCTGAAGGCTAGTTCCTAGTGGAGGCACAGCTGAGAATTATCAGCAGCCAACACAAACAACAGCAACCAGGAGATATAAAGAGGCCTATAAAGAGGATCTAGGTGGAGTACAAAGCTAATCCTTTACACTAATGAGTATGTACTATATGATAAGCTTTCTTTCCTTTTTTTTTTTTTTCTTCAGACAGAGTCTCACTCTGTCACCCAGGCTGGAGTGCAGTGGCATGATTTCGGCTCACTGCAACCTCTGCCTCCTGGGTTCAAGCAATTCCCCTGCCTCAGCCCTCCGGAGTAGCTGGGATTACAAGCGTGTGCCACCACACCTGGCTAATTTTTAGTAGAGATGAGGTTTCACCATGTTGACTAGGCTGGTCTCGAACTCCTGACTCCAAGAGATCCACCTGCCTTGGGCTCCAAAAGCACTGGGATTATAGGTAGCCTAATGATAAGCTTTTTAAAAATTGACTCTGTCATTTAAACTTCACAACAATTCCATGAAGGAGGTATTATGATTGTATCCATTTTAGAGACAAGGAAAATGAATCCTGAGAATTCAAGTGACTTTCTCATGGTTATACAATGAAGGGCCATGTATTCAGGTGTAATAATATCATAGATAAAAAGGCATATCTCAGTTTCTGCATGTTTTAAATGGGTACATGCAGAACCTATCTCTGTTTATATCTTAATGTAGGGACACTAAGGTTAGCCAACTGGATTCATATCCTGGGTTTTAAGTGCTTTACAATAATAGTGCCCTTAGAATTCAATTGTGAATCTTATTCCCTAAGTATTGTTGATCTTACGTATTGGTTTTATGTGTGTGTGTATCAACTCAGTTACTGGCAATATTCAATTAATTGAAACACTATATTTACCAATTACCTTGGATAGTCATTGTTAAAAATTACTAGGAAATTCTCCATTAAGTAATAAAAAGGCCAGAAAACAAGTCTCCATACGGGATTAATAATTTATTTGGCTTTGGGCTGTGTGTTAAGCACTTTACATCCATTTTCTCATTATGAAGTAAGTACTAGCATCACATCCCAATGCAGATAAGAAAACTGAGACTCTAGGGGGTTTGTTAACTATTTTCAAATCACTGAACTAGGAAGGGATGGGTCTGAGAATGAAACTAAAACTACTATCTGACACCAAAACTAATATTGGACATTTAATGAGAAAATGGCTTATCTTAGATTCACATATATAGACACAATTGGTGATAAGAGAGATCAGTATGGGTAAAGGAAATTTTCCACCTTCTCAGCTTTCTTTCACATGAGCCAAATCTGAAGGCTATGAAGGAGATGGAAAATTTCAAAAAATACTCATTCACCCAGCACATCACTGAGCAGGAGAACATTTCTGAAACAAGAAAGAAGAATCATTAATAATGACTTGCTAAAATAAAAAGTATTTTTCTAGAGGCAGTGCCCTGAGCTGACACAGAATTGAGTGACTCTGACTCCACAGCTTGGATTAAATCATCAAATTGGGTTCTCTGGCATAGAGGAGGATGAAGTTTTGTGCAGGGGTTCGTATCTATTACTATAGGAACCATGCCAGCCACCTGCCCTCAAGGGTGGCTTCCCCAGAATGCTACTGAGATTTTCTTTGCTTTCTTTTCTGCTCACCACCTCCTACCACCAATGGAGAAGACAAGTGCTGAATCCCTCTGTGCTTTGTCTCCTGAGGCTACTCTGAAAAAGGAAGCAAAGCTGTCCCTCTGTTGGCAGAAGTCTACTCCTGTTGTCCTCAGATGTTACTTACCTTTCTAGACATCAATTTCCTCATTTGTGAAGTAGGAATAGTTCACTCCTTTGGATTGTTGTGGGGATGAAATTATTTTATACACACACACACAAAATAGCACACACAACACTATTTTGTGTGTGTGCGCATGCACATACATGCGTGTCTAGGACAAAAACATTTCTGAATAAGTTCAGATACTCTCCCCATACCTCACTTTATTAAAAGTAGAAGAACTGAAGGAAGGGAATATTATTATCCTGTTCAAAACTCATATTGATTCTCTACAGCCTACGAGATTAAGAACAAACCCTGTCCAATATTCAAGACCTTCCTTGGTCCAGTCCTGGATTCCCTTCTCAGCTACCTTTCCCATGATGCTGCATCTCTCGCTAGTCACTGAACATGATCTGCACTTGCTGACCTTTATGCTTTTCTCATACCTTTCTCTCTACTTGCACCAGTCTCTCTAAATTTTGCCTAAATCTTATCTACCAGTTTAGTCTCAGAATGTGGGAATTCTATATAAATCAAATTTCAGGAATAGTTATGGGTAATAGTGTTTCATTCCATCAATGTAACTTATCATTTGCTGTGGGCGAAACTCCAGTTTAAGAATGTTTCTTAATGTTATCAAACCATCTGTGTATAACTTGATGGATTTCTACAAGGTACACATGCTCATATAACTATCTCCCAGATCGAGAAATAGAGTTTTAGAAATACCCAAGAAGCCTCCCTTGTGCCCCTTTCTAATCTGTACCCCCTTCTTCAAAGGTAGGTGTTGTAGTGATATATCATAGGTTGGCTTTTGTATTTTTAAAAATTTTATATAAATGGAATCATACAACATATATTCTTTTGTGTATGGATGATTTTGACTAGTGTTTATGATATGTATTCATATTTTTACATATAGCAGTTCATTATTTATCATGGCTTCATAGCATTCAGTCACATAAAAATACTACTACCATTTTATAGTGTTAACAGGCATTTTGGTTGTTTCCAATTTGGAGTTATAATGAACAATGTGATATGAACATTTTTATATTGATATTTTTGTCTACATGTGTACATGTTTTTGTGAGCTATATATAGGAGTGAAATTGCTAGGCATAGGGTATGCCTAATTTAAATTTAGTGAATACTGCTAGTTTTCCAAAGTGGTTGTATCTGTTTACACCCCCACAGAATATAGAATTTCAAGTGTTTTCTGTCTTCACCAACACTCATTATTGTATGTCTTTTTCATTACAGTCATTTTAGCAGATGTACAGTGGTGCTTTATTATGGTTTTTTCATTTTCTGGATGACTAATGATTTTGAGCTCCTTTTCATGTTTACTGGATATTTAGTATTCTCTTCTGTGAACTGCCTATTCAAATTCCTTGCCCCTTTTGCTATTGGGTTAAGACTGTATAGCTTTTATGATTTCAACCCATTATTGCTGTATTGTCCCTCAGTGATTAAAATCTTACCTGTCTTATAGACCCTTTTATATAAAGCATGTGTAGAATTTCATCAGTAATTGTTTTAGAGTCCCTCAGGGCAGCCTAGAGTTGCGGCTTGAGCAGAAGGATCTCTGAATTTTGAACCTATAAGAGTTCTTCTGATATTTTATCTGACTCCAGTAAAGAAAGTTTGTTTTTTTAAAATTATGTATAGTGAGTATTGAAAATTAAAATAAACAAAATGAATGAATCCAGGTATCAGTAGATAAAAAGTTTATTTCACAGACTTACCTTTTTAAAAAGATACGTCAAAAAATATTGAGATGGGATTGTTCCCTTGACCTTGACTCCCTTCATGGGCGGGAACTAGGGTGGCTCGGTTCACTCAGCCTGCCACTGGCCACTCCTCACAAGAGGGAGTGTGTGAGAAAGTGAGCGCAGGAAACAGAGGGAACAAATGCTGGAACCAGCCGGTCACTCCTGTCTGGCAGAAGCAGGCTCTGTGCAGGTCCTGCAGCAGCATCCAAGCCCCTGCCCTCTTGGCACCCGAGTTCTTGTCTGGCGCCCAGGAAGAATCAGGTCACACAAACGGATTGAAGGGTAGTATACACGGAGGATTTTATTGGGCAATAAGCGTGGCTCTCAGTGGGATGGGGAATTGGAAAGGAGGTAGTGCAGGAAGAAGGTGATGTTTCCCTGAAGCCACACCATCTGAAGTTAGCCATGTCTATCCTTAGTCTCTGATGTTCAGTTGCTGCTTCTGTGCTTGACGCTCAGCCACTTGTATCCCCGATGCTCAGCAGCTTGTGTTCCTGACGCTCAGCAGATTGTATAACTCTGCCAGCTGAAATATTTTTGTGAACACAGGAAAGGGGCGTGGCAGGCCAAAAAAGCAACATTTGGGTGGAAAAACAGGGTCAGCTGTTTTCATTTAGGGCGATGGTTCCAGGCTTAAGGGTGGGGTTTGGCCAGGATCCCAGCCATTCTAGATCAATATGATAATTGACCTCTAGGCAGGGGATAATGGCAAATAGGAGGCAGGCCTAACTTGCATCTCCCACTTAGATGGACAGAATAGCATGTGGAGACTCACATTGTGAACTTTTGCTCCAAGAACCACTGGAGAAACATACCATGAAAACCAAAAGAATTCACAGACCCTTTGAAAAAAGCAGCTTGCTGCTGTAAACTCCAGGAGGCAGCTGAAAAACTGCGGGTGCCCAAAGCGCGAGGCGGGAGAGGCTACCTCTGAACACACATCCTCACTGGAGAGTCTGAAAATCCAGATCACAGGAGAAGAATTTAACCTTACCTAGAGCTGAAACGAATTTAGAAAGCTGGGAGAAATATAAAAGTAGAAGCAGCAGCATGAAGAGCCCTGTAGGCACTCCCAGGCCCCAAGAAAGCCCAGGGAACCCATTTCTGACTTTTATCTCACAGAAGTCCTTGAGGAGGGCTGTCAGTGGAGTTGGGGAAGGACCACAGGGAGAAGGAAACTTCCAGCTGCTTTGTAATAATTTCAACCAAGCATGAATTTTCCAGGGCAGAATCTGGGGGTGAATGGGAAGTGCAATCACAGAAGCCATGGTGAGGAGGGGCAAAACCTGAAAACCCTGCTTGCTTTCTTGGGCGCGGGGTTGGGGGGGTGGGGAGGGTGGCGGCGCTTGTAGCCTGGAGCAAGTTCCCAGTCCTGCTTACCAGCTGCCTGGATATAAACTCGGTGCTGTTGGGGGAGCATGGTGGGAGTGAGACTGGCCTAACTGGCTGTGTGGGAGCTGGGTGGGGCCTGTCACTGCGGCAACCTCCCACTTCCCTGGTGACCTGCAGCCATAATCCCCCTAGGGATATAACTCCGTCAGTCTGAGAAACACAGCCCCATCCCCACAGTGGCCACAGCAAGCCCCACCCAAGGAAAGTCTGAGCTCAGACACACTTAACCCTTCCCCCACCTATGGTCTTTCTCTACGCGCTGTGGCAGCCGAAGTCATAATCTCTTGAGAGCTCTATGGCACCACCCACCACCTGAGAAACCCCAGTATTTATCTAGGCTACCCTAGGGCAAGCTTGTATCCTTCCTATAATACTGCAGCGGATGCATTCTTCAAAGCGCCACCTCCTGGCTGGAGGCCAACCAACACAAACCATTACAGCAACTCATAAAAGAATAACCCTTCCCCAAGAAAGGAGAAAACAATAGCTAACTCCACTGCCTGTGACATCCTGGCTAACTAGAGGTCCTGAGTCTGTCCACGTGACAACTTTACTGCCAGCAAAACCAGCATTCGAGAACACCTGAGCATTAAACAAAACTACAACTAAGGTCCCACACAGAGTCCACCTCACTTCCCTGCTACCACCACCAGAGCAGGTGCTGGTATCCATGGCTGAGAGACCTGAAGATGGATCACATCACAGGACTCTTTGCAGACACTCCGCAGTACGAGCTCAGAGCCCAGTAGGCCCGCTGGGTGGCTAGACCCAGAAGAGAAATAACAATCACTGCAGTTTTGCATTCAGGAAGCCCCACCCCTAGGGGAAGGGGGAGGGCACCACATCAAGGAAGCACCCCATGGGACAAAAGAATCTGGAGTGCAGCCCTTGAGTCCCAGATCTTCCCTCTGTCATAGTCTACCCAAATGAGAAAAAAACAGATAAACAATTCTGGTAATATGACAAAACAAGGTTCTTTGACACCCCCAAAAGATCACAGTAGCTCACCAGCAATGGATGTAAGCCAAGAAGAAATCTCTGAATTTCCAGAAAAAGAATTCAGAAGGCCAATTGTTTTTTCTGATAAATACAGTTTTATTCATCTCATGATATTTCTAGGGATATTTTTATGTACCTGTTATATTTTAGCACCCATGATAGCCACACCCTAAATCTAGCTCTGAACACGCTATCAAATTAATTAAATTGTAGCAATCACTAACACGTGGGTTGACTACGTGCCAGGCATTTTACATATATATATATATATTTTTTTAAATTATACTTTAAGTTCTAGGGTACATGTGCACAATGTGCAGGTTTGTTACGTATGTATACATGTGCCATGTTGGTGTGCTGCACCCATTAACTTGTCATTTACATTAGGTATATCTCCTAATGCTATCCCTCCCCCATCCCCCAACCCCACAACAGTCCCTGGTGTGTGATGTTCCCCTTCCTGTGTCCAAGTGTTCTCATTGTTCAATTCCCACCTATGAGTGAAAACATGCAGTGTTTGGTTTTCTGTCCTTGCGATAGTTTGCTGAGAATTATGTTTTCCAGCTTCATCCATGTCCCTACAAAGGACATGAATTAATCCTTTTTTATGGCTGCATAGTATTCCATGGTGTATATGTGCCACATTTTCTTAATCCAGTGTATCACTGATGGACATTTGGGTTGGTTCCAAGTCTTTGCTATTGTGAATAGTAAAGACACAATAACGTATATGTGCATGTGTCTTTATAGCATACAATAAACGTATGTGTGCATGTGTCTTTATAGCAGCATGATTTATAATCCTTTGGGTATATACCCAGTAATGGGATGGCTGGGTCAAATGGTATTTCTAGTTCTAGATCCTTGAGGAGTTGCCACACTGTCTTTCACATGGTTGAACTAGTTTACAGTCCCACCAACAGTGTAAAAGTGTTCCTATTTCTCCACATCCTCTCCAGCACCTGTTGTTTCCTGACTTTTTAATGATCGCCATTCTAACTGGTGTGAGATGGTATCTCATTGTGGTTTTGATTTGCATTTCTCTGATGGCAGAAGGCCAATTATTAAGCTACTCAAGTAAGCATCAGAGAAAGGTGAATACCAACTTAAAGAAATTTTTAAAATGTTGCAGGATATAGACAGAAAAATCTCCAGAGAAATAGACAGCATAAATAAAAAACAATCACAACTTCTAGAAATGAAAAACACACTTAGAGAAATGCAAAATACACCAAAAAGTCAACAATAGAATCAAACAAGTAGAAGAGAGAACTTCAGAGCTCAAAGACAAGGCTTTTGAATTAACCCAATACAACAAGGACAAAGAAAAAGGAATTTAAAAAAATGAATAAAGCCTCCAAGAAGTTTGGGATTATGTTAAACGACCAAACCGAAGAATAATTGGTGTTCCCGAGGAAGAAGATAAATCTAAAAGTTTGGAAAACATATTTGAGGGAATAATTGAGGGAAATTTCTTGACCTTGCTAGAGATCTAGATATTCAAATACAAGAAGCTCAACGGACTCCCAGGAAATTCATTGCAAAAAGATCATCACCTAGGCACACAGTCATGAGGTTATCTAAAGTCAAGATGAAGGAAAGAATCTTAAGAGCTTTCAGGCAAAAGCATCAGGTAACCTATAAAGGAAGACCTATCAGATTAACAGGAGATTTCTCAAGAGAAACCCTACAAGCTAGAAGGGATTGGGGTCCTATCTTTGGCCTCCTTAAACAAAACAATTATCAGCCAAGAATGTTGTATACAGTGAAACTAAGCTTCATAAATAAAGGAAAGATACAGTCTTTTTCAGAAAAACAAATGCTGAGAGAATTCACCACTACTAAGCCCATACTACAAGAACTGCTAAAAGGAGCTCTAAGTCTTGAAATAAATCCTTGAAATACACCAAAATAGAACCTCCTTAAAGCATAAATCTTACAGGGCCTATAAAACAATAATAAAATGAAAACAAAACAAGGTATTCAGACAACAACTAGCATGATGAATAGAAAAGTACCTCACATCTCAATATTAACATGGAAAGTAAATGGCCTAAATGCTCCACTTAAAAGACACAGAATGGCAGAATGGATAAGAATTCACTAACCATGTATGTGCTATCTTCAAGAGACTCACCTAACAAATAAAGACTCACAAAAACTTAAAGGAGTGAAAAAAAAATATTCCATGAAAATGGACACCAAAACCAAGCAGAAGTAGCTATTCTTATATCAGAAAAAAGGAACATTAAAGCAACAACAGTTTAAAAAGACAAAAAGGGACATTATATAATGACAAAATTTGTAGTTCAACAGGAAAATATCACAATCCTAAATTTATATGCACCTAACACTGGTGCTCCCAAATTTATAAAACAATTACTACTAGACCTAAGAAATGAGATAGATGGCAACACAATAATAGTGGGGATTTCAGTACTCCACTGACAGCACTAGACAGGTCATCAAGACAGAAAGTCAACAAAGAAACAATGGACTTAAACTATACATTAGAACAGGCCGGGCACAGCGGCTCACACACCTGCAATCCCAGCACTTTGGGAGGCCAAGGAGGGTGGATCATTTGAGGTCAGGAGTTCGAGACCAGCCTGGTCAACATGGTGAAATCCTGTCTCTACTAAAGATACTAAAATTTGCTGGGCATGGTGGTGCATGCCTGTAATCCTAGCTATTCAGGAGGCTGAGACAGGAGAATTGCTTGAACATGGGAGGCGGAGTTGCAGTGAGCCAAGATCACACCACTGTACTCCAGCCTGGGTGACAGAGTGAGACTCCGACTCAAAAAAAATAAAAAAATTAAAATAAAATAAAAATAAACTATACCCTAGAGCAAATGCACTTAATAGATATTTACAGAACATTCTACCTAACAACTGCAGAATATACATTCTATTCATTAGCACATGAAACATTCTCCAAAATAGACCACATGATAGGCCACAAAACAAGTCTCAATAAATATAAGAAAATTCTACCAAGTACTCTCTCAGACCACAGTGGAATAAAAATGGAAATTATCTCTAAAAGGAACCCTAAAAACCAGCAAATATATGGAAATTAGATAACCTGCTCCTAAATGATCATTGGATCAAAAATGAAATCAAGATGGAAATTTGAAAATTCTTTGAACTGAAAGATAATAGTGACACATCCTATCAAAACCTCTGGGAAATGGCAAAGGCAGTGCTAAGAGGAAAGTTTATATTTTTAAGTGCCTACATCAAAAAGTCTAAAAGAGCACAAATAGACAATCTAAGGTCACACCTCAAGAAACTGGAGAAACAAGAACAAACCAAACCAAAACACAGCAGAAGAAAAGAAATAACAAAGATCAGAGCAGAACTAAATGAAACTGAAATAAACAAACAAAAAATACAAAAAACGAATGAAACAAAAAGCTTGTTCTTTGGAAAGATAAATAAAATTGATAGACCATTAGTGAGATTAACCAAGAAAAGAAGAGCGAGGATCCAAATAAGCTCAATTAGAAACAAAACAGGAGATATCACAACTGATACCACAGAAATAGATCATTCAAGGCTACCATGAACACCTTTATGTGTATAAACTAGAAAACCTAGAGGAGATACATAAATTCCTGGAAATACACAACCCTCCTAGATTAAGCCAGCAAGAAATAGAAACTCTGACCACACCAATAACAAGCAGCAAGACTGAAATGGTAATTTAAAAATTGCCGCACACACACACACACACACAAAGTCCAGGACCAGATGGATTCACAGCTGGTGCTGAATTCTGTCTGATGTTCAAAGAATAGTTGGTACCAATCCTATTGACACTATTCCACAAGATAAAGAGGGAATACTCCCTAAATTATTCTATGAAGCCAGTATCACCCTGATACCAAAACCAGGAAAGGACATAACAGAAAAAGAAAACTACAGGCCACTATCCCTAATGAATATAGATGCAAAAATCCTTAACAAAATACTAGTGAATTGAATCCAACAGCATATCTAAAAGATAATCCAACATGATCAAGTGGGTTTCATACCAGGGATTCAGGGATGGTTTAACATATGCAAGTCAATAAATGTGATACACCACATAAACAGAATTAAAAACAAAAATCACATTATCATCTCAATAGATGCAAAAAAAAGCATTTGACAAAACCCAGCATCCCTTTATGATTAAAACCCTCAGCAAAATTGGCATAGAAGGGACATATCTTAATGTAATAAAAGCCATTTATGACAAACCCACAGCTGACATAACACTGAATAAAGTTGAAAGCACTCCTCCCGAGAACTGGAATAAGGACGCCCACTCTCACTACTTCTAATCAACATAGTATTAGAAGTCCTAGCGAGAGCAATCAGACAAGAGAAAAAAATAAAGGGCATCCAAATTGGTGAAGAGGAAGTCAAACTGTTGCTGTCTGTGGATGATATGCTCATATACCTAGAAAATCATAAAGACTCCTCCAAAAAGCTCTTAGAACTGATAAATGAATTTAGCAAAATTTCGGGATAAAAAATTAATGTACACAAATCAGTAGTTCTGCTATGCACCAACAGTAACCAAGCTGAGAATCAAATACAAAAGTCACCCCTTTAATAATAGCTGAAAAAAAAACCAACCTAGAAATATGCCTAACCAAGGAGGTGAAATACCTCTACAAGGAAAACTACAAAACACTGCTGAAAGAAATCACAGATGACACAAACCAATGGAAAAACATCCCATGCTCATGGATGGATAGAATCAATATGATGAAAATGACCATACTGCCAAAAGGAATATACAAATTTAAAACAATTCCTATCAAAATACCATCATCATTCTTCACAGAATTAGAAAAACATCCTAAAATTCATATGGAACCAAAAGAGAACCTGCATAGCCAAAGGAAGATTAAGTAAAAAGAACAAATCTGGAGGCATCACATTACCTGACTTCAAACTACACTACAAGACTATAGTCACCAAAATAGTATGGTACTGGCATAAAAATAGACACACAGACCAGTGAAACAGAATAGGGAGCCCAGAAATGAAGCCAAATACTTGCGGCCAACAGATCTTTGACAAACTAAGCAAAAACATTTAAGTGGAGAAGGGACACCCTATTCAACAGATGGTGCTGGGATAACTGGCAAGCCACATGTAGAAGAATGAAACTGGCTCCCTCTCCCTCTTCCTCGTCTCCCACTTTCCACGGTCTCCCTCTGATGCCGCTCCCTCGTCTCCCACTTTCCACGGTCTCCCTCTGATGCCGAGCCGAGGCTGGACTGTACTGCCGCCATCTCGGCTCACTGCAACCTCCCTGCCTGATTCTCCTGCCTCAGCCTGCCGAGTGCCTGGGATTGCAGGCACGCGCCGCCACGCCTGACTGGTTTTTGTATTTTTTGGTGGAGACGGGGTTTCACCCTGTTGGCTGGGCTGGTATCCAGCTCCTGACCCCGAGTGATCTGCCCACCTGGGCCTCCCGAGGTGCCGGGATTGCAGACGGAGTCTCGCTCACTCAGTGCTCAATGTTGCCCAGGCTGGAGTGCAGTGGCGTGATCTCGGCTCGCTACAACCTCCACCTCCCAGCCACCTGCCTTGGCCTCCCAAAGTGCCGAGATTGCAGCCTCTGCCTGGCCACCACCCCGTCTGGGAAGTGAGGAGCGTCTCTGCCTGGCTGCCCATCGTCTGGGATGTGAGGAGCCCCTCTGCCCGGCCGCCCAGTCTGGGAAGTGAGGAGCACCTCTTCCCGGCCGCCATCCCATCTAGGAAGTGAGGAGCGTCTCTGCCCGGCTGCCCATCGTCTGAGATGTGGGGAGCGCCTCTGCCCCGCTGCTCCGTCTGGGATGTGAGGAGCGCCTCTGCCTGGCCGCGACCCCATCTGGGATCTGAGGAGTGTCTCTGCCCGACCGCCACCCCGTCTGGGAGGTGAGGAGCATCTCTGCCTGGCTGCCCCGTCTGAGAAGTGAGGAGCCCCTCCAGCCCGGCAGCCGCCCCCTCTGGGAAGTGAGGAGCGTCTCTGCCCGGCAGCTGCCCCGTCCAGGAGGTGGGGGGCAGCCCCCGCCCGGCCAGCCGCCCGGTCCGGGAGGGAGGTGGGGGGCAGCCCTTGCCCGGCCAGCCGCCCCGTCCGGGAGGGAGGTGGGGGGCAGCCCCCGCCCGGCCAGCCGCCCCGTCCGGCCGCCGCCCCATCTGGGAAGTGAGGAGCCCCTCTGCCGGGCCGCCACCCCATCCGGGAGGTGTACCCAACAGCTCATTGAGAACGGGCCATGATGATGATGGCGGTTTTGTCCAATAGAAAAGGGGGAAATGTGGGGAAAAGAAAGAGAGATCAGATTGTTACTGTGTCTGTGTAGAAAGAAATAGACATAGGAGACTCCATTTTGTTCAGTACTAAGAAAAATTCTTCTGCCTTGGGATGCTGTTAATTTATAACCTTACCCTCAACCCCGTGCTCTCTGAAACATGTGCTGTGTCCACTCAGGGTTAAATGGATTAAGGGCGGTGCAAGATGTACTTTGTTAAACAGATGCTTGAAGGCAGCATGCTCGTTAAGAGTCATCACCACTCCCTAATTTCAAGTACCCAGGGACACAAACACTGCGGAAGGCCGCAGGGTCCTCTGCCTAGGAAAACCAGAGACCCTTGTTCACATGTTTATCTGCTGACCTTCCCTCCACTATTGTCCTATGACCCTGCCAAATCCCCCTCTCCGAGAAACACCCAAAAATGATCAATAAATACTAAAAAAAAAAAAAAAAAAAAAAAGAAGTGACTTGCTCTGCCAAATATTAACAAGTATCATAAATCTCTGTTACTCTAAAAGGATGGTTCAAAATAAAAAAATAAAAAATAAAAAAAAAGAAGAATGAAACTGGATCCTCAGCTCTCACATTAAACAAAAATCAACTCAACACGGACCTTAAATCTTAAGACCTGAAACCATAAAAAATCTAGAATATAACATCAGAAAAACTCTTCTAGACATTGACTTAGGCAAAGACTTCATGACCAAGAACCCAAAAGAAAATGCAACAAAAACAAAGATAAATAGATGGGACTTAATTAAACTAAAAGGCTTCTGAAGAGCAAAAGAAATAATCAGCAGAGTAAACAGACAACTCATAGAGTGGGAGAAAATATTTGCAAACAATGCATCCGACAAAGGACTAATACCCAGAATCTACAAGGAATTCAAACAAATCAGCAAGAAAAAAAAAATCTCATCAAAAAGTGGCCTAAGAACATGACTAGACAATTCTCAAAAGAAGTTATACAAGTGGCCATATGTAAAAATGCTAAACATCTCTAATTATTAGGGAAATACAAATCAAAACCTCAATATGATACAAGCTTACTCCTAAAAGAATGGCCATAATTTTAAAAATAATAATAATAATAGATGTTGGCATGGATGTGGTGAAAAGGGAACACTTTTACACTGCTGTGGGAATGTAAATTAGTACAACCACTATGGAAAACTGTGTGGAGAGTCCTTAAAGAACTAAAAGTTGATCTACCATTTAAGCCAGCAATCCCACTACTAGATATCTACCCAGAGGAAAAGAAGTCATTATATGAAAAAGACACTTATACAAGCATGTTTATAGCAGCACCGTTTGCAATTGCAAAAATATGGAACCAGTCCAAATGCCCATCAACCAACAAGTGAATAAATAAAATGTGATATATATATATATGTAAAAAAGCAGACCCAGAAATATGTGTACACACCATGGAATACTACTGAGCCATAAAAAGGAATGAAATAACGGCATTTGGAGCAACCTGGATGGAAGTGGAGGCCATTATTCTAAGTGAAGTAACTCACAAACATCGTATGTTTTCACTTATAAGGGGAAGCTAAGCTATGGGGATGCAAAGACATAAGAATGACACAGTGGACTTGGGGACTCAAGGGGAAAGGTGAGAGTGGGGCGAGAGATAAAAGACTACACATTGGGTACAGTGTGCACTGCTCAGGTGATGGGTGCACAAAAATCTCAGAGATCACCACTAAAGAACTTGTCCATTTCATCAAATACCACCTGTTCCCCAAAAACCTACTGAAATAAAAAAACTGATAAAAAATAAAAAGATATACCAGGTTAATTTTTATTTCATCAAACACTAGCAAAAAGTTTTTCAAGACCTGGGCCATGGTTTACTTATTTCTAGTAAGTGCCCACATAATATTCTAGGACAAACAAAATAAAACAAAACAAAAACCTCTGCTGAAGTCATTGAGAATCATTATAATAAGCTCCACAATTAAATACCAATCCTACTCAAGTATGTAAGGGCAAAAAAAATATGATCACTTTGAATATCTATATGTAAATAAAAAAGTAAAAGAATCAGAGCTGAAAGGAAAAAGGATATTTATTTTCCAGGTTTCTAAGTGATGAGCACAGTCTTGTATCAGGACAAGGTCTAGTATCAAAGCCAAATGCTTTTGATAGAAGACACAAGGCATAAATGAGATAGATCTAGAGAGGCACATAATATTATGGCTCTGGCTATGATGAATAATGAATTTTGGACTTACTTTCCAAATGAATAACTCTAAAAATGTATAAATACATAAAGCATCAATTTTTAGGTGTTGGATAAGAGGTAGCACAAGGCAGTAATCCTTAAGAAGAAAACACAGGAGGTGAGCTCAATATTCACCACAGGTTCTGCTTGAGGGCAACACAAAAGGCAGTGGTCATGCTGGATGGAGAAAACACAGACTAGAGGTTAGTAATGCTGGGGTAGCTCAGATTTGTGGTACTAATGAGGCAGGAGCTCTGTAAACAAGCAGCCCCAGAAACATGTGTAGAAGTCTCCTTGGTTTTTTGGGTGAAAACTAAGTTGCACAAACATGTAGGAAGACTCTATAAGGACATGGCATGGAATCGCTGCTGGGGTTGTGGGGGGCAGTGCTCTAGCCAGAAGAAAATGCAAGAGCTTGCACAAAACTGGGAGATGTTGGGATTCCTACCAGCCAAAGTGGAAAGGCTTTGCTGAACACTCAATGTAAACAATTGAATGCTAGAAAGGCCACTCTTTAGGACTGAAGACCATAGCATAGAGTGAGGGCTACTCTAGACTTGCTCTAACAAAGCCTAAAGCCAAGTCACCCCAGGATCAAAATGACTCACTAGTAAGTTAACTACTTGCTAGAACAAAACTCAGTACCTTTTGAAGGAGATGGCATAATCCAGACTTTCTTTAACATAGCAATTGATACATCTAATGTATGATTAAAAAAAAAAACACTAAATACAAGAATAGCAAAATTAGTGTTAATTACACATACACACACCTAAATGAAAACAGATTCAAGATGACATAGATGTTTAAATTAGCAGAAAAATATTTTTAAACTATTATAAATATACTCAAGGGTTTCAAGAAAACTATACATATAATAAGTGAGCAGATGGGGAAATCTCAGCAGAAAAATGGAAACTATAACAAAATCAAATGGAAATTATAGAATTGAGAGTACAACATCTGAAAGGAAATATGTACTTGAAGGGATTAATAGCAGATTGGATACTGTAAAAGTAAAGATTATTTACTGAAACAATAGAAACAATTCAAACTGATTTACAAAGAGAAAAAAATCAATAAGAAGAATCCCAGAGACATATGGAACAACATAAAGCAATATATACATATAACTGAAGAGAAAAGAGAGAGAGAAGACATAGACTGGAGCAAAAAAAAATGTTTGAAAAAATCATAGCAAATATTTTTCTAAATTGTTAAAAACAAATCAACCTACAATCCAAAAATTTCAACAATCCTGAGCAAGATAAACACAAGGAAAACCATACAGGCACATTATGTCAAACTACTGAAGACCAAAGCCTTTTTTGAAACAAACAAAAGTCTTTAAAATAACCTGAAAAATATAGTCACAATACATAAAAAGGAACATTGAGAAGAATGGCAGTTGATTTTTCATCAGAATCACTGGAGGACCTGGCCAGGCATGGTGGCTCACACCCGTAATCCCAGCATTTTGGGAGACCGAGGCAGGTGGATTGCTCGGGTCCAGGAGTTCAATGTCAGCCTGGGCAACATGGTGAAACCTCATCTACAAAAAATACAAAAATTAGCTGGACATGGTGGTACACACCTGTAGTCCCAGCGACTTGGGAGGCTCAAGTGGGAGAATCGCTTGAGCCCAGGAGGCCAAGGTTGTAGGGAGTGAAGATCATGCCACTGCACTCCAGCCTTGGCAAGAGTGAGACCCCGTGTCAAAAACAAAAACAAACAAAACAAAAACAAAAACACAATGCAAACAAAAAATGATGGAGGACCCAAGACAAAGGAACAACATGTGTAAAGTGCTGAAAAAACTCCCAAAAAACTTCCTAAAATTTCACATGCAGGGAGAATATCCTTCAAAAGTGAATGCAAAGTAGAGAAACCCATGAAGTAGATTGATTCAATTCATATAATTGAAATGAAAAAAAAAATATGACTTAGAAAAGAAATACGACCTCAGATCTACTGTAGGGCAAGTGCTTCCCCTAGTCAATGAGATCTGCTGCCTCCTGCTGGCTCTTCTCAATGTATGGGATTTACTGTTGGTTATTTCTTGCTATCCTTAAGATAAAGCTTTGGAGGCCCAGTTTCATTCCATGTAGTATTTGTTTTCACGGGAAATTCTAATGTTTCATTTGCTACTCAATTCTTGGTTGCCTCAACATATGCTTTTTTTCTATACTAGACTAAGAATAAATTATTGGATTGTTTTTATTTATTTATTGAGACAGAATCTCAGTCACCCAGGCTGGAGTGCAGTGGTGCGATCTCGGCTCACTGCAACCTCTGCCTCCCAGGTTCAAGCGATTCTTCTGCCTCAGCCTCCCAAGTAGCTGGGACTACAGGTGCACGCCACCACGCCCTGCTAATTTTTGTTTTTAGTAAAGACAGGGTTTCACCATATTGGTCAGGCTGGTCTCAAACTCCTGACCTCGTGATTCACCCACCTTGGCCTTTCAAAGTGCTGTGATTACAGGCATGAGCCACCGTGCCAGGCTGGATTCCTTCATTTTTACATAAACAACCACTGTACTGTTAAGTTCAATTACAGTTTCAGACTACAGGAAATATCTGACAGTCTTTTCTTGGGTTTTTTAGATAAAGTTCAATTCTCTAAAGGGTACAAAAGGAAGGATACAGAATTTAGCATTATTTTTTAGAGCAAACATGCAGGGGCAAGCTTCTAGAACCCCCTCCCTGATTCTGTTGGAGGGGAGGGGAAGGAAGCACAGATGTTGCTAAGTCCAAGTAAGTGAGGGTCATGTGAAGCTTGATTAATCCCCTCCAGTAGTTCTGTCTATAGACTAATCAGGATATGTCTTCATCTGAGTCAGGTGCATCTCATCAATCTCTGGCCCAGCCAATGTACAACGTCACTTCCGAGTTCAGTGCAGTGTACAGAGGCTTAGACATAATAACCATTTTTCTCCTTCAGCCACTCCCTCTCCAAGGGTGATACAGCTTGGTCTGAAAACTTTCTTGAAATTTAAAACTGCAGAACTAAAACAAGGTCACTTACCAAAATGCTTCATGGAATTATGCCAATAGACCCTTAAAATAGCCATAGAACCTGTTTTTTTTTTTCTATTTTATCTTCTTTAATAATAGTGTTTGAGAATTATGGATGGTGGCCCCATATGGGGGAAAAATGTACTTATGTTTTCTGAAATTATTGTGATTCACGAATTACATAATTTTAGGATGATAGACCTGAAAAGGACTCTGAAGCTCAGCTGTTTTAATGCCCAATTTTCAAATTATAGAAAAGAGACTTAGGGACATCAGTGATTTTTTCCAGGGCAAGTATCTTAGGAGCAGAATTAGGCCTAAAACTTGACTAGGAGTCCTTTCTCCAACAAGATACTATCCAAGCCACCCAGCAGATTTCGTAACTGTAACATGCCAACCTCACTTCCCTATAAACATGCAGTTTTCCTCACTGATTAGTAGACAAATATCTAGTTTCCTTCTGTGGGAGTGGGGAGGGGAGCCCACTACAGGTTCATCTCAAACCAAACGTATCTTTCCATTTTTTTGTAAATTGACAATTTATAAATGCATATATTTATGGGGTACAAAGTGATATTATGATTTATGAATATAATGTGCAATAATTAAATCAAGCTAATTAACATATCTCCTCAAATTTTTTTTGTGATGAGAACATTTGAAATTTACTCTTAGCAATTTTGAAATGTAGAATACACTATTATTAACTATATTTATCATACTGTACAATAGCTCTCAAGAAAAAATAACATTTTCTCCTGAGATTTTGTACCCTTTGACCATCATCTCCACATTCTCCTCACCCTCCAGACTCTGTAACCACCATTCTGTTCTCTGCTTCTGAGTTCAATTGTTTTGGATTCTACATGTAAGTGGGAATATGCAGTATTTATCTTTCTGTGCCTGCTTATTTCACTTAGCATAATGTTTCCCAATTCCATCTATATTGTCACAAATGACAGAATCTTTAAGGCTGAAAAATATTCCATTTTGTATATATACACCACTTTTTTGTTAATCCATTCATCTGTTGATGAACATCTAGATTAATTCTGTAACTTGGCTATTTTGAATAGTAGTGCAAGGAACATGGGAGTGCAGACATCTTTTTGACAAACTGATTTCAAATATTTTGAGTCAATACCCAGAGGTGGAACTGCTAGGTCATATGGTAATTATATTTTTAGATTTTTGAGGAAACTTCCTACAGTTTTCCATAAAGACTGTACTAATTTACATTTCTACCAACTGTATACAAGAGGGATACAAGAGGGACCCTTTTTTCCACAAATCTTCCTGACACTTGTTCCCTTTCAGCTTTTTGATAATAGCCATTCTGACAAGTGTGAGATGATACAGAGATTTTAATTTGAATTTTCTGAATGATGAGCAATGTTGAGCATTTTTTCATATATCTGTTGGCCATTTATATATCTTCTTTTGAGAAATGTTTATTCAGGTCCCTTGCCCATTTTTTAGTTGGGTTTTTTTTGTTTTCTTGCTATTGAGTTGAGTTCCTTACATATTTTGGATATTAGCCCCTTATTGGAAGTACAGCTTGCAAATATTTTCTCCCAATCCATAGGTTGTCTCTTTACACTGCTAAATGTTTTCTTTGCAGTGAAGAACCTTTTTGGTTTGATACAGTCCCATTTGTCTATGTTTACTTTTGTTGCTTGAGCACTGGGGGTTAAAAAAAGTCCAAAAAACTATTGCCCAGATCAATGTAATGTAGTTTTTCCCTTTTATTTTATTCTATATTTAGTATCCCTAGGCCGGGTGCAGTGGCTTATGCCTGTACTCCCAGCACTTTGGGAGGCCAAGGTGGGCAGATCACAAGGTCATGAGATCAAGACCATCCTATCCAACATGGTGAAACCCCGTCTCTACTAAAATACAAAAGATTAGCTGGGCATGGTGGTGCATGCCTATAGTCCCAGCTACTTGGGAGGCTGAGGCAGGCGAATCACTTGAACTCAGGAGGCAGAGGTTGCAGTGAGCTGAGATCACGCCACCGCACTCCAGCCTGGCGACAGAGCAAGACTCCGTCTCAAAAACAAACAAAAAAATTAGTATCCCTAATCTGAAAATCTGAAATTTGAAATGCTCCAAAATCTGAAACGTTTTTAGTTTTGGTGTGGCGCTCAAAGGAAATTCTCATTGGAGTATTTTGGATTTTGGATGTTTGGGTTAGGGATGCTCAACCATTAAATGTAATGCAAATATTCCAGAATAAAAAAAAACAAAATCCAAAACACTTCCATTCCCAAGTATTTTGAATGAGGGATACTCAACCTGCAGTACTTTTACAATTTCGAGTCTTACATTTAAGTCTTTAATCCATTTTGAGTTGATTTTTGCATATGATGTAAGAGTCCAATTTAATTCTTCTGTATATGGATGCCCAGTTTTTACAAGACTCTTTTATTGAAGAGACTATCCTTTCCCCATTGTGTATTCTTGACTTTTTTTTCTGAAGATCAATTGACCTTACATACATGTACCCATTTCTTGGGTCTCTACTCTGTTCTATTGGTCAATGTGTGTATTTTTTTGGCAGTACCAAACTGTTTAAATTACCGTAGCTTTGTAGTATAGTTTAAAATCAGGTATTGTGTTGCCTCCAGCTTTGCTGTTTTTGTTAGTGATTGTCTTTACTATTCAAAATTTTTCTGGTTCCATATCAGTTTTAGACTATCTTTTCTATTCTATAAAAAAAATGACATTGTAATTCTGATAGGGATTGCTTCAAATCTGTATATTGCTTTGGGTAGTATGGACATTTTAACAATATAATTCTTCCAATCGATGAATTGATTGGAAGGGGTATCTTTCCATTTGTGTCTTTGATTTTTTCATTAACATTTTATAGTTTTCAGTGTATAGGCCCTTCTCCTGGGTTAAATTTATTCCTAAGCTTTTTTTTTTTTTTTTTTTGGTGGCTATTGTCAATGGGATTGTTCTTTTGATTTCTTTTCCAGATAGACTGTTGTTAGTGTATAGAAATGCTGATTTTTGTGTGTTGATTTTGCATCCTGCAACTTTATTTAATCTATTTATTAGTTTCAATAGTTTTTTTGAGTCTTTAGATTTTTCTATATATAAGACCATGTCATCAACAAACAGTGACAATTTCACCTTTTCCTTTTCTCTATGGATGTCTTGTTTCTTTTTTTGCCTAATTGCTCTCATAAAGACTTCCAGACAGGAAAAACGAGAGCTGTGAATTCCCAGGCAATTCCCTTGAACTCAAGCTGGAATCAGTGGCTCACCCTTATGAATTGGAACATGCATATTTAGGGTATGTACACAGCTGAGTTGAAGATCCAAGAAAGAGTATTCATCACTGTTTCACTGTGCATCATTTTGATTATTAGTGAGAATGTTTTTCTATATGTTACTACATAAACATTTCCTCCATGTTTGTCATTTGTTTTCCAGTGGAGGCTCATTGGCAAAATAATTTCCAAAGGAACCCTTGAGAAATGCAGTGGTGGGCTAAAAGGGAATAAGCTGAAATGTAAGCTCAGAAAGGTTACTCCCACCTCCTCCACACCGTCCTTCTTAAATTTCACGCTGAGATAGAACAGCATATTCCAGCATATTTCAAATATCATAATGTAATCAATATAAGAAATTGTTACAATATTTTCTATTCTTTTTGTCATACTAAGTCTTTGAAATCTGGTGTATATTTCACACTTATAGCACATCTCAGTGCAGATGTTAAATTTTCATCAGAAATGCTTGTAGTAAGATTTCATAAAATTTACAGTTTAAAAAATAGATTTATATGCCCAAATTGTTTCAAACATACTTAGAAGTTTTCCAATAACTGAATCATGTACTAACACATCAGCTCCCTTTAAAATTTGCATGTACATTTGCAAAACTAGTTTATCCTTTTAGAAAAATGGCTTTGACTTTGAAGTAAATGTATTTCATCTTCCAAGCTGTTTGTCCAAGTTAACTCACCAACTCTTATATATTAGCATCAAATTCAAAGGGATAGGATATAAATAGCATCTCTAAATTTATAAATATTAACAACCTTTTCATATTTTTCTTGTGTTTGCTAATTTATATAACATTGCTGATGACAACTAAAATCTTGTGCATTTTGATTCATATTAGAGAAAATGTAAGAATCCTTATTTTTTATTATGAAAAGATTGAATTTCAATATACATACCTGACTAGCCGGGTCTTATGTGAGCTTTTCTTTTCCTTAGAGTTTCAAACTTAGTTGTTCATATGAGAAGTATAATATCAATGAGAAATCAGAAATAATATACTGCCATGTTTTATCTTTGATGATTGAATATTTAGCAAGCACTCCTTCTGTTTTTAAAAAAACTGGAATAGTATAGTATATCTCTGTAAAACTCTCCTAGTACTAAACCAACATGCAACTTTTATCCCATTCTCAACTCTCCTGTTTTTCCTTCCACCAAGTTTTTGCTCTTCTCCCCTTCTCAGGGGAGAAGAATTGCTAATCCAGTTGGGTTTCAAGTTACTGATTGGACCACATTTCTTAGTGGGTGCTTCCTTCTTTTTTCAGTGCCATGTAGATACTCTCTCTTCCATTTCCTTTTTCTTTACAGCTAATGAACTGCCTCCTCACAGATGACTAGCCATCTTGTTCTCTCTCTGTTACTCCTTTTCACTTAAGTGGGTAAGCTGATTTAGAACTTCCTGCTTCAGGACAGGCGCGGTGGCTCACGCCTGTAATCCCAGTACTTTGGCAGGCCGAGGTAGGCGGATCACGAGGTCAGGACTTTTTTTTTTTTTTTTTTTTGAGACGGAGTCTCGCTCTGCCCCCCCAGGCTGGAGTGCAGTGGCGTGATCTCGGCTCACTGCAAGCTCCGCCTCCCAGGTTCACGCCATTCTCCTGCCTCAGCCTCCCGAGTAGCTGGGACTACGGGCACCCACCACCATGCCTGGCTAATTTTTTTTTTTTTTTTTTTTTTTTTTTGTATTTTTAGTAGAGACGGGGTTTCACTGTGTTAGCCAGGATGGTCTCGATCTCCGAGGTCAGGAATTTGAGACCAGCCTGCCCAACATGGCGAAACCCCGTCTCTACTAAAAATACAAAAAATTAGCCGGGCATGGTGGCAGGCACCTGTAATCCCAGCTACTTGGGAGGCTGAGGCAGGAGAATTGCTTGAACCCAGGAGGCGGAGGTTGCAGTGAGCCACGCCACTGCACTCCAGCGTGGGTGACAAGAGCGAAACTCCGTTTCAAACAAACAAAAAAAAAGAACTTCCTGCTTCAAAACACTCCTTGCCATCTTGTACTATCTTCCTCATTCATACACAAAGTAAAAATCCTTGGCTTGATCTCCAACATGCCACTGACTAGAAAGTGGAAATCCCAAGATCTGCATGTTTAGGGAAAAACAGAGAGATCTGACGTGACCTTTAGGTTAGGCTACATGTCCCTACCTAGGTTTACTGGGGCACTAGACATATATTTAGCTAGGACTCTCAGATGCAAGTGAACAAATCTAATAGGAAGTACCTTAGGGGGTGGGGGAAATTTTATTGGCTCATATAATCAAATAATGCAAAGGGCGGGAATGTAGCTATTCTTGGAGACTTACTAGAACTGAATTATTTACCATTTGGACTTTATATCTTGCCTCTGCTTTCCTCAGCAAGACGGCCTCCTCTCAGACCAGCATCCTCTAGAAGATTGGAGTCATGGGCACTGGCATCTTTCCGCTTCAACTTCAGGTAAAAGAGTCTTTTTTCTTAATTTCTATTTGGAAAATCTCAAAAGGATCCTGAATGACCACAGTTACATAATCTGCCCATCCCTGGCAGAGCTGGGTAAAGAAATAGTTCCCAAAAAGAAGTAGGGAATGCTGTCAGCAGGAGAAGGGAGGGGTTCTAGAGACACAAAACAAAAAGTACACATTACTGTAATTATCAAATACTAGCCCAACTAACAACAAAGTCCTTCTGTATTACTTTGTTCCCTCTGCTTAAAACCTTCGGTAACTTTATGAAGGCAATGTGACTGGGCTGAGTCAAGATTTCTGGAATTTCTGGAATCCTGAAGTTAAAATCAATATTTCACCTGCGCTTCTAGCGCAGGTCAAGAAATGAATATAAACTTTAGAATGTTTAGGATGGTTTGGAATGCTTTCGATGCATATGCTTTAAAAAAAATAACAAAAAGGTGACAAAATCTGATTATCTAATTAATTAGGACTCTTTTTGTTGTTGTTGTCTATTAAAAGAGAAAAAATACAGACTGGCTGAAGCCAAAATAAAGCTATGGGCTCACATAACTGAAAATTCCAGGGATAATTTCACATCAGACACAGTTAGGTCCTGGGGTTCAAAGAGTGTTCTCAGAATCCAGTCTCCTTGTAGTCATCTCTTGTCTTTGTGTTCCTCTGTCTTGGCTCCTTTCACAGATAGATTGTACCCCCACTCTGACTATATGGCTGCCTACAGCTCCAAGCTTCCACTCTATCCTCTTACCAATCCGCAGTGGAAATAACTTGCATCTTTTCCTAAAGTTCCAATAAAAATCCTAGAATTGGGTCTAATTGCTTTTGATGATCTTGGCTTGGGCTATGTCTCTGGCGGGGTGGAGTCAACCCCACTGAAACCACATGAACTCGGAGAAGGAACCTGCAATTCCCTCTGTTGAGTCAGGGTGCTTTTATTAGAGAAAGGGCAAGTGATCCCTGGGAAAATGAAAATGATCAATCTCTGATATGCAGATAATTTGGGAACAAACAAACACACTATAATTTCCCCATCCAAATATAACTATTGTTAGTATTTTGGCAATATACTTACATTATTTTTCATATGTATTTTTTACATGGTTATAATTATAGTCTACTTAAAATTTTCTCCTGAATTGTCTAACATTCTATCATATACACTTTTCATGTCTCTCTATAATTTTCCAACCATTATTTTAATGGTTACACATAAAATAACTATAATTTACTCCCAGGGACACCAAGGTTGCTTCCTTTCCTTTAAAAGCTATAAATAAAGCTGTGATAAACATCATCATGCATACAGCTTTTTCTATTGCTTAGATGATTTTAGAGCAGTTGAATTTTCAAAAAGTTGAATTACTGAGTTAAAAGGTATATATATTTATGACTTCCCAAATTTTTCCCCTTTTCCAAAAAGGATAATGCTTATTCATAATGCTATCACAATATATAAGTAGTAATCATATCTAAAACGTTAAGTCCAAGAACACTGAAATGTTAAACTGAAGAAGGTAGTAAATTTCTCTGAGAGTAATAAAAATGCTTATGAAGAGGATATTTAACCCTTTGATTCTATACCAAATTTTTCAGAAATCAGTTATATCACACTGCTCAGTCATGTAGTTGCACATTTGTTCCTTTTAGAAAGTTATGTCAATCATAGAAGAACAAAAGTTGATAAGGACATTATTAAACAAAGTAATATAAATGACATGGCATGGGATTATAAATTTCAGCCATTCTCATTTCTCTAATATCTTCTGCACAGTGTAGATAATTAAGCATCTGGGCAAAAATTTACCCACAAGAACATATGTGACAATGTTGTTAATAATAACAACAAAATGGAGACATGTCTGCTGAGCTTTAGATGCCTATCTCTACCTGTTTGCTAAACATCTCCATCTCGATGTTTGAAGGCATTCTCAAAGTTATGTCCAAATTAGAAATTATTCTGGGGCTTAGCATAGTGTCTAGCATGTAGAAAATGTTTAAATGTCTGTCTGATGAATGAATCAATACATGAATTTTTTCCAATAAATACACTTCACTTCCTATAATCCATTGTGCTAAATTGTTTTTCATCTACCCCGTTACGCAAACCAGAAACCTCATCATCCTGGAGTCCACCTTTTTTCCTCCCTTTTATTTGATTTGTCAACAAATTCTCCTGATTCCACTTTAGAAACATCCATTGTCTCTACTCTCCAAACCATGTCCATCGTCCTAGTTCACCTCATTACCATCTCTCACTTGGATTATTACCACAGCTTCTTCCTTGGCCTCCTGCTTCTAGTCTTAGACTTCTTTTACTTTCCTAACAGTAAGCTTTCTAAAACTTAGAGCCAATTACACTACTCTTCTCAGAATCCCACAATGGCTCACCATACACAGGGCAAAATTTGAAACCATCTAGTACGGCTAATAAGACCCTTCATATTACTTGACCCCTGCCTATCTGCTTAGCCTCACCTCTCATCTCTCCACACATCCTGACCACACCTATTCCACTTCACCCTGCAGCAATACTGAACTTACCACAGACCTCTCAATTTTTACTGGTCTTTCATACTTCTGTACCTCTGCACATGATGTCGAAACTGCCTGATTAGAATGCCCTCTCTCTCTGAGAGGTTCACAGCAAATTTTCACTTTTTCTTCAATATTCATCTTAAGAGAAAGTCCTTTGGAAATATTAAAGAGGAGGTCAGGTGAGGACAGAATCAGCTATACATCTCTGGTGCGTAGCTATGTATAAAGGTACTGGTTGAAGCTATCAGAGTGGAAGAATTCTCGGGATGGCATGCAATGAGAGACAGGCTGTGGGCCATATTACAATGTAGAGGAAGAAAAAACCCAAGAAAACTAAGAGGAGCACAGACAGATGCAATCTTCCAGAAGCCAAGAAAAAGAAGAGTTTTAAACAGAATGAGGTAACAAAAACTGTCTGCTACAGCAGAGAAATGGAGTAAGATGATGATTTCAAAGCATTCATTGGCTTTGGTATTTAAAAGGCTTTCGCGTAATCTTAGAGCAGTTTCAGTGGAAGGTGGGATCAAAATCTGACTACAGTAGATTAGTTGAAGAAGAAATGGAGTTGACAACTGTATACTATACTTTTCTCTCCAGGGCTCGAAAGAAAAAGATGGAAAATAAGCCATTGGGTGATGACTCGGGGGGTGGATGCTATAAAGGGATTTTTTTAAAAATAGGGAATATTAGTAAGTGCAGAGGAAGTGGGAATGATGAAAGATACAGTTCTGAGATAAAGATCCCCAAAGAGACTAAAAGGGATGAGATTAAGAGCACAAAGGAGGGGTGAGTCTTACACAGAAGGATCTTGGCCTCTGAGAATGCAGAAAAAGAGAAAAGGCTGGGTATGATTGTCAGTCTCCAAAGTATTCCACAAGGCCTTGTCAAAGTTTACCAAATGATCAAAAGAAGATTTCTACATACTTCACAATTTTACTTCTGGCCAATTTTGGGAAAGAGAAGCAAGGATTTAATGAAATATATGAATACGGAAAATGACAGCTCCAAGTGACTACTTGGAAAGGAAATAGGAAAAGATAATGTGAGTTTGGAAATAATACCACAAGGTGATGGAAGGAGGGGAGAATAATACATGTGCTCTTTGGAGCCAAGCAAACCTGGGGGGAATGTTGTCCCTACCACATGCTAGCTCTGACGTTAAGCAAGTTACTTAACCTTCTCTCAGCCTGAGTTTCTTCTTCTAAAAGCAAGGTTAATAATGCTTGTCTCATGGGGTTGGAATGAGAATTAGAAATAATATATTAGTGCAAAACACTGCTTTTTCTCACCTTCCCTTCCCTCACTTCTAGGACATATCACCTGAGACATTTGTTGATTATATTTGGGAGCTCTTCATTAAGGTGTGTGCTAGAGTTTTTAAAAGGTATATCCCACATATAGATAAAGATGGTTTACTTTAAAAAAGTGAAAATAGAAACACAAATAGGGTAAGGCAAGAAGAGGGTGAAAAGCAGAACTCATTGCTTGTGACTGTAAAGGATAATAGCAGAAAATATTAGAAACACTGTTTAAAGACAGTATTGATAACTATAAGATTGGTGCAAAAGTAATTGTGCTTTTCACCATTAAAAGTAATGTATCCAGCACTTTGGGAGGCCGAGGCAGGCGGATCACGAGGTCAGGAGATCGAGAACATCTTGGCTAACACGGTGAAACCCCGTCTCTACTAAAAATACAAAAAATCAGCCGGGTGTGGTGGCAGGTGCCTGTAGTCCCAGCTACTCAGGAGGCTGAGGCAGGAGAATGGCATGAACCTGGGAGGCAGAGCTTGCAGTGAGCCTAGATCACGCCATTGTACTCCAGCCTGGGTGACAGAGCGAGAAAAAAAAAAAAAAAGAATGTATCATTCCAATGGACTGGTTTTTATTACATTTCACTTTTCTTATTTATCATGTGTCAGATATTGTGCTAGGAATTTTTAAAAATAAGTTCATACACGGTTCTCATAATGGCTCTCCAAGGAAGGTACCTTTATTCGCAACTATGTGATGAAGATACTGAGTGTTATGGATTGAATTTTGTCCCCCGAAAAGTGACATGTGAAAGTCCTAACCCTCAGTACCTGAGAATGTGGCCTTATTTGGAAATAGGGACATTGTAGATACAATAATTTGAGTTCATACTAGAATAGGGTGGGTTCCAAATGCAATGTGACTGGTGCCCTCATAAGAAGATGGTGAGACCCAGAACACCCTGTGAAGACAGAGCATTGGAGTGATGTATCAGCAAGCCAAGGAACACCTGGGCCTCTAGAAGTTAGGAGATGGAAGAGATCCTCCTACAGAGCCTTCAGGAGAGCATGACCCTACTGACACCAATTTTGGACTTCCAGCCTCCAGAACTGTAATGTAATACATTTCTGTTGTTTTAAGCCACCCGGTTTTTGGTGCTTTCTTATGTCAGCCCTAGGAAACTAACACTGAGTCTTAAGGAATTCCTCACTTGTCCAGAATTGCCCAGCTAGTTTGGGATAGAGCCAATATGCCAATATTCAAACCCAGGGCTGCTTGGCCCCCAAATCCATGGTCTTTTTTTTTTTTTTTTTTTTTTTTGAGACGGAGTCTCAGACTGTCGCCTGGGCTGGAGTGAAATGACGTGATCTCAGCTCACTGCAACCTCCGCCTCCCGGGTTCAAGCGATTCTCCTGCCTCAGCCTCCTGAGTAGCTGGGATTACAGGCACACACCACCACATCTGGCTAATGTTTTGTATTTTTAGTAGAGATGGGGTTTCACTATGTTGGCCAGACTGGTCTCGAACTCCTTACCTCATGATCCACCCGCCTCAGCCTCCCAAAGTGCTGGGATTACAGGCGTGAGCCACCGCGCCTGGCCTCCATGGTCTTTTGATAATGCTGGGGTGAGTCAATCTTTGATTCTATTTTACTGTGATAACATGATGTAGGATCAAATATTGACTCATATCAGAAAAGTGATTCCTTATCTTCTAGTCTTTTTAATATTCTGTGAATAGTATATATTTTTGTTAGAAAAATTACTGTACGCTACTATAGACTTCATAAACACTGTACACTTAGGTTTCACTATATTTATGAAAAAATATTTTTCTTTCATCAGTAACCTTAGCTTACCATAATGTTTTTACTTTATAAACTTGAAAAAAATGACTCTTTTATAATAAGTTTAAAACATAAATACATTGTACAGATACACAAAACTTTTTTTTCTTTATATCCTTATTCTATAAGCTTTTTATATCTTAACTTTTTAATTTTTAAACTTTTTTGTTAAAAACAGACACAAACACACACATTAGCCTAGGCTTACAGAGAGTCAGGATCATCAGTGTCACTGTCTTCCACCTCCACATCTTGTCCCATTGGAAGGTCTTCAGGGGCAATAACACACCCGGAGCTGTCATCTCCTATGATGACAATGCTCTTATGGAATACCTCCTGAAAGGCCTGCCTGAGGCTGACAGTTAACTTTTCTTATAAGTAGAAGGAATGCACTCTAAAATAATGATAAAAAGTATAATACAGTAAATATATGAACCAGTAACAGTCGTTTATTATCATTTTGAAGTATTATGTATTGCACATAATCATGTGTGCTACCTTTTTATATGACTGGCAGCATGGTAGGTTTGTTTACACCAGCATCACAACAAACATGTGAGTAATACATTGCGGTACAGTGTTACAATGGCTTTGTCGCTAGGTGATAAGAATTTTTCAGCTCCATTATAATCTTATGGGACTAATGTCATATATGTAGTCCATCGATGATCAAAATGTCATTATGGGGCACATGACTATAAATGTACCTCTTGAGGACTGGCCTTTCTGACAGCTTTTTTTTTTAGTTTTGAGGATCAAACCCTTGGGGCCATTGATTCATTGGATCATTCAGCAAATGATCAAATGGGTAATTTGCGGTACAATCTAAGCAAAGGAAAACCTGAAGATGTCCATTTCTTCAAGGAAGCTCTAATCTGGAACAGCAATAAATTCTCTACGCAAAAGAGAAACACTCAAGGCAGTAAGGTAACAGCTCTGAAAGTGCTAAAAATATGGAGGGGAGCGAGCGATAACTTGTATGGTCACCATTGACCTTGCTGATGCAGAAATAAATCATCTTTACTCTTCATTCTCTTGAATTCTCACCTACCCTGCCACCTCATCCAAAATTTGTTAATTCTATGTGCAAAACATCTTTCAAATCCACCCCTCTCTCTTCATCCTCACTGCCCCCATCCTAGTCCACATCAATGCCAGTCTTCTGATTTTCCTGTCCCTAGTCTGATCTTCTCCCAATGCACTCTGCAGAGTGACCTTTATGAAATGTAGATCTGATTATGCCACGTTCCCACTTTAAAAGCCTCTAGAGGTGTGAACCTCTAGAGTCTTCTAGAATCTGACTTCCATTCTCTGTCCAGCTTTATTTCTTGCTGGACTACTCTATGCTCCAGCCATATTGGTCAAAAATTGTTTTAGTTTCTGGAACCTATGGTGATCCTCTCACCGAGGCCTGCTATTTTCTCTTACTGGAACTCTGTCCCCTCCCCTGGGCACCCTCCCGCCTCTGGCCTAGCGAATTCCTTCCATCTTCCGGTCTCAGTTCCTCCAAGAAACCTTCTCACCTAACCCGTCCGGTCAGGGTACTTTCCTTACCTAACACCCACTCCCTCGTTTACTTCTCTTTGGCTGGACTGAAGTTGGGCAGGGCAGGGGCTAGTCTGCCTTCTTCTGGGCCCAACCCTCCCGGCCGGCACCACAGGCATTACAGGTACTCTGTGCACTCAGGCTGCGCAGACCCGCAGCTTCCTATCCTGTAGCTCACTTTCCTCTGAGGCGGGCTGGAGGCGGAGCTTGTCCGCTGGGGGTGGGGCTCAAAGCTGGGGCGGGGATACGGAGCAAAACTTAAGAGGAAGATGAGAAGCCTGGTTGGCCAGGAGGCTTATCTGTCAGGACAGGGGGCGGGGCCTGGGGGGCCGTACCTTTGCTTACCGCGAGTGGGCGGGGCAGGTTTTACCGCCGCGGCCCATCAGCGAAGATCGCTGAGCGGCGCCCGCCTTGCGGGCCTCCAGGACCCGGCCGCCGCCATCCGGTGGGAAGCCGGGTGGCCTGCGGGTGAGGGGGGCGAGGCGGACGGAGGGCACCACACCCCCCGGGGGGCGGGGCGGGCGGAGAGCACCCTACATCCGGGAGCCGGGGCGGCGCCTGGAGAGCGGAGCAGGCAGCGCTTTCTGCCCGCTGAGTGGGTCAGGCGCCGCCCCCTTGTGGTCTCGGCCTGCGGGCAGCCCTTTGGAGCGCGCGGGAACCGGACGCCCGCCCGAGGAGAGAGGATCCAGGAGACCACTCCGGGCGGGATCCGCGGAGCCTGGGGCCGGGCGGTTGGCCCACATTATAAGAGGGCCTGCGTTGCTTCTACCTCAAAGGCTTTAGGGTGTTTGTTAATTCCCCGCCCCCCAACCTGATGATGCTCCAGGTATTTACAGGCAGGTGCCCCATAGGCTGTTTACTGGGAAGCAGAATTGGTGGACTCCGTTCGGGGATATGAGGAAAGATCCATAAGCAGAGAGAATAAAGCCTTTGCACTTACATTTTACTTCTCTTATCCCTCACCTCTACCACCTTTCCCCTTGACCCCCAATGGGCTGCAGGTCACATCATCTTGTCCTTGATATATTCAGAAAATAGAAGCCCCTCAAACAACTTAGAAGCAGTCCCCGCATGTCACCAAATAATAGACCACAGCTGGCATGTGAATGCTACCAGTTAGAGATGTGTAGTAGTTTGTAATTTCCTCATGAATAGTTCAAACTAGAGATTTCTAAATTATTACTAAATTTTAGTATTAATCTAAATATTGTTAATAGATTTTTGTATTATTACTAAATGCATAATCTTTGGAGCAGAAGTTGTGGGAAAAGAAGATTTGGACAAATACCTGACAAGTTACCCGGTATTTTACTTTCTTTGAAGCAATTAAAGAGGTCTGTGTCTTGTCTTGAATAATTAATTTACTTAGGTTGCTGTTTAAAATGCTTTTAAATTTTCAAAACACATCTGTGAGGAGAGGTCTCCACATCTTCAGTTGAAAACTGGAAGAAGCAAAAGGAATAGAGTGTTTATCTTTGAAAAAAGCACACCTAACTAAAATAATAATAAAAAATATGCAGGTGGATAGAAACTCAACAGCTTTCTTCATAGGGTTTGAAACCATAACTGAAGGAAAGGCTATCTGCCATCTCCACTTTGTCTGCTTCTTCAGTCATCTCTCATTATTCAACTTACCTTCTAGTCAGGTCAAATTACAGTTTCTCCAGACTCATATTGCTTTCATATATCTCTTTGTCTTTGTACATAATACTCCTTTACCTTCCTAATGCTTATTTTACCTTCGAAATTCAGCCAATGTATCAACTCTCCTAGAAAGTTCCATTATCTTTCCTCCAAGTACAGGTCTTTCCACTGTACTACCATCGAGTTCTGGGATGCTTCTCCTTGGTGGCATTTTTTATACCGTGATATAATTCTCTCTTTACTTATTCCTGTATCAAGTTGTTAGGGCAATGCCTTTATCTCAATATTCTGTAAATGTAGCATGGACGGATTGATGATGGACAGACAGGTGGGCGAGGGAATAGCTACAAGGATGGACATATACGTGGGAGAAAAGGGACGGACAAATGTATAAATAGATGTTTTAAGGTTGGGTAGGTGAGTGGATGGAACTAAAGCTTGGAGAGTAAATCTTGATGAAGACTTGTTGGGAAACAAGAAGATCTTGATATGATGAACTCAAGGAGGTTGATGGAAAGGGGTGGGGGATAGTTGAGGATCGGTCATTGAAACCATTATTTCTTTTGGAAAAATATTGAGAAAACATGTACTAAAGTTAATAAATGCTACTTTGTGAGGAAAAGATGATATTAGTTTGATATTCTTAGTATTTAAAGTGTAAAGGACTAACATTTCCCTCTCCTATTTAGTCTCCATTTCTTTCTTAATCTCTAGTGTAAGCATTATTTAAAAGTTATTTGTTATAGTAAATATCTGGACATTCTCATCAGTGTGGTTATTCTTAAAAGTTGTCGGCAGGGTGCTATGGCTCACGCTTGTAATCCCAGCACTTTGGGAGGCCGAGGCAGGTGGATCACGAGGTCAGGAGATCGAGACCATCCTGGCCAACATGGTGAAACCCCGTCTCTACTAAAAATACAAAAATTAGCTGGGCGTGGTGGCGTGCGCCTGTAGTCCCAGCTACTCAAGAGGCTGAGGCAGGAGAATCGCTTGAACCCAGGAGGCGGAGGTTGCAGTGAGCCGAGATCGCGCCACTGCACTCCAGCCTAGGTGACAGAATGAAACTCCGTCTCAAAAAAAAAAAAAAAAAAAAAGTTGTCTAAAGTATTTTATTGTTGTTGCCTAAACTAATTGACTTCTGTGCTTTTGGTCCTTGAAAACACTGTTTTAATAGTTACACTTTTTTCTGTAATAATACTTTACATGTGTTAAAAGAAAAACTTTAGACAAATTAAATTTACCAGTTTATTTGAGCAAAGAATGACTCAGGAATCATGCATCACTGAGAACCAAAAGTTCAGAGTGCTGCACAGTGTGAGCAATGGACTTTTATAGGCCCAACACAGAAGCAGAGGAGAGGAATCACCTGATTGGTTGGGCATGGTGGCTGATGCCTGTAATCCCAGCAACTCGATAGACTTACTAGGGAGGATTGCTTGAGCCCAGGAGTTTGAGGCTGCAGTGAGCTGTGATCACACCACTGCACTCCAGCCTGGGCAACAAAGCAACCCTCCTGCCCCCACCCTGACCCCATCTGCTGTACTTGTCAGTAAGCTTGCTTTGGGTTTATGAGATCCAATAAATATGGATTCATATCAAACTGTTTGTCTCACCTTATTCATCAGTTGACACCTATCAAAGGCATATCCCGGGCACTGTTCTGAACATGTGAGGACAAGAGATTCAAAATGCTAAAGGCTCACAATATCACAGCAAGATGCTATTGGGAATTAGAGAGACCAGCATGTTGCTAACAAGAAAACCTGCGTATGTGATTGCAGAATTCTACAGGTGGTCTTAAAGAAGTTTTCTCATGGGCCATATTCATATTCTGTGCTTTATTCAGCTTCATATTTTTTCTCTAGCAAGGTATCATCAAGAGTTTGCAGGAGGACATTGTTACTCTTGCTGAAATTCTGTCAGCAGGACTAAGGTTACATATTATCATGCCCCTTCTGCTTCCAATAACAAATGACCTTAAAAATAGCATGGCCTGAGATCTATGCCAAGAAAATATCCACATTATATTTGTAATTCACACTGTTCTGAAGTTGAATTTGTGATTATTATATTGAGACTATATTAAAATACTTCCCTAGTTGTATTTATTATGCTCATGAGATTTGGTGATTTATTATTAAACCTCTTAGAGTTAATTATGTTTATTGCCCCAGTCTTTTCTGAAGGAAACTTGGGAATTGTCTTTCTTATCCCTAATTAGGAAATTACAAAATGCTCTTCTGAGCACATGGGAATTGTTTTCCCTTGCTCCATGAGACTGACCCACCAGGTTTATTAAACAAAAACCTCTTTGATAACAGATCAAAATTTTAACTTTACTATTAAAATATATAAAGATATTCTATTAAATAGCAGATCAGCTTCACCCCTTCTAGTTCCTCATTTTACATTTTTGAGGGAAGAAGGGTTTTTTCCCTCTGGTTGAAAACATACTTTTTAAAAAAATAACAAAATTGCCAAGTTATAAATGTTGTATTAGTTTGCTAGGGCTGTAATAATAAAGTACTATAAGCTGGATGACTTAATAAAAATTTCACCTCTCAGTTCTGGAGGCTAGAAGTCTGATATCAAGGTGTCTTAAAAGTTGGTTCCTTTTAAGGGCTGTGAGGGGGAGTCTGTTCCAGGCCTCTCCCCCTTGGCTTTGTTAATGGCCATCTTCTCCCTATGTCTCTCCACGTTGTTATCCTTCTATTCATGTCTTTCTCTGTGCCCAAATTTATGCAATGGACTGAAAGTGTCCACCCTAAAATGCATATGTTGAAATCCTAATCCCGGTGGGATAATATTTGAAGGTGGGGCCTGTGGGAGGTGATCAGGTCATAAGGGTGGAGCCTCATGATTGAAATTAGTGCCTTTTATAAGAAGAGGTCCAAGAACTGCTAGCTCTCCTTCTGCCGTGTCATGATCCAATTAGAAGTCAGCAGCAGTCTGCAACCTGGAAGAGGACCTTCACCAGACCCTGACTCTGCTGGTGCCCTGATCTTAGACTTCCAAGCCTTCAGAATTGTGAGAAATAAATTTCTGTTGTTTATAAGCCATCCAGTTTATGGTACTTTGTTGGAACAGCCAAATGAATAAGACAATTTATATGAATAGACTTATGGTTCTGTGACTTGGTTTTTTCACTCAACATTTTCTAAACCTGTACTTACAGCTTCGCTTCATTCATCTTAACTGCTATTTAACATCCCATTATATTAATAAAACACAATTGATTTATGTATTCTTTTACTGATGAATATTTAAAATGTTTCCAAAGTTTTGCCATTACAAATTATGCTGCAATTAATATTCTTACATATATTTATAATCTCCTCATGTATACTTAAATTTCTTAAGGGGGAGTGGTCTCCTGCTATGCTGATTGTGTTGCCTCATCAATAAAAAAGCTTAACTGCTTATCCTCAATATGTCTCTATTTATAAATTATATAAATGTCCTATTGTATTAACATGTAATACCCATTATCAAATGTAAATTTTTTCTTAAAAGATAAGTACAAAATTCTACTATTTTCTTCCCATATCCCATTTGAATTGCTAAGGTATAAGGTATAGATATATTGATGATTACTGATACTACTATCATATCATCATCATCATACTGTATTAATAGTATTATATCAATGTAATATTAAACATCATTATATTACTCTCCAAGAACTGTACCAATAATTTGCATTCCTTTTATCAGAGTATGAAAATTTCCATTTCTCCACATCCTTACCAACACTTGATGTAAATATGTACTTTTAACATTTTATTTTGAAAAAATTTCAAACTAGCAGAAAAGTTGTTAGAATAATACAATGACATCCTGTATAACCTCCACCTAGATTCACCAATTAATAACAGTTTGCTGCAGTTGCCTTTTTTTCTCTTTGTCTATCTCCCTCTTTTCTTTCCTCCCTTCCCTCTGTTGTAGAAAAAGCTAGGCTCCTGTCACACAACCAGGAAAATTTAGGCATGCAGACACATTGTAGGGTGAATAGGGCTGTGTTTATTGGGTGAAAAGGAAAAAAGGCAAGAGGAACTCTCAGTAAAGTGAGAGAGAGTCCTGCTAGCAGGCCCCCCACCTTACAGATTGAATCCCAGGCCACCACACAGGAAATGAAGAGGCCAGGCTCCTCCCCATGCAGGGATTTCCTCTGGCTCCACTCCCTTCCCCCAGAGCACAGGTGGCCATTATTCAGAGAGAATCAGTCAGGAAAGGGTGTGCTTTTTCCGGGACTAGCAGTCCAGTTCTTCAGCCTTCAGGCTGTTGTAGGCTTGAAGGTGGGCTTTCACCAGGGACCCTTGGCTGTCTCCTGTCTCTATCATTCCCCCTTCTAAAGAAGTACATCTAACTGCTGTTAGGATAAGGATAAGGATAAGGATAAGGGTTAAAGATAAGGATAAGGACAGTAAGACAATCTTAACTGCCTCCTGCTGACAGGGGGCGCTGTTTTGGGACTACGGCAGTCAGATCTCCCTCAAAGGCCTATATAACGGTTTCTGGCAAAAGGGGCCATCATCCGAGGCTCTGGATGCATGACCTTTTAGAGTTTGATGGCCTGAGGCGAGAAGAAACAAATCAGGTTGTTAGAAAATATGTATTAAAACGAAACAAGGTGAGTAAGGACAGCTCAAAAATCCTAAGGCCTTTTACCAGTTTGCACTGGGAGAAGGAGGCCAAAAGCCCAACTGGAAAAAAAAACTTTTACCCTTGTGCCAGCATCTCAGGCTTCTGGGTTCCCTTTCCCCAAGCCCAATCCTATGCCAATGAGTTTAAGGTTTGGGAAATTAACTTTTTCCAGTTTGGAGGATGCATCCAAGGGGAGTTTCCTGTAGTATGAAGACACAATTACTTTTCAATGAAGAGAGGACAGAGGAAGAAAAAGGAAAAAAGAAGGCATTTTTTTCAGAGGACTCTCAGGGGTTCAGGATGCATTTGAAAGGGATACAGACTGAAGATAAATGGCTACTCATCTAGAAAGAGAGAAGCAGGTGTCCCTGCTTCCTTTCTTTCCCTGGAAAATACTCAGGGTACATGAGGGAGAGAAAGTGGGGCATTGCTCTTTGTATCCCCAAGTCCCAGTAACCATGACAGGGTGCCACCCATGGGTGTCAAAGCGGCTTTCACCCATTTTATCAGGGGGACCAGGATGGTGTGGGAGTATCTGCTCTTACCTACATATGCCCTATCTACCCTGCTGTCAGTAGCCTTTGAATTCCTTAGACCTCACTTATGCCATGGATACTAGCATGACTTTTATCCATGAAACCGGAAGCTTGGTTTAATCGGCAGGAATTAGTCATGTTCACCTGTGCTGTGCCTTTTAATTTCTGCTATTGTCTGCCTCTGGATCCCTCAGATCCAGTTTTCTTTCCTAGGGCTTTTACCCGAGCCTGGAATTGAGTGTGTCTCTGGGGCATTGCATGGATTCCTTATCATAAGCCGAATGCTACAATGAAGCTGTGGGATTGAGTCCTCCTCCAACAAGGGAGAGAAAAGGACATCCAGATAATTGGTGACTATAGATATGCTTGCTAAGGTTTGGAATGCATGGGGCTTGGCTTTGGTTAGCTCTCTTGGTCTTACTTTCCCAAAAAGGAAACCTCCGGGTTATGGGCACCCTATTTATTCCCATCACCTGGCAGGAATTGCAGGATAATTGCTCAGAACTAGAATATCGATCCAGATTTTTATATCACCTATCCCTCTTGTTCCCTCTGAGCTGCAGCTGGAGATCACTGGTCGGTTTATAGGAATAAACAGAGTTAGTTTAAAATGTAGGCAAAAATTTAAAAACAACTAATGAGTCTAGAATTTAATGATAAATGTGTAAGTTTTAAAATATAATTTCTCTTTCTTTAGTCCTCATTTATGTTAAAAACAAATCAGGATAGGACTGCATTATTTACGAAATAGATGTTAGTCTTATACTTGGCCTGATTATTTGCATAAAGTGCAACAAGAATAATTATTTCTACATAGGCCTTTTAGATTGGCTTTGGTGGAACTGTTCCACAAGGAATCTCTGGTAAGACCTTTTAAAGCTGAGCCCAGCCATGGGTTTGTATCCTCAAATACCTGTGAGTTGGGTAAACTCTGCTCTTCTTGAGGTCCCAAGAGCATGTGGTTCCTGGGCCTGTTGGAAAGTGACATTCTTTACTCACTGCAGGTTAGGAACCGTGTATGGAGACTGTGTAGACAAGGGTATGAGACCTAGTTTTATCAGCTCTGCAAGTCGAGCTTGACTCTTTAAAGGGAAGCATGCCCTTCCAGTCAAAGCCTTGGTAAAACAACCAGTTTCTCTAATTGCATCCTGTTGCAACAGAAAATGGATTCTTATTGCACTAGATGCAAACAACTATATTGCCATATGTTAAGAATACTCACAGATAGTTTCCAAATTCCAGAGGAACCAGGCAGAGAGAAACAAACATGCTCCAAATTTTGTTCACACCTTTCTCAATTATTAAAGGCCATAAATAGTTCAAAATAAGTTTCTATAACTCTGAAAAACAAAACAAGGATTAACAATGCTCCAAGCAAAAATAAAAAAGATTACTGAAATTTTCTATTAGTTCAGTCCATTCAATGAGTCTTGTTTTGCTTGATATTCATGAGCATTTCAGCTCTTCATGAGTCCTGATGGAAATAACTATATTGCCATAAGTTAAGAATATTCACAGATAGTTTCCAAATTCTAGAGGAACCAGGCAGAAAGAAACAAACATGCTCCAAATTTTGTTCATGCCTTTATCAGTTATTAAAGGCCATAAATAGTTTTTCCTTTATTTCAATGTTACAATCTCCAAAGTTATCAGAAACCTGTATTTGAGTGCACCTGGCAGAGTCCTGTAGCTTATTATAAACCATCTTTTGAAAAGGCTCAAAGCAAGACAACACTTTTCTGAATAACAAAATGTCCAGGGTAGTTACAGTCAGAAACACAGTTGACAAAGAAGGTTGGTTATCTCTGGGGTTTACAATAACTTAATATAACAACCTTAATTAGGATTGAGAGTATATACTTTAGACATTAGAATTTTAGAAATCCCATACAATTCTGGAATATATATTAATATTATTCACTAAAATATAACCTAAAGAAGATTGAACATCATTTTGGCAAACCCATGTACCTAAACATGTCAACTAATCCCGTTTACCTCCCTTTTGAGTATTCCAGGGGCCCTCTGTAGCATCCAAAAGCCAGGCATCAGGAAAGACAATTTTGAAACTGAAGTTTGATTTGGGGAAGCCGATTAAATATGTGAGAGGTTTAAAACACTTGATGTTATGAAACAGAATTCCAGATTACCATAAGTTATTTATTTTGCCAAAATGATTCAAAAATTTAAAAAAGCAAAAACCTTTTATAACCATTTACAAATTTTGCTAAAGAGCAGATTAGTACCTTAAGAGTATCTTCTTGTGCTTTTATTTCAATGCTCAATTTACATAAAAACCATATAATAACCTTTTGAATTTAGTTAATATGTTCACACACAGAATTTCTTTTGCAAGATGAATTTTTACAGCCTTTCCACAGCTTGAACTTTGAATTTTATCTTATCTAATTCAAAACAATCCTTTAACCCTAAGAAAGAATTTACATTTCCACACCTTCTTATAATCTTTTATTAAAAACACATTTTACTGCTCTTACATACATTGCATGTAAATCTATTTCCAGTAGTTTCTATTACATGTTATAATGGTAATTCCTAACAATTTTTAACTTTAATGTAAAACCTGGTAAATTGTATTAATTATGTACTAAGTGAAGCCAAGGTTTGACTCCTTCCAGCATAATTAAGGGTGTGGTTGGTTCTGTATGTCCCCAGGCCTTACCAATTGTGAGGCAGGAAGTTGAGCAGTTCTCAAAAACCAAGAAAGCAGTTTATAACCCCAAAACATTTAGCAAACCTAGTATCTGACCTGCACAATCTAGTCCACCTATTTACATTTTGAGGACATCTGCACTTTACCAATAATCTTTAAGGCTGTTTTTACTTCTCAAAGATTAAAATCATGTGAACTGAAGGGTACCACAGCTTTTATCTAACCTTTAAAAATTTTTTTGATCCAAGCACTTATCCTTAAGTCAATTAATTAGAGCTTTTTTTTAATAGACATCACAATCACAACACATATGTAACTACACAGATAGGCAGAAGAAAACCCAGCAGCCATACGAGTTTTCCTTTGCCAGTCTCCTAATTGGATTATTGGCTTCTCATGTGTGCATTAAGAGTGGCAAGACAAAATGGAGAAAAAGAATTCGTTTGGCTGAGAAAAAAAAAAAAATTTTCCAGCAAAACAAGATCGAAGAAAAAAAAAACATAAAGGCCTTTTAAATATACCTATAACTTGGATATCCAGTTTTAATTAAGCTGAGCATGCTCTAAGAAAATCCTTTTAACTCCATTATTATCCTACTTTAGCCTCACCAAGCTGCCAATATTTCCGGCTTTCAAACTTTACTAAACGTAACCTCACAGGTGAAACCAGCAAGTCTTAATTAAGGTTATGATTTAACTGCAAGTGTATGAGGTATTTTCAAAGGGGGTAAGCAGTTCTTACAAAATTTAGAACATTTAAAGGTTACCTTTAATGTAAATGGCAATCAGTAAATGGCAAAAGCCACACAGCTATCAACCTGAAAGTACTCATTCCCTAAGCCAGGACTGAATCAGCTGCCATTGTAAAGTGTTACAGGATAAACAAAATATTGCCACGTGGTTACAGGTCATGCTCCCAGGCACATGGAAAAAGATGGAGGCCTACAGCAAAGTTTGCTACTGACTATACAGAAAATCATGCAAAGCACACCAGATTGGCTACAGCTTAAGACCAACCTCACAAATCCTTTTACCTAATTAAAACTTTTCAGAGTGGCCAGGCACAATGGCTCACACTTGTAATGCCAGCACTTTGGGAGGCTGAGGTGGGCAGACCACCTGAGGTCAGGAGTTTGAGAACAGCCTGGACAGCATGATGAAACCTTGTCTCTACTAAAAATACAAAAATTAGCCAGGCGTGGTGGTGCGTGGCTGTAATTCCAGCTACTTGGGAGGCTGAGGCAGGAGCATAGTTTGAACCTGGGAGGCAGAGGTTGCAGTGAGCTGAGATAGCACCACTGCACTCCAGCCTGAGTGTCAGAGCTAGACTCTATCTCAAAAAACAAACAAACAAACAAACAAAAAAAACTTTGCAGAGAATATAAACAGTGATCCTTATCATTCCTGGCCTAGTAAAACATCTTCTAAAAGCAAAAAACAAAAACAAAAACAAAACAAAACAACTCCTTAAAAGTTAACTGCTGACAGGGTAGAGAAAAGGAGAGAAGTTTAAAGTGCAGGGTTGGAAAGACGCCTGGGGAAAGAACCTCTTATTCTTAATGCAAATGGTTCCTTTCCCCTGGGTTTGGACTGAGTCTGGCCAGTCAGCCCTTTGGGGCTGCCTTGGGGCCTGGGCAGCGGCTGTGGCTTATTCCCATTCTGTGTGACCTCACCTTACACACATGCTGCAGACACAGCCGTGTATCCCCCTGGGAGAGAAGGGGTGTTGGGAGCTGCAGCTCACCCAATCGTCCTGCACATGCCTGCCGCCATTGACGTGGGTGTGGACCACCAGCAATATTTTAAAAGATAGGTGCTGTTACTGTCTTGAAAAACGAAGAAAAATGCCATAGGACCAAAAGGCTCAGAAATGAAAGTGAGAGGTTTTGGGTCTGCATTTTACTGAATCTTCCTCAGATCCCACATTCTGGGCACCAAAAATGTAGGAAAAAATGGGGTTCTTGTCACATAACCAGGAAAATTCAGGCACGTAGACACATTGTGGGGTGAGTAGGGCAGGGTTTATTGGGTGAAAAGAAAAAAAGGAAAGAGGAACTCTCAGCAAAGTTAGAGACAGTCCTGCTAGCAGGCCCCCACCTTACAGATTGAATCCCAGGCCACCACACAGGAACTGAAGAGGTCAGGCTCCTCCCCCTTCAAATGGAGTGAACTTCCCCTGGCTCCACCCCTTTCCCCCAGTGCACAGGTGAGCATTATTCAGGGAGAATCAGTCAGGAAAGGGCAGGTTTCATCCATCCCGGACCAGCAGTCTGGTTTTTGAGCCTTAGCGTTGTTTTAGGCTTGAAGGAGGGCTTTCGCCTGGGACCCTTGGCTGTCTCCTGCCTCTATTACATTCTTCCCTTCATACATATTTATTTTTTACTTATACAATTTTTTAATCCATTTGAGAATAAATTGCAGACATCATGACCCTTCAGTCCTAAATATTCACACATGTATTTCCCAAGAACAAAGGTATTCTCTTACATAACCATGATAAAATTATCAAATTCAAGAAACTTACATTGATGTAGAACTATAAAACTCACCAGTTTTCCCAATTAAGTTATTTCTAGCAATTTTTTTTCTGACCCAGAACATACGATGTATTTAGCTGCCATGTTTCTTTAATCTCCTTTAATCTGGAACAGTTTTTTAGATTTTCTTTATTTTTCATGACATTGATGTATTTGAATTTTACAGGACAGTTATTTTGTTTCTTGTTCCTAAATTTGGGTTTGCTTAATGGTTTGCACGTGATTTGATTGGGTTGTGCATTTTTGTCAGGAATATTATACAAGAGATGTTGCGTCCTCAGTGAATTGCGTAAGGAGGTTGTGAAATTTGTGAAATGTTTGCCAATCTAATGGAAGTTAAATGGAGTTGCACTTTATTTTGGGTTTCCTTGTTTATTCCTGAGGTTGAGCATCTTTTCCCATGTTTACTGGTAATTCATGTTTCTTCTAGATTTTTTTCCTAGTCTTTGCCAATGTTTTTGATATGTTTTCCTTATTGATTTGTCTGAGTTATTTATAGATTATGGATAGTCCTCCTTTGACAAGTACATATGTCATAAATGTTCTTTCAATCTGTCACTTGTCTTTTATATTTAGTCATGTCACCCTTTGTTTTACAGAACTTTAAGTTTTTAATGTGGTCTAATTCCAGCCTATTTTCCTTTATACTTCCTTTTAATGTCTTGTTAAAGAAAATCATCTCCTATGCTATAAAGGTATGTAAGTTTACTTCTTAGAGTTTTAACATTTTGTTATTTACACTTGGATATTTAATCTTTTATGGCATGAGGAGGAAATCGAATTTTATTTCTTTCTGTATGTATATCTTGTTGTTCCAACACCATTATTGAATAACTTGATCTTTCTCCACTGATTTGTAATGCCCGCTCTATCATATACCAAGAGCCTATATGTATGCTTGGGTCTCTTTCTGGATTTTCTAGTCTGTTTTTATGAAAATATTTGTCTAATGTTTTGTCAATATAAAACTGACTCAATGACTCTAAAATGACTTGCCGTGGCATACATCTTACTAACTGGTCAGGCTACCCCTCCATGTTTCTTTTTTATTTTTTCCCTCTCAGAATTATTTTGGCCATTTATGGGACTTCAACCCTTCCATGAATCTGAGAACCATTTTATTCAAGGTCCTTAAAACATATGCATTGGAGTTTTTGTTGGGAATGTGTTGACTTTAAGTTCCAGATAATTTAATCTTTATAGTGCTGAGTCCCTCCATCTATGAGCATAAAGTTGATCTATCTTGTATTTTATAAGATTCTATTTTATGTTCCTCAATATCATTTTATAATTTTGTCCATAAGAGTTCTGTTAATCTTTTATTGGATTTTATTCCCAACGATCACAGAGATTTTACTGTTAATGTGAATATTACTTTAATTACATTTTAAAAATTGATTATTGCTTGTACAGAAATCTATTAATTTTTATAGGGTAATCTTGTGTTTAGTTCTAATGAATTATCTGTAAATTTTCTTAGACTGTTTTTGTAGGCAGTTATTTTATCTACAAATACAGTTTTCTCTCTTCCTTTTAAATTTTTATACTTCTCTGTCCTTATAGCATCAGGTAGGCCTTCAGATACAATGTTGAACAGTAATTTTCATAACAGGAGGCTCCTTCTCTTGTTTCTGACTTTAAAGCATTTCACCATTATGATGTTGGTCGTAGGTTTTTTTGTTTGTTTTGTTTTGTTTTGAGACAGAGTCTCACTCTGTTGCCCAGGCTGGAGTGCAGTGGCATGATCTTAGCTCACTGCAACTTGCGCCTCCCAGGTTCAAGCGATTCTCCCACCTCAGCCTTCCAAGTAGCTGGGATTACAGGTGTGAGCCACCACACCTGGCTGATTTTTATATTTTTGGTAGAGATGACGTTTCACCATGTTGGCCAGGCTGGTCTCAAATTCCTGACCTCAAGTGATCTGCCTGCCTCGGCTTCCCAAAATGCTGGGATTACAGGCATGAGCCACTACACCCAGTCAGTTGTAGGTTTTTGTTAGTTAGCTATGATAGACATTTTTGGTACCCAGCATCACATCCCCTCTGTCCACCTCTAATTATAGCCGCAGCTATAGCAGACATTGGTGGCTTATGCTAACAGCATCTCACCTCAAGCATATGCCACGTGTCTTTCTCTTTTGCCCAATGACTTCTCTGCAATAGCAGGCCTTCTCAGAAACCACAGGAGCCCACTCAGTCCTAGTGTGGGTACAACCTGGGAGTCCTGGGCTGGGGGTGTTAATGTTGCCTGTGGGCATCTGTCAATCTTTGGTGGATGGGAGCTTATGAATAGATGCCTCAGCCTCTAGTCTTATTTTTCTCTGATGGACAATTCTTTGTATACTCCTAGAAGTCTCAGTGGTATTGAGACCTTCTTGCTTAGAGCAGCAATCTTGATAACACACACCCTTATATTGGCTTGCCTTCCTTGCTTGTTTCATCCTCCTTGTGGCCTCACTCCTACTTCCTGGAATCATCTCCCAAAAAGAGTACTTAGTACTTTGGTCTCTGTCTTAACCTCTGTTGTCAAGAAAATCTAAAGAGGTGTCTTTTAATTTCATAGTTTCCAAGAGTTTTTATTATGAATTTCTAGTGAGTTTTATTGAATACTTTTTCTATCATGTCTGTTACGATTATCCTGTTTCTTTGATTTTAATCAGTTAATGTGGTTAATTACTTCAGTAGAATTTCTTTATATTGCAACATCTTTTTATTCCTGGGATAAATCTTCCTTAGTCATATATTTTTTTGTTTCATTGTTATTTGGTTTTGAGGATTTATTTTTCCCTATTGGATTTTATTTGCTAACATTTATTTAGGATTTTTATATTTGTATTTACACGTGAGATGCAGTCATAATTTTCTTCCCTTATATCTTCCTAATCCAGTCTTATGTAAAAGTTGCCCTCTCTCATTTTATTTTCTAGGATAGTCTGTATTAGAAAATGATTATCTATTCCTTGAAGAATAGATAGATAGATAGAATTTACTTGTAAAACCATGTAAGCCTAAGTTATTTGGAGGTTGAGGGAAAGGGAATAAAATTTTAAATAATAGATTAATAATTTTTAGTGCTTATTGATTTGAAATTTTTTGTTTGTCTTTTGTTTGTTTTGTTTTGTTTTTTGAGACAGAGTCTCACTGTGTTGCCCATGCTGGAATGCAGTGGCATGATCTTGGCTCACCGCAACCTCCGCCTCCCAGGTTCAAGCAATTCTCCTGCTTCAGCCTCCTGAGAAGCTGGGATTAAAGGCAGGCACCACCATGCCTGGCTAATTTTTGTATTTTTAGTAGAGATGGGGTTTCACCATGTTGGCCAGGCTGGTCTCAAACTCCTGACCTCAAGTGATCTGCCTGCCTTGGCCTCCCAATGTGCTGGGATTACAGATGTGATCCACTGTGCCTGGCCTGAATGTTTTCTTTCTTTCTTTTTTCTTTTGTTGACAGGGTCTTCTCTGGCACCCAGGCTAGAGTGCACTGGTGTGATCCCAGCTCACTGCAGCCTTGACCTCTCAGGCTCAAGCGATCCTCCAACCTCATGCTCCCAAGTAGCTGGGACCACAGGTGTGCACCACCACACCTGACTAAGTTTTTAATATTTTATTGAGACATTGTTTCCCCTATGATGCCCAGGCTGGTCTCAAACTCCTGGGCTCAAGTGATCGTCCTACCTCTAACACTTCTACCTCTAACTTCTAAAGTGTTGGGATTATAGGCATGAGCCACCACACCCAGCTATTGGGGGAACCTGCCCCCAATATTTCAACGTAGGTTCTATTTTCCATAAGTGTTGGCCAACTGAGAAATAAAGAGAAAGAGTAAAAAGAGAGGAATTTTACAGCTGGGCCACCGGGGGTGACATCACATATCGGTAGGACCGTGATGCCCGCCGGAGTCTCAGACCAGCAAGACTTTATTAAGGGTTTCAAAAGGGGAGGGGGTGTAAAATAGGGAGTAGGTACAAAGATCACATACTTCAAAGGGCAAAAAGCGTAACAAAGATCACATGCTTTTGAGGGAACAGGACAAAAGACAAAACAGAACTACTGATAAGGGTTTATGTTCAGCTGTGCACATACTGTCTTGATAAACATCTTAAACAACAGAAAACAGGGTTTGAGAGCAGAAAACCGGTCTGACCACAAATTTACCAGGGCGGAGTTTTTCCCCACCCTAATAAGCCTGAGGGTACTGCAGGAGACCAGGGCGTATTTCAGTCCTTATCTCAACCAAATAAGACAGGCACTCCCAGAGCGGCCGTTTATAGTCCTCCCCCCAGGAATGCATTCCTTTCCCAGGGTATTAATATTAATATTCCTTGCTAGGAAAAGAATTTGGTGATATCTTTCCTACTTGCACGTCCGTTTATAGGCTCTCTGCACGAAGAAAAATATGGCTCTTCTTGCCTGACCCCGCAGGCAGTCAGACCTTATGGTTGTCTTCCCTTGTTCCCTAAAAATCGCTATTATTCTGTTCTTTTTCAAGGTGCACTGATTTCATATTGTTCAAACACACGTTTTACAATCAATTTTTACAGTTAACGCAATTATCACAGTGGTCCTGAGGTGACGTACATCCTCAGCTTACGAAGATAACAGGATTAAGAGATTAAAGACAGGCATAAGAAATTACAAAAGTGTTACTGGGAACTGATAAATGTCCATATTAAAATGAAATCTTCACAATTTATGTTCCTCTGCTGTGGCTCCAGCCAGTCCCTCCATTTGGGGTCCCTGACTTCCCACAACACCCAGCCTGATTTGAACTTCTATATTCCCAGGGCTATTTTGATGATTTATATTATTCCAGAAACTTTTCCATTTCATTGAAGTTTTTAAATTTACAGGCACTAGGTGGTTTAGTTTATTCAAATATTATTTATTCTGTTCTAGTTCTTTTTTTTTTAAAGATGGATCTCACTGTCACCAGGCTGGAGTGCAGCGGTGCAATGATGGCTCACTGTGGCCTCGACCTCCTGGGCTCAAGTGATCCTCCTGTCTCATCCTCCTGAGTAGCTGGGACTAAAGGTGTACACCACTACACTCAGCTAATTTTTTATATTTTATTTTTTGTAGAGATGGGTCTCAATGTGTTGCTTAAGCTGGTCGCAAACTCTTGGCATCAAGTGATCCTCCTGCAGCCTTGACCTCTCAGGCTCAAAAATCCTCCTAGCCTTAGGCTCAAGTGATCCTTCTAGCCTCAGGCTACCTCGGAGGCAGGAGGATCACTTAGGCCAAGAGTTTGAGACCAGCCTGAAACTGCTGGGATTATAGGCATGAACCACCATGCTTAGCCTCCCTTTTCATTTCTAATATTTTGGTGCCTTTCTCCCTTTTCCCTTTAACAGTCCTGCTAGTGCTTTCTCTTTTTGATTAGTGTCTACAAAGAACCAACTTTTCATTGTAATCCCTTTCTCTCCTGCTTGTCTTCTAGATTACTAATTTCTTCTTATTGTGACCACATCCTGGTTCAGAGGATGTATCTTCTTCTAACTGCTATTCCAGCTATGCAGCTTTGTATAAGCATCTCACAGGTTGTGAGCACAACTTTTTCTACCTAAGTTTCATTTTTATTTTATTTATACTTTGGGAACTGTACTCTCAGCCACTTCTGCCAATTCTCAGACACAGAACCCAACAAGCCTACATCTTTAGTCTCAACTACTGCATTGTATTTCTATTTAGTTATAGTCCGTAAGGGCTTTAATCTTAATTTTAAGAACAGCTATATTTTAAGTATTTTCTCTTGTTATATCTTATCTACAATTGCATTGCTATGTATTTTAGGAGTGGTGGTTAAAGTGTAAACTTCCAACACCATCTTGACTGAAGGTCAAGCAACTACTGTTCTACTTCTTTTTAGAATTAGAAACTATTGGCCGCGTGTGGTGGCTCATGCCTGTAATCCCAGAACTTTGGGAGGTCAAGGCAGGCAGATCACTTGAGGCCAGGAATTTGAGACCAGCCTGGCCAACATGGCAAAACCCCATTGCTACTAAAAATACAAGAATTATCCAGGCATGGTGGTGCATGCCTGTAATCCCAGCTACTCGGGAGGCTGAGGCCTGATTCTGCTTGGGAGAACGGCTTGAACTCAGGAGATGGAGGTTGCAGTGAGCTGAGATCACACCATGCACTCCAACCTGGGTGACAGAGTTAAGACTCTGTCTCAAATTAAATAAATAGAAACCATTTATCTATTGAGAAAAATGTAAATAATTTTGAGTTCTTTGAGTAGATTTTAGCAAATTATATGAATAAAAGTTATTTTCTTTTCCTTTAGGATGTTTAAAAGTTAAAATAAAGCTATGTCAAAACTGTTTAGGAAGTATGTAGGGCCAAAGGACCTTCACCAAAAAGCCAAAAACAAATACCGAGCCCAGTGGCCTGAGAATGGACATAGAGGTAGCAAGGCAGTCAGATGATGCCCAGGACACAGAGAAGGCATCTTCAGATGACTCCAGCCCGAGCTCAGGAAAGATAAATCAGGAATTAAGGCTGCATATGGATATTCAGGAGGAGTACTGGCTACCCTCCTTGCTGGCTGTATCTTAGCAGTTTTCTCAGGTTGGCAGGAGCTTCTGGTAGAACTTTAGTGTGAAGATGAGGAAACTTATGAAATCTGTTACCACTCCCAGAGTGAAACCCCTATAGGGATCTCGGTCACTTCTAGAACCAACTTTAACCTACAGTATGAGGATGAAGGCATAGAATCATATTGTTCTAAGCACTCAGAAGAACTTCAGGGAGAGTCTATTGAGGATGATGAAAATATGATCCTTGTTGACATTTTATGATGAAGACATAGATCTGATCTCTAGAGAAGATTGCTCTGATCAACAGCACAATTGTTGGACATCTTTTTAGGACCTCACAGGACTTCAGGAGCATAAGCAGAACCACTTAGGGGAGGATTCCTACTGTCACCCCACCTGTAGCAAGGAATTATTCTGGGCTGCCAACCTATGCATGCACAAATTGATTCACTCTGGAGACCAGCCATGTAAGGGGCCTGAAAGTGATAAAGGTTTCATCTGCACAGCGGATGTTTGGAGGCACCTGTGTAATGTGCATGAGATGGAGTGCTCCAAAATGACTATGGAAAGTGTACTGTGAGAGATCCCTAGTCCATGGTACACCAAAGCCAGCACAGTTCAGATGAACAAAACACAGGGAAGGAAGACTGCAAACCACACATCTGTCCTCTCTGCTGTAAGGAGTTTCACAAATCAAACCTGCTGTCAAGACTTAAGGTGGCCCCTCAGCAGAGCAAGCCACAAAAATGCCAAGAGTGTGGTGTGGCCTTTGTCCATGTGGACAGGTGAAAAAGATACCAATAAATGCACTCTAGAGTGCAGCCTTTCTACCGAGATGAGTGTGGGGGACTTTCACTCAGCTGGTATCCCTGCAACCCTATCAGCGGATTCATTCTGGAGAGAAAGCAGTCTCCTGTGCTTCCTCTGCTCATGCTGTCACTCAGCCAGGGACCTTGAGGAGGCATGATGGACTCATGAAGTGGAGGGACCCTAGTGGCTGAGCTGTCAAGTTTATCTCCACCTTTTGTTTTTATGTCTATTAAGATCTATTCAATAAAACAAGTTTTCTGTCACTAACTTACTCAGTTCAGGCTTCTCCTCCAGGCCCTGCCCCTCATGAATGGCTTGAAATAAATCTAAGAATGCAGTTTTTCTCCCTCAGAAATGCTGTGGTTATTTCTAGCAAGAATAAGATAGGTACTTACAGGTATAGATAATACTGTTATTAATGGCTGAAAATTAAATAAATTATTACAGTTGAGTTTATGGTTGATAAGCTATATATAAATATATTTATATATATAAATTTTTATAGTTGATAAACTCAACTGTAAAAATTATTTAATTCTCAAATAAATAAGCCTTATCAAGGAGCCAAGCCATTTTCATAATCTGGTGTTCTACTTGGTTTCTTAAGGACTAGTCTTTATTGAAGTTTTCCGTAATTGCAATCCCTGTGATGGTTGGCATGCAGTTCTGAATGTAAATGTAGCCTCTTTCCTCAAGTCCATTTGCAGTCTGGTTTATCTTTGTCATTAATTATTTGTACTTTTCAAAAGAAAGTATTTATTTTTCTTAAAAGCTGTAACAATACTTATTTGGATGATTTTTCAAACTACATATACCATTTATATATTCCAAGAGTAATCGTTACATTTATAAGACATAACATGACTGATTTCCTGTATCAGCAATACATTCATTTCAGTATTTGAAGAAATTTGTTTACCACTTTGGAGTATAAGCTGTCTTAGTTACCTTGTTTGTTTTTCTCTTTTAAAAATTATCCAAAAGATAGTCTTTGATAGGGCTTACTTTGCAAGTCTGTGTTAGCCCTTTTGCTATTATAACTGACTTCAGTTCCTGGGTTTTGGTGCTGGAGACACATTTGGAAGTGGAATTCAAAAGAGAATCTTTATTTTAGGCCAGTTGATGGGCTTCAGGAGGCCTGTGACTCCTTGAAATTGTAACACAAAACATCAGTAATGAGGGGTTTTTGATAGGGTCCGCAGCTTTTATTGGATTCTCAAGTAGCTTGTGATTCAAGAAAAGGTTCAGAAGCATTTTCATCATAAAGATTTAGGAAACAGCTGCAGATCTAATTGGTTATAGCATTTTGGAAACTCTGGAGTGATTTTCAGACTCACTTTAATTTCATCCTTATCCTTAGTTCTTTACTACTTTTCTCAGGACTGGTATATCAATACAAAAGCACCATCTTTAGTATACTTGTAATAAATGCTTTCCTTCACATTTGTAATTTTACTGGCAGTAATCCTTTGCATGGTGTTTCCTTTTCTGAAAAATGGGGATAATATTATAATATTGCCCTCAAAGGACTGTGTTTTAGGCTCTGGAGAACTAGGAATTTCTCCCCTTTCTAGGAAAGACCATACATTAATTTACTTATCTTTGAATTAAGAATTGAAATATACCAAGAAAGAGAGTGACCAAAAGGGATTCATACTTACGATTCCTTATCAGATGTGATACTGGTGTCCAGGTATTTCTGCCCCCTTCTCAAAGGCTCCCTCTTCCTGGGCCCTGGAGCTATTAAGGCTCACTTGGCAATGGGACAGATTATACAAGGGTACCTATGCAACAACTGGGCCTCAACCAGCCTTAGTGGGTGGCCATTGGAGAGAATGTGGCAAGAGGCAGCAGACATGTTTCCAAACCTTCTGGCAATTTACTTAAGGTAGAAATCAGGGCTTGTGGTGACTAGTCTCTTACTCGTTAGGAGGAAGTTGTTCTTTATATTATTGTTTGTTATCTACTGTGGCATTACAAATTACCAACCAAAATTCAACATCTTAAAAAAAAACAAGTATTTATTATTTTACACAGTTTCCAAGGATCAGTAATTTGAGAGCCACTTAGCTGCACAGTTCTGGCTGTTGGTCTTTCATGAGGTTTCAATCAAGTAGTCAGCCAGGTCTCCAGTCAACTGAACTCTTGACTGGGGATAGAGGATCCACTTACAAGCTCACTGATGTGGCTGTTGGTGGAACACCCAGTTCCTCACCACAGGGCCTCTCTACAAGGCTACTCATGACATGGTGGCTGTCTTCTGCCAGAGCAAGTGAATGAGGGAAAAAGAGAGAGAAAGAGAAACAAAGTATCCTATGGAAGCCACAGTACTTTTTATGCCTAGCCTCCAAAGTCACACACCATCACTTCTGCTTTATTCTATCCATTAGAACCGAGTCACTAAGTCCAGCCCACACTAAAAGGGAAGGAAACTAGGCTCCACTCTCGAAGGGAGGTATGTCAAAGAATTTGTGAACACATTTTTAAAGCCACCACAGTGATGATGAAAAATAAAAATGTAAGCAGGCATAACTTCTAAACCAAAAGGCAAGAAATTTGCTACATATTCTCCTTGTTGCAGACAGGCAGCCTATTCTTAGAGAGGACACGTAGACCTTATTGACCTTTGCTTAACAATAACAGACAATAGCATGACCTATTAATCTTGATTGCGTTCCTGGAAAGGAAAATTGTTGCAGACCCCATGTGGGAATATTTTTCAAGGACCTTTCATAACAGATTATTGTAGGAATTAATTGAGATAATGAATGTAGTGCCCAATCCCTAAAAAGTGTTCACTAAATGGTAGCTATTTTTATCCTTTCACCAAGCCTTATTAACTCCACCCCTGAAATCTCTGGCATCTTCTCATCTTACCTCTGTCCCCACTTGTCCTTGACTTCATCTGAACTACCACAAGAGATTCCCTCTATCCCTGTTTTTGGCCTCCTCCATGTATTATTTGTTTTTAGCAAGAGGTGTTTTTCTTTAAATCTTAGTGATAACTTATATTTTATAGCAGTTCTATTCATTTGCTGAACCAATCTGCTGAGTTCCTGACACTCCTAAACAGTGAAACTCTGAACCAATTTGACTGAAAGTTGTAGGGTGGGGGTGGTTAAGGAGAAAAATGAGGAGGAGAGAGAGAAAGATAAAAACATTATCTAGACAGTGGAAAAATTGTACTGGCATGGTTTAATGCAGAATGGAAAGAGGGAAATTGATGTTAAAAATGAGCTTTCCTGTCAACTTAAACAGCTGCCCTCTTCTGGTTTGATGAAACATTGAGTCACTCCATCTTTGGCAATATGTTCATGGGTCATGGAGTTTGTAGTTCGTATTCTAGTTCTGAGTCTAGCAATGACATCTGCTTGAGTGTTCTGGCAATTAAACTAATGCTTTACACAAAATTTTCTTCCAAGCAAGATTTTTTAAGCTCTAGTTGGAATTCCTGGGTGATCTATTGTGTTCATATCAGGTTAATATAGCTTTTCAATGTGCATGCATTTAGAGTATAGAGTGTGTAAATGTTGACTGCCAAGATTAACTGCTGGTATATTTTTCTGTGTAAGGCACAGGCACAGAATGTTTCTTTAGCCAGTGATAGGAAACAACAGTGGGCCTTCAAGGAAGTATTACTCCTTTAACTCCAATTTATTCCCCCTGGCTAGGTTATTGACAGTTTCCGAGGCATCAATGATTAAGAGCTGCCAACCCAGACTCTCCCAGATCCATTAAGTCATTCACAGGTCTTTGTTCCTGAGTCATGCCATGATTTCTGCTGTGCTGTGTTTCAATTTTTATCATCGTTTAAACTAAATTTATTGTCATCCACTTTAAAAATGCACATCAACAACTCCATTCCAAACAGAGGCAGTTGGCCCTGTGAACAGTCTCTGGAGCAAGCATGTCTAAATGTCACATCATTACTATGCCAGCCACTTTCTAGCTGTGGTATCTTTCTCCCTTGATTTCCTAATCTTAAAAAAATGGGGATAAGAATCACCATAAGTTTGCTTTAAAAAACAGTTAACATATATAAAACATTTAGAACAGTTCCTGGCACAAACTGAACACAATGTAAGTGTTGGCTATTATCATTATGGTCTAAAGAATACAAGTCATGAGCACCATAGACTGGTGAACCCATCAGGGGAATTTTTATTAAGTGGAAACATATAAATGAACATTTTTACTGAGTATATTCAAATTAATTTTGGCACCCTGTACTGTGGAAACAGCATTAACCCAGAGAGAAGCTTTAAATTCTTTTTGTCACGAAGAAGGCCCTGCCCTTATTTTATTTTATTTATTTATTTTGAGACAGCATCTCACTTAGGCTGAATTGCAGTGGCATGATCACAGCTCACTGCGGCCGCCACCTCTTAGGCTCAAGTAATCATCTTGCCTCAGCTTCCCCAGTAGCTGGGACTATGTGTGTGTGCCACCACGCCTAGCTCATTTTTTTTGTTGTTGTTTTTTGAGATGGAGTTTCACTCTTGTCACCCTGGCTGGAGTGCAATGGTGTGATCTTGGCTCACTGCAACCTCCGCCTCCTGGGTTCAAGCGATTCTCCTGCCTCAGCCTCCCAAGTAGCTGAGATTACAGGCGCCTGCCACCATGCTCAGCTAATTTTTGTAATTTTAATAGAGATGGGGTTTTACCATGTTGGCCAGTCTGGTCTCGAATTCCTGACCTCAGGTGATTCACCCACCTCAGCCTCCCAAAGTGCTGGGATTATAGGCATGAGCCACCGCACCTGGCCAACCTGGCTCATTTTTAAATTTTTTTTTAAAGGGATGGGGGTGTCACTATGTTGCCCAGGCTAGTCTCAAACTCCTGGGATCAAGCAATCCTCCCACCTTGGCCTCCCAAAGTGCTGGGATTACAGGAATGAGCCACCACACCTGGCTTTACCCTGATTTTTAATTACATAATAGAGAAATAAGATTGTCTGCTGTGATGTACAGTAGGTTAACAGAAAACCAGAAAGTAGCTCGGCATAATTTGGGGCACAAATGCAAGACAGAATAACCTGTCTTCAAGCATTGATTCTTTTCCAAAGATGTGACTCAACTACCCCTACTCTGAATGGACAGACTCTACTGGGCAGAATTTGTCCCAAGCCACCTCACAGCTGGTTGGCTTCTCTTTTGTCCACTCCATGTACTGTTGCCTTCTACTTGTGTACCACTGTCTGGTCCAGTGATCTGTGACTACTGGTTCCAATGGGATTCCTTTCTTCTCTAATACCTACTCAGAATGACCCTTGCAGTTGATGTGAGAAAAGACTGGTTGGGACAATTTTCCTTAAAATCTGAGTTGTTTTGTGAAAGGCCTGAAGGACTAATGAACTTCTCTTGGACCTGTTCAGTACATTCTACCCCTTATATTCCAGAAACATAGTATACAGCACCAAAGATACCCAGCACAAGCAAATCCAGCGTTTCTGCCTATTAACAAGTACGCTCACTCCTTCTCCAAAGCTATGCCCATGTGGAAGCCATACCTAGATACCACACTGCAGACCTTTATCAGTATTCAAGGTTAGGGTTCAGCAAGTTATATGGTTAACAAACAGCGCAGGTGACTCCTATGCAACCAGGTTTTGGCGAACAACTCCATAAAAATTATAAAACAAAACCAATTTTTTTAATTTGTAAAAACTATACTAATGACCATCTTCAAGAAAGGATACAATGAAAAGGAGTAATCCTTCAGTCTTCAAATATTTTATTGATTATCTAGGAAAAAAAAGTTAGCTTTTGCTCTCTTCATAGTCACAAGCTCATCTTGTGACTTTTCTACCAATTTAAAGCTCTTGCATCCAGCCAAAGTTTCCGTCATATAGTAGGATCACTCTAACTTTTACCTACTACTATCACTTCTATTTTGCCAATGCAGATGCAGAAACTGAAGCCCAAGGTCACATCAACAGTAAAGGATGGGGATGGACTCTTTTATTACGGTTACCTTGGTCAAACAAGACACAAGACTATCTAGCTATCTAGCTATCTAGCTATCTCTCTTACTTCTCTTTGGCGCCCCCATGTGTCATGAGAATGCTATTTAGAGGTCACACCCTAGTTCCAAATCAGGTGGAAACCAAGAGAAATTCAGATTTGGCATTCTTTGGTGGCAATTTTAGGAATATACTAAAGGTACTCCCCCAAAAAGGGCACTATACCTTCTTATGGAATATCTTATTTAACTTCAGTAAGATGAGAAGTGCCGTTTGCCTATGTGCACCAAGGACATCTGTGGAGTCATAGATTCCTCACAGTTGAGGTTCAGCTAAGAACTACTGACTTTATACAGATCACTATACACATCAATACACTTTGCAGAATGGCTGTTAGTAATGCAAACTTTGAAATAACCTCATTAGATAACTGTGAGCACGTAGGCTTCCATACCTGGTTTTAATGATTTTGAAATGCAGACAAGCCAATGGCACTTGGGCAAAGGGTGTTTTGTTCACTTCAAGTCAAGACTAATGATTCAGACAAATTTAAATGAACCCAAACGGTTTCATGAACCATGGTCAAGGCTTTGTGGAGAAATTATATATGTCTCTCTGTAAATGGGCCAATTGCTTTGTAAATATCACATATGACTTAAGCCCTCAGAGTGCAAACAGGAAAAGAGGCAGCCAGAGAGAAGGCATATATGAATTTATATGAATTCTGTGGGTGAGACTCGGGTTAGATCTACTTACTAAATTCCACTATAAAGAGGAATGGGCTTCTTTTTCAGATGCTAAGGCTGTCCTGAACTTCTAGAATAACTGGAATATGACATAAACCACCTTCTCTAAGATAAAGCCCTTCTCCACTTCAAAGCCAAGACTCATAAAGATATATCCTAAGGGTAAAGCCATTTCTGCAGTCAAGTGAAATGATGGGATGTTGGACTGGGTTTGAGTTCCTCCAAAAACGGCGTTGCTTTGGGGGAGTTCATCATAGGGACCACTTCTGGGGATTCCTTTATTTATATAAAAACCAAAAAGCATCTTTCTCTAAAGAGGACCAGCCCCTCAGGCCTTCTTTTCAGTATTTGCATATGGCTTTGAGGGTAGGACAGGTTAGTCTTTTTCCCCACCTTATCCCTGGAGCCCGGCCCAGTGCCCAGCATGTAATTCTAGAAGCAGTTTCTGATTGATTCAGGTTCCCCAACCCAAGGAACTCAACGTTTGATCAGCTCCCACTACTTTGTCTTTCCCTTTTCCAATTGCTTATGACCTCGGACACTCAGAACCACTGATGTGAAACCACCCACCTGGGTGCTCTCTCGGTGGTGACTTTCTGTTCAAGGGATCAAATAAATAATCAAATGGACCACTGATGACCCGCGACCTGCTGGGAGGCGAGGCTGACCAGTGAGGCTGGCAATACCATGTGAGTGGGCCCACCTGGGAAGGTTCCAAGTAGTGAGGTCGACGATGCTATCTTCACTCGTCAGAGGAGGAAGGGATGGGCTCCTTCTTGCAGGTGCCGTGCTTGGCTCGGTGTCGTTGGAGGTGATTGGACCTGGTGAAGGCCTGGCCGCAGTCCTCACACTGGTAGGGCCTCTCTCCGTTGTGCATTCGTATGTGCTGGGCCAACTCAGAGGCAATGCGGAAGGCCCTGCCGCACTCGGCACAGAGGAATCCCTTCTCCCCGGAGTGGATCTGTTGGTGCCGCTTCAGGGTCGAAGAGCGGGCAAAGGCCTGGCCACACTGCGTGCAAGGAAAGGGCCTCTCGCCAGTGTGGATGCGCTGGTGGCGCACGAGGCGCGAGGGCTGCGCGAAGGCCACGCCGCAGTCAGCGCACTTGAAAGGCCTCTGGCCGGTGTGCAGCGTCTGGTGCTCGGACAGATTGGAGGACTTGGTGAAGCACTTGCCGCAGGTGGGGCAGGGGAAGGGCCGCTCGCCCGAGTGCACGCGCTGGTGCTCCACCATGCGGCTGGCCACAGCGAACTCCCGGTCGCAGGCGGGGCAGCGGAAGGGCTTGGCGCCCAGGTGCGTGCGCTGGTGGCGCAGCAGCGACAGCGGCTTGTTGAAGGTCAGGCCGCACTCGGAGCACGGGAAGGGCTTATTGTTGCTGTGCATGTTGCGCTGGTGTTTGCGCAGGTCCGAAGAGCGCACGAAGGCCTTCCCGCAGTCTGGACACGGGTAGGGTTTCTCGCCTGTGTGGGTGCGGATGTGCTTCCGGTGGTCGGAGGACCAGGTGTAGGCCTTGTCGCAGAAGGAGCACTGGTAGGGCCGCTCGCCCGTGTGCAGGCGCCTGTGCTGCTGGAGTGTGCCGCGGTGGGAGTAGGCCTTCCCGCATAGCTCGCACGCGTAGCGCTTGGCGGCGCCGCCGCGCGTCTCCGCGGGGCTCAGCGGCTTGCTGGGCTTCTGAAAGGCCCGCCCGCCCCGCAGGCACCTGTAGGGACGCGCCTCAGCCTCTCCGCCCTCGCGCCGGCCCGCCTGGTTCTGTACTTTCCTGCTGTTCCGCGCTTTTGCCAGGACCGCGGCAGCCAGGCTGGCTGGGGTGGCCGACGCCTGGGCTGGTGTATGTGTCTCTTGCGTGGGAAGGTCCCAGTTGCTCCCCGGCCTGGGGAAACACAACAGAGAAGAGTTCCCTGCGGACGTGTCTACACTTTTGTGCGCACAGAGATACTTTCCATTGCTGGGGAAGCTGGGTGGGACATCCAAGACTGCGTCCTGGTTTGCCCCCGAGTATCCATCATCACCCGCAGGTAGTCGGTCCCCAAGAGGTTGCATCTGACCTAACAATTTGTGTGCGAGACCACTGGGAAGGGAACCCAGAGCTCTGCTTGCTCCCGGGGAACCCTGGGTCTCGTTGATCTTTGTCACATCTCTGCTCCAACTGGCTTTCCCAGACATTTCCACTGGTTTCTGCCCCATGCCCCCAGCACTGGAGGAGTCAGAGAATTTCTCTTCCTCTTTGCCCAGTGGATGGGGCCATGGCAAGTCAGGATTTTCGTGTGTTACTGGGGAGCTGCCCCTTGGACAGGCCACCGGGTCAGCGGTGCCCTCTTTTTCGGCCTCCCCACCATCTTCATCGTCACTCTCTAAGTTCATGCTCAGCATCTGGGTGTCATGAGCTTCCTCAGTCAAGCTGCTGAGAGGAGACGCCTCTCCCCACCTGTCCTGGGAGTCCACTTGTGCCATGATGTTCAGGCGCTTCTATTGCCTACTCCTCTGAGGAGGAGTATCCTGCTTGGCTCAGGATACCTGCAAAAAGAAAAGTACGAAGAGAAAATCACAAAGAATGTACTTAATCACTTTCATGAGCAGAGGGACTGAGGTTCCCACTATAGCTCTGTTTCCAACTGGTCTCCATGTCAGGCATATTGTTGAGCCTCACTGAGGACAGAGGCCTGGCTCTGCTGAAAATTCCAGTCATCCTATTCCCTCTGGAGATCCCACTTGCTATAAGCCCCAGGAGACCATGCTGTCAGGAATAGCCAGGGTGGGGCATTTGCTGGGTGCCAGCTGTGCCTTGTCCTGTCTAGGGTGCTCATCCCCAACCACTAACCAAATGTGTCCTTTGTCAGCATGGGGGACAACTCGATGAGAGGGTAGGAACCAAGCTGTGGTCCTCCTAAGACACTCTTACAGTGTCCCCCACTCAGGAAGCTGGAAACCAGGCTGGCTTTTGCTGTCCCTGCCAGGAATGGAAGTCTGCCATCCCATGATGGTGTCAGCTAGGGTTACCTCTCAGGCCCTGGGCTGTGTAGGCCACCTCTTCCAAAGATAAGGAGCAGCCCTTGGGAGAATGAGGGTGAGTCAGGAAGGCACCAGTTGCCCCTCACTGATTAAGCGGGGCTTCTCAGGCCCTTGTAACTTCTGAGGAACTCCTAACTGCCAGGAAGGCTACCCATAAGCACCCGGGGGCAGAGGATGCCCACTGAGAGCTTGACCTGTCTTTGAAATTTTGCTTCATCATAAACATTCAGGAGAGTTTACATTTTATGTCTCATTTTTGTTTTTGTTTTTAATTGAGTCGGAGTCTCGCTCTGTCACCCAGGCTGGAGTGCAGTGGCGCGATCTTGGCTCACTGCAACCTCTGCCTCCCGGTTCAAGTGATTCTCTGCCTCAGCCTCTTGAGTAGCTGGGATTACAGGTGCCCACCACCATGCCCGGCTAATTTTTGTATTTTTAGTAGATACAGGGTTTCACCATCTTGGCCAGGCTGGTCTTGAACTCCTGACCTTGTGATCCACCTGCCTCGGCCTCCCGAAGTGCTGGGATTACAGGCATGAGCCACTGTGCCCTGCCAGTCGCATTTGTTTTATAGAAAATAGTATTAAAGTTACCTGGGTTTAAATGTTTAATCTTCCCCCAAGTGTGCCATATTGATCCCCTGGCATACCACAGATGTCCACTGGGGTACACATCTCCTGACTCAAGAAGCCAGATGTAGGATTTCAAACATAATGCATGAGACATGAGAGCCATTTGGGTTTTATTTTCAAACTTATTTTATTTTAGCTTGAAGACATGGAGAAAGCCTGCTGGAGGATTGGTTAACAAGGATTGGATGAGTGACAGATTTTAAAGGAGTTACTAGAGAGGCAGGGTACTGAGGGCCTCTCCAGGGGGACAACTGTTGACCAGAGGGCTAAATCTGCTTTAGTCTGGAGAGAAACTTCTGAGAATCCCAGAGGGGGTATTAAAACTCTCATTTTTCTGGGCACACGTTATGAGCCAGCCACTATGCTGAGTGCTTCACAAACATAATTTCATTTATTCCTCTCAGCAAACTTTAAGATAGATGCTATTGGGAGGCCGAGGCAGACGGATGATGAGGTCAAGAGATTGAGACCATTCTGGCTAACACGGTGAAACCCCGTCTCTACTAAAAATACAAAAAAATTAGCTGGGCATGGTGGCGGAGCTTGCAGTGAGCTGAGATCGCGCCACTGCACTCCAGCCTGGGTGACAGAGCGAGACTACATCTCAAAAAAAAAAAAAAAGATAGATGCTATTATTACTATATTATTCTTTCAATTTTACAGACCAGGAAACTGAGCTTTATTGAGGTTACTTACCTGCCCAAGGCCACACAGCTCATAGACAGCAGCAGTGGGGTTTCTCTCTAATTTTAAGGCCATTAAGCCCCAAATGGTCCTGCCTCCCAGCTGTGGCCTTCAGACTGAAGCCTGCTCTGGGGCTGGGCTCTGCCCAAGAGCAGCTGCAGCATCCTGGGGTGAAAAGCCGTGGCTTTCTGCAGGCATCAAAGCCCCTTGTGTTTTCTGGGCCAAGGAACCTTGGCTACAGGGCCTCACTGCTGGGCTCCTCCCTGCTTTCATTGACCCAGATTGCCCTCCGCCAAAGAGAGAGGCCAGTGGCTGCCCATCAGAGCCAGGACCCATGTTGCAGAGGCCACTGCCTGTGGTGCTCAAGAGTATTAGTCACTGAGTATTTACCTTCTGAAAGCTCCTTCTCTCTACCTCTGCCCACCTTTCACTGCCATCTCAGACTGGATAAAAGGAGTGATCTTTGTATTTGGCTGGTACAGTTAACCCTATCCCCATCTCATTAAACTGTTCTTCCCTGGTTTCTGCCTGATCATGAGCCCAGTTACCCTGTGTGTATGAAGAGGGAGCAGTATGGAGGAATCCTCACTTTCTGCTCTGGATACAGAAGCCATGGATGGAGGGAGGACACATTGCAGTTGTGACTGGAATTCAGCATCTCACGTCTCTTTGTGCCCTAAAGCCCAGGGACCACTCCTCTTCTCTCACTGCTTCCCTCACCCATCACATGGCAGAGGGTAGCTGGCATGCCTTTTGACAGGAGCCCAGATCTGACATATTTTCAGCATAGTGGATCTTAGGGAGTGAATGTGTAGTTCATAGAGGGGACATACCACTAGCCAACCTCATAGAACTTGCTCAGACCAGCAGGCTTGATCCGGGGCTGTAGGTCCCCCAGCAGGGACAGCAAAGGGATGCTGGATTTGTATGAAACACATGTCTTAGGTCTCTTTCCCTCTTTACGACAACATACTGCCTGTTTCTGTGGCACTGTTCACAGATCACTGACTTTACCCGCTCCCCACCCCACCTCCAGCACAAATACCCCATTTTCCACAGTCTGTGTGTCATTCTTTTCCTCTGGGCCACAGGGGAGCCTCCTTAGGGTGGCACACAGCCCTCCACTAGCTAACCAATCTCCTCTCCAGAGCCCGTCAGGAGACTCTCTTTTCAGATGAGGTATCCCTCCTCCATCTGAAGCCATATCCCCAGTGAATATGTCCTGCTTTCTTCCTCCTGTCGCTGCCACACGCATGCTCTCGACCACCAGGAAGACCTGGAGGCAGGCAGGGGCACAGGGAGGGATTTTCTGGCAAAGTCTGCACAAATATACCTGGTCTGAAAGAGGAACACTGATGCCATGGTATGGCGGGCCTCTCTGCTCCCCAGATGTGCTAGTCCCCAGAGGCTGTCAGAGCAGTCCTTTGCTGGAACTTCCTCTGCACTTGCCAGCCAAGAGTGGACCAAATGCAGCCTTTGACTCCCCAACCTCATACATCCATCAACACTCTGCAGAAGCCTACCCTAAGGGCTTGTTGCAACCCCAGCCCATACCCCTCTTCTTTCCTTCATTCTTTCCAGATTGTACTGAAGTCCATCCTAGGCAGCCGCCTCCTACTTTCTTCTCTGCTCACCGCCTTCAGGCCTTGCTCTCCACTCCTGGCTCACACACAGACGGTTGCTTACCTGGGAAATGCAGACAGCAGTGTGGGGCCTCTGCCCTGGCTTCTGTGACACGTGGGCTCTCAGCAACAGGAACCAGTTAGGTACAAATCAGCAGAGATGGTGTCTCTGTCTCTCACGCTTTGTGTCCAGTCCAGCGGCTGCAGAGAGAGCCTCTGGAGGTGGGGCCAGTGTAATACACTCAACCTTCCTGCCTGCATCCAGAGAGCAGCCTGGGAAATAGAGTGGGGCTGCCCTCTCTCACTGCCTGAACCGATCCTCTGGCTCCCTCTGCTCCTGCCTCCCCTCCCTGCCAAAGCCAGCCTTCCTCCTTCCCTCCTCTCAGTCTTCCTGCAGGTGGCCCTATGCCTCTTGTTCACTTTCACTCCTTCCTTCCACAGAGCAGTCCATCCTTCACTTTAGCCCTGGTATGCCCATGGGCCACATGTCACTTGTGAGCTTCCTGGGTAGCATGCTTTTTCCCTCCTGGAAGGCAGAACAGAGTATTTGGCCTATATGCCCACCTCCCTATTCTAGTACCCACCTTTTGCAGGACTGTGAGTTGCAGAACTGTGAGGGGTTGGGATTCCCAGAATTCTTTGTAGCAGCCCATTCATTGGCTCAAAGATGCCCACAGCCTTTTAACTGGGAGTAGGGGTGCAGGGAGATGGTTTTCTGTCTTATGCATACAGATGCCAGGCCTGTCTGGGGTCTCTTTCCACTTTCAGCATTGATTCCCATGCAGGTTCATTTTGAAGAGAAGGATTGGCCCAAGGTAGAAGACTCAGTACATTCAGAATTTTTACCCACTCAAGTCTAATGTGCATTTATTAGGATGAACATTCAGGGCATTAAAATAGGTGATGGAAGTGTGGTTCCTGTGATGTCACTAGGTGGTCACAAAGTATACTGATTGACAGCACGGTCTGGGTCTGGGTTTGAATCTTACTACTTACTAGCTGTGTGATCTTGGGCAAGTTATTTAACCTCTGTGTGCCTTAGTGTCTCATCTGCAAAACAGGGACCAGGATACTATTGCCATCATGGAAGTTTGGGGAGTATTAAATGAGATAATGCATGTAAGGAGCTTAGTTCGGTGTTTGGAACATAGCAAGTACCCAAAAACGTTAGCTGCTTTCATTGTTATTATTGACGATTTTTAAAAATTTTAAGTTCCGGGATACATGTGCAGGATATGCAGGTTTGTTACATAGGTAAACATGTGCCATGCTGGTTTGCTGCACCTATCAACCCTTCCTTCACCTAGGTATTAAGCCCGGCATGCATTAGCTATTTTTCCTGATGCTCTCTCCACCCCGCACTCCCCCAACTGGCCCCAATATGTGTTGTTCCCCTCCCTGTGTCCATGTGTTCTCACTGTTCAGCTCCCATTTATAAGTGAGAACATGCGGTGTTTGGTTTTCTGTTCCTTTGCCAGTTTGCTGAGGATAATGCCTCCAGCTCCATCCCTGTCCCTGCAAAGGATATGATCCTGTTCCTTTTTATGGCTGCATGGTATTCCATGGTGTATATATACCACATTTTCTTTATCCAGTCTATCATTGATGGGCATTTGGGTTGATTCCAAGTCTGCTATTGTGAATAGTGCGGCATTGAACATATGCATGCATGTATCTTTATAATAGAATTATTTATATTCCTTTGGGTATATTCCCAGTAATGGGATTGTGGATCAAATGGTATTTCTGGTTCTAAATCTTTGAGGAATCGCTATACTGTCTTCCACAATGGTTGAACTAATTTACATTCCCACCAACAGCGTAAAAACGTTGCTATTTCTTCGCAACCTCGCCAGCATCTGTTGTTTCTTGACTTTTTGATAATCGCCATTCTGACTGGCATGAGATGGTATCTCATTGTGGTTTTAATTTGCATTTCTCTAATGATCAGTAATGTTGAGCTCTTTTTTCATGTATTTGTTGGCTGCATGTATGTCTTCTTTTGAGAAGTGTCTATTCACATTCTTTGCCCACTTTTTAATGGGGTTGTTTGTGGGGGGTTTCGTAAATTTGCTTAAGTTCCTTGTAGATTCTGGATATTAGACCTTTGTCAGATGGATAGATTGAAAACATTTTCTCCCATTCTATAGGTTGTCTGTTCACTCTGATGATAGTTTCTTTTGCTGTGCAGAAGCTCATTAGTTTAATTCGATCCCATTTGTCAATTTTTGCTTTTGTTGCAATTGCTTTTGGCAATTTCATAAAATCTTTTCCTATGCCTATGTCCTGAATGTTATTGCCTAGATTTTCTTCTAGGGTTTTTATAGTTTTTGGTTTTACGTTTAAGTCTTTAATTCATCTAGTGTTAATTTTTGTGTAAGGTGTAAGGAAGGGGCCAGTTTCAATTTTGTGCATATGGCTAGCCAGTTCTCCTGGCACCATTTATTAAATAGGGAATCCCTTCCCCATTGCTTGTTTTTGTCAGGTTTTCGGAAGATCAGATGGTTGTAGATGTGTGGTTTTATTTCTAAGTTCTCTTTCTGTTTCATTGGTCTATGTGCCTGTTTTTGTAGCATACCATGCTGTTTTGGTTACTGTAGCCTTGTAGTATAGTTTGAAGTTGGGTAGCATGATGCCTCTAGCTTTGTTATTTTTGCTTAGGATTGTCTTGGCTCTACAAGCTCTTGTTTGGTTCTATATGAATTTTAAAATAGTTTTTTCTAATTCTGTGAAGAATGTCAGTGGTAGTTTAATGGGAATAGCACTGAATCTATAAATTGCTTTGGGCAGTATGGCCATTTTCACAATATTGGTTCTTCCTATTCATTATTGATGATTTTGTTGTTTTTAGGGAAGACATCATTCCAGGGCTGCTTTTATATCCCTGTGGCCCTGTTGAAGCTGCAACTCTTCTGAACAGCAGTTTTCAGAATGTGATCCAGAAAAGCAGGTTTCAATGTCCCCTTGGTGTTTTTAAGGCATGGTTTCAGAGGAAAGAGGCAGGCAGCAGAGACATACCTCTAGGTCTCTGAGTCTGAATATCTGGAATAGGGTTCAAATTCTGAAGTCCATAGAGCCTCTGAAATAAAGTGCAGAATGTGGCAGATATGGGGACATGTGCTGTTCTGACAAGAGGATCCTTGGTAGCCATCCATTTCTTGAAGGGGCCATGATCCAAAAAATGTTGAGAACCATTGGCATTTGGGGAGAGCATGGGATGGGGAGAGTAGGTGAACACTTAAAATAGCTCCCATAGCCACGTTATCAGTTGGTGCTGCCACTAGCCCGCATCCCAACATGGTTGCTCAAAATATCCCAAGTGTCCATATGGTACGGGCTTTGAGCTTCAGCTATCTTTGGCAAGAAAGTACCTAATTCTTCACTGATTGTGAAGGAGCCTGTGGAGATGAAAGTTGGAGCTGGGATGAGTGTGTGTGTGTATGTCCCTCCCATTCCCAGCCTCACAGCAATGGTACATTTATTGAGCAGTTACTAGTGCTAACACTATGCTAGCATGCCACACACAATGCCCCAATTAATCTTCATCACATCCTAACGAAGCAGCTACTACTAGTGTTACCTGCATTTACAGATGGAGGATACAGAGCCATAGGCAGCTTAAGGGCCACAGCCACACAGTTCCTACATAGTGGAGCTGCAATTTGAGCCAAGGTATCAGAGTCTGCACTCTTAACCACTACCACATTAGATTCCCAAACACTGTCCCTCAGAGCCTGCATGCTTGGCCTTTGCTTGACTCTACCCTTATTTCCTCCTGGAAAGTCTTAGTCCCTCCTCCCCAAGGCTATGTGACCTGTGTATCTGTGGTCACTATAGTCATTCCCCCAGAAGGCATTCTTCTCCCTCAGCCTTGCTGCCCAGAGAGATGGTTCCCACTAAGTGCCTGCACAGTCTCATCACCTATTCCTCATTCAGCCTGGACAGCCTGTTTTCCATCATGCTTTATTTCTAGAAACCGTAACAACCGAGTAATTAGCAGACACCTTGGGACTTCCACGTTAAATTGTCCACGTGAGTCCTCCTTGGTTTTCAAGACACACTGGTGTTGCCATCTCACTGGTATGGGATAGTCCACCTAGTGGTGAATGGGACCAGGACTGGCCTGGAGGCTACATCAAGAGACAAGGTGTACACAAGCCCCTTATCTCCCTGAGTCACCTACCCTGATACATCCTCCAAGCCATCTTAAGAACGCTGTTTGGAAGTGCCATGTGCCTTTATCTATGTGAGACTTCACTATCCTAATGAGTGGCACATAGTGGGTGCAGATCAGGCCTCAGATCTGAATCCCAGGTCTTGCCTATCCCACTGGTCAACCTATTGCTCAGACTCCAAGGGACAGGAATCCCTTTTGTTTCCTGGGTGTGTTTCCCTTTTGACAGCACAAGCACATTTACTGTCTCATTTAATCTTTCCAACACTCACTGTAAGGACCACTAGAAATGGAGAGCGGAAGGCCCTTTCCCTAAGGCCACATCCTTTTCCTGCTTTTAGGAACTTCTGAAATCTGTGTCATTCTGCCCAGTTCCTTAAGCATGGAAACAAAGTAGGTGTTCTTTTATGTATTGGTTATTATTTGCAAGTCTGCCTCTAAAATCTGGCAATTCCTCTGAGCTGCTGACTGGCAGTAGTGAAAACAAGGGTCTGCCCGCCTGTCTGGGAAGAGGAAAAAGCAGAGACTGAAGGAGTAACACAAGGCATCTGGGAGAGAGAAGGGCATTTGATGGGCATGGTGCAGGAGCTCATTTGTGCCTATCAATGACATGGACTGGATGGGTGGAGTGGAGTGACGTGGTGGAACATGAGCCACACTGGCCTATGTTCTTCCCCATGCTCTGCTGCCAGCTGTCATCACAGCAATCTGCCTGAGCTGCTTCCAAACAGTGTGAATGGTTGGTGAGGTATACTATCTAATCTTCTTCTTGCCCCAGCCCTTCATCATCCTTGAGGAGGAGTGATAGAGGCAGTTAAGTGGCCAATACATGGTGGAGACTTTAAATATTGTTTTTCATGCAGGCATCAAACTTTGCTGAGTATGAATACACATGCAGAAAGCAGAATTGGACAGGAACTCAGTACACAACCTTGAGTCAGAAAGGCCTGGCTTTAATCCCATTTCTGTTTGTTTGATGATCTTGGTCCATTTACTTAACTTCTTTGAGCCTCATGCTCCTCACCCATAAAATGGGAATAAGAATAATTTCATGATAGGGTTGTAAAATAATCTGAAACCACATTTTAAAAGCATTTGGTCTAGTGTTAGCTGTATAGTCATTTTTCAATAAATTATAAGCCTTATTATTTTTATCCTAGAGCTATTGGGAGCTTGCTGATACCTTTGCTCCATCCCTGTTCTTCCAGAATGCTAGCCCTTAATTACTCTGCTTCCAGAAGGGTGCCATTCTCTGATTCTGGTCTCCTAGCCCCAAACATTCCCACTGAGAGACTGACCAAGCAGCCTTTTTTGAGGCCAATAACGTTCCTAGAGCAGTGATGTCATAAACCTGGGTCTGTCATCGCGTGCTACACTTGGCACACGTGGCAATCAGTGACAGAGTGGAAGGTTTGTGCTCTGGATGGGATGACATTATAAGGCAATGACATCACATGTCAGTACTTCCTGGCACCCCCTGCAGAACAGTGCCAGGTAGAATGCCTTCTCTTCACTAACTCAACACCACCTGCCCCAGTGAAGACTGCACAGTGTAGTGATGGAGCATACAGGCTCTGACATCAGGCTACTTGGGTAAATCCTATTTCTACACCCTGCATGACTGTGAGCAAGTTGCTTAACCTTTCTGTGCCCCAGTTTCTTTGTCTGTAAATTATGGCTAATAATAATATTTAATATCTAGCTTACAGAGTTGTTGTGGGGTTTAAATGAGATGATGTGCTTTGCAGAGTACAAGGGATGGACAAGTGCCCAATCAGTATTAGCTAACAATATAATATGGGGTAGGAAGGCACCTCTACCTCCTGTCTAAACAGCAGAGAACCCAGAGAACCCACCTCTGGTCTCCACTGGAACCTTTTCCTCAAACTTTCTGAAGCCCTTACTCAGTATAACCAGGTCCTACTGAGGCAGTGGTCTCTGGAGCCACTTCTGGAGCTCACCAGAAGACCAGCCCTTTCCAAGCTTCTCAAGACCTACATTGCACTATAGTGACCCTGCCAGATGACCCTGGAAGCCTCTGGCCCAGGCCGAGGGAGCATAAGCTGCAAGCAGTGGGTTGGGCTTCACTGCAAGCAGTTGGATGGGTTCATGGAACCCTCAGGGTACAAGAGGCTGAAGATTCAAATTGTCTACTGACATAGCAGCATATTATCTTGGCCCACACTGACTACCACATCTTTCAAGGCCACAGAGACTTCAGGCCTCCACTCCTCCACATTCCACCTCAGCCTTGGGACCTTGTAGAAAACTGAGGAAGAACACCACAAATGAGACTTCTGGGAATCTTCTATACCTTAGGTTTACGTTCTGACTTTACTGGTCCTTCTGGGCTCAGGGATAGAAGGTCTGGGGAGGTTAGAAGGGAAGATACTGCTTATCTTTACGTAATAAACACATTGAAAAAGAACCCTCTGATCTCTTGTATCAGTGGGAATCCCTTGAACTGAGGCTTACCAGAGCCCAGGGGCATGATGAAGCTGTTGGAAATTTAAAAACAAAGGCATCGACCTCAGTATTTTTAATGAAGAGATCTAAGAAATTATCTAGTGCAGCCCCTCTGTTTTACTGGTGTTGAGATTGAAGTATTCATTTATTTGTTCGATCATTCATTTACTCACCAAACATTTGTTGAGCTTTACTATGTCAGTGTTTTTCAGACTGCAGGACACAATCTGTGAATATGACAGGGAATCACTTTAGTGAGCCACAACCAACATTCTTTTTTAGAATAGAACAGAAGACAGTAGAATATATCAAAGTGTCTCACACATAAAAGTATAGTTTCATGTAATTTTTGTTTTAGGTTTATAAACATAGTCTGGGGGTATATAATGAAGACTGTATCTCATAGTCTGGTTTGCTCTGATTCTTGGTCAAACACAGTTGAAAAACATTGTACATTGCATCAACCCTGCTGTACATAAGAATAATCTGGGGCCAGGTGCAGTGGCTCATGCCTGTAACCTGTAGTCCCAGCACTTTGGGAGGCTGGGGCGGGAGGATCCCTTGAGCCCAGGAGTTCGAGACCAGCCTCGGCAACATAGGGAGACCTCACCTTCACAAAGAATTTTTAAAAATTAGCTGGATGTGGTGGCACACACCTGTGGTCCCAGCTACTCAGGAGGCTGAGGCAGGAGGATCAGTTAAGCTCAGGCTACAGTGAGCCATGATCAAACCACTGCACTCCAGGCTGGGCAACAGAGTGAGACCGAGTCTCAAAGGAAAAAGAAAAGAAAATTTTCCTCTCTGTTCTTAGAAGAAAGAAAGAAAGAAGGGAGGAACAAAGGAAGGAAGGAAGGAGAGAGGAAGGGAAAGGCAGGGGGCTCGCCACCGTCCAGAATTCTCCCCCATATTCCCTGATCCTTGCTTACCGCCTTGGGCAGGTGCTGTCTCTTTCTCTCTGGACCAGGCTGGAGCCTCCCGGCTCTCTGGCTCCCCCTTTGGCTCCCTGGAACATTGCCGCTGGGAGCCTGGCTTCTGACACAGCTGCGGAGCTCCTGGCTCCGCTGTCCTCCCAGGTCACACCACCTACATGCGCTGGCCAGGGTACAAGGGGCCTTTTCTTTCCAAGGCCCCCATCAAAACCACACGCCTCTCCTCGCAGCTGTCTAGCTCGGCTGCCTGAACACAGAGGTAATTCACAGGAGATGTGGAAGGGCATTTGAGGTTTCCATAAAAACATACTCCCTTTTCCTCTTTCAACTGCTGCACTGAACGTAACCAGAGAGGACCTCTCTTCATAGCACTCTGGCCACGGGTGTGAAGCAAGTTTCTTGAAAGAAATTTCCTATAGGGCTGCTGGAGTGCGGCATCCCTCTGTAGGTGTGGATTCTCCTGGCAGGATGAGCTGTGGCCTGGTTTTGCCTATATTGAACAGTAAGCATGTCTATTCTTTGAAAAGACCATGAAAACCTCTGGCAAATCTAATGGGGAGTGGGGGCTGGGTGAGTTAAAAAGAAATAAAATATAAGTAAGGTATAAAAATATAAAGGCATACTTTGAGCAATTTTATGTCATCATGTTTGAAAACATCAATGAAGCAAATTACATTCTTGTACATATGTAGAATTGAAATCTTACATTTGGAATAAAAAGTATCAACAATCTGCTAATAGCTGGGCCTCATCAGATGAAAGTGCCTGGGCCAGACCCAGTCCTTGGCCTTGCAGAGACAAAAACTCTATTTTGACACGCTTCCCCCACCCACCTGTCACCACCTCCACCCCAGGTGCCCAGGCTAGTTAGGGAAGGGCAGAGGTGTGAGGGCTCCAGGCATGGCTACTCTGGAGAGCAAGCTTCTGCTCTTCAGCCAGGTTTTCTCACTTAGGAGGGGAGGGAGGATGAGATATGGCAGAGGCCCTTTGCACAGTGATGTGCAGTCCTTCTTTACCAGGAAAAACGGGACTGCCGAGGATCCCAGGACATTCCTGAAGGCTCACCAGCCTGGCTCTATGCATAGGACAGTGTAGACAAGTTGAACTACAGCACCAAGAGCACTGAATCAGAGCTGGGGCTGGTATCAGGAGCCTGGTGCCTCTTCTGCACCCCAAGGACACGGCTGTGTAACCGGACCCAGGTTCAGCTGCTTGCTGCTGCAAAGCCAGAGGCAAGGGGTTCTGGGAGGAAAAGCAGAGCCAGCAAACCCAGAAGATGGCAAGCTAGCATTCTAAAGTATCATCTTACATTTTATAACTTACCATAGAGTTTTTAAAGGGATATGTGGTATAGGGGACATGTGGGAGTGGTACAGGGTACTGGACTTGTGTGTCTTGTTCCGTTGGCTCTCTTGGTTAATTGCTCATCAGGAGGTCTGGTTGGTATTAGCTTGATTTTGGCTCAATTGTTCACAACTCCCCCTAAGTGGGAGGAGTGGGGCACCTGGATTGTTTCAATATTAGCCTCTGGGATTTCTTAGGTAAGAGCATAATTAGATAAGCATGCACTGGTGAGGGGATTGTCTAGAGAGGGAAGGAATGAAGGGGTAAGAGGGAAGGGAAGGAAGAAAAGGAAATGGGTGATTTTTAAAACAGAGGTTCCTGGTTATAACTGCACAGGGCCCTGTTACCTGTGGCTCCAGCTGCAGGTTTGCTCTCACACAACCTATATGGGCAGTACTGGGGATAGACCTAAGTTCTCGCTTTGCCAAGTCCCTTTTCCTGGACCCTGGCAGGCCATTCTCCTGTTGACACATCTTCAACTGTAAAGGTTGCCCCTTAGTTAGTTAGCACCCAGCTATAGTTTCATCCCAGTCCCAGTGACACTGTTTCAGCACCTTCAGTGGACCTGGGGGCTTCCTGAGCCTGTTCAGCTCTGTGTTTCTGGGCTACACACCCACATCGGCTCCTTGGGTGGTTTACCCTCACCCATTAGGATTCTTCCTCTTAAGAGGTGAAGACATCCCCAAGCTTCAGAACAGCCTTACTGTAGCCATCTGCTTAGTATAGGTTGAGCACCACTAACCTCAAAATCCAAAGTCTGAAATGCTCCAAAATCCAAAACTTTCAGAACACTGACATGATGCCAAAAGTGAAAAATTCTACACCTGACCTCATGTGACAGGTCATAGCCAAAATGCAGGTGCACAACACACAGTTTATTCAGAATGCCTCCTCATCCTAAGGGACCCACCTCCTGGTCCCCCACTGCTTTGGATGTTTCTCCTCACCTAAAAAAAAAAAAATACAGCGTTCAATGACCTTTTAATCAAAACACAGCATTGTAGCTGAAAGCCTGTTGTTTGTTGCTGCTGTTGTCTGACAGCTGATACAGGTATTCTGGTGATGCTCCTGTGCTGCTTATTTACCCAGACACATTATTTTTTCATTGTATTAATAATGTATCTTTTTTTACTGTTTAAGTACTTATGTGTAAATAAGTATAGGAAAATGATTGCTTATTGGTAGCATCCACAGTTAGAGTCAGGAATGATGATGATGCCAAACAACCATGTTTGGTTTGTCCACATGGGTGACTGAGATAGTGACACCTGTGCTTTCTAATGGCTCAATGTATGCAAACTTTATTTCATACACAAAATTATTTAAAATATCATATAAAATTAACCTTGGAATATGTATATAAGGTGTATATGAAACATAAATGAATTTTGTGTTTAGACTTGGGTCTCATCCCCAAGATATCTCATTATGTATATGCATATATTCCAAAATATGAAATCCATAACATTGCTGATTCCAAGTATTTTGGATAAGGGATACTCAACTTATATAATGAGAAAAGGCAGGAGTATGGAGTACAACTTTGGAGTCAGAAGGGCTTGCGTTCAAATCCCTGCTCTGCCACTTGCTAGTTGTATGACCTTGATGAAGTTCTCTGGCTTGTCTCAGGCCTGTTTGTGTAGGAGGGGCAATGGGGTTAACAGCGCCTCTCTTATGGAACTTCTGTATGTGTTATGCAGACAAACATTTCATCATCACCGTGCACAGTGCAAGAGCTCAGTGCATAACAGCTGTGTTGTTCTCAAAAAGTAGAAAACATGGAGAGACTGGTAGCTGAGGAAAAAAATGAGAAAAGAACTGCAGTCCTTTTGTAGTCCTAGTTTCTCTGTTCAGGACTCAGCATTTGATGATGTTTACGGGTCTCTTCAAACATGGCTTCCAAACTGAACATGATGTTTTGGGTGCAGCTGGTCTGACCATTATGGAGCAAAGAAGACTTGGCTCTTCCTTATTTCTGGTTCTCCCTTGGTATCCCAAAAACTTTGGCCTTTCTGGTGGGCACAACCACCTAACCCCTTCAGTGTTAAGAAACATCCCAAAGCATTTTGTACATAAGCAATGGTGATGTCACATCTCTTCTATGCTATTTTTGGGTAGCTGGACTTCTCTTGTGAGTTGAATTTTGATTTGGGGGTACAAGATGTTATATTAGGGACCAACATCTCTGAAGGGAAGGGGGATCAACAGAATTGGGTAGCGGAAGATGAGGCCCAACAAAGCCTCAGCCAACCTGGCAGAAAGCTTTGGAGCAAGTTTCCTTGGGCAGAGTGCCCAGCATTGGGCTGAAGAGGCCAGCTCTTTCAATATCCAGGTCACCAGATACAGGAGGCAGTGGAAAGGCTATGATCTCGGACAAGGCAGCTCTCTGCAGTTGAGGCAGACTCTGAAGGAGCTGACAGCTAAAGGTTGTCTGCTGACTACATTCCCCACAGCTGCACAGCAAGTGCTTCTCTGGAGGAAGATCTGGGCAGCACATCTTCATGTGTGTACCTCTGTACCCAGGTGTAGCACCTACAATTCCCACTTCAGCCCAGCTGCAGAGGCCAGTGCTGTCCTAGGTAAGAGAGGCCTTTTCTCTCTTACTGCTTCTTTCCCATACAGGCCAGCTTCTAGAAACCCTTATCTACACATGCTCTCTCCACTTTTTCTCATTCCATTTACTCTTCAAGCCTGTTACACTCTAGCTGCTACCCTCCATCTAATTGAAATTGCTCTAGTCAAGGTCGTTGACCTCCATTTAGGAAAAGCCAAAATACACATTTTTTGTCCCTTACTGAAACTCTCAGCCTCAGTAAACATGGTTGGCCTCACCCTCCTTCCCCACTTTCCTTTCCTGGCTTCCTCATATGTCTCTTTTCCACCTCTTTCTGTCTTTAAATGTCGGCATTCTTCAGAATTTGGCCCTAAGTGCTCCATTCCTCTCCACTCCTCTTCTATCTCTTCTGTTACCTCTCTTTTCCTCTTCTCTCTTCTCTTCTTTAATATTTTCTTCCCCTTCCCTTTATCTCCCCTTTTTCCCTCTCTTCTCTGATCCTATTCCTTTCTCTCCTCTCTTCTTCTCTTCTGTTTTCTCCATATGTTCTCTCTAAGTGATTTTATTCATGCTCTTGGCTTGAAATCTCACCTATGTTCTAAAACCCACCAAAAATATATCTCTGAATTCCAGATCTCTATAATTCAACTGCCTAGTTTTACTCATTAACATCATAAACATAACCATTCAAAACTGAATCCCCCAATCTACTCCTCTCTGAGATGTTACCATCTCAATAAATGACACCATCAACAATTGGCTTGGTTAAGCCAAAATCCTGGGAGTTACTCTTTTACCCTGATTTTTTTCACCACCTTGTCTTTTGGATCAGCTTGTCCTATTGATTTAATCTCCAAACTGTATACTGAAGTAATTTACTTCTCTTCACCACCATTGCCACTTCTCTAGCACAAGCCATTATCATCTACTTCCTGGAATACTGAAGTTGCCTTGTTATTGGTCTTCATGTGAGCATTTTTGCTCCCCTGCAATCCATTCTCCACATGACAACCACAGCAATCTTTTTGTAAGTTATGAATTTGTTAAATATATATTGAGCACCTGCTATGAGCTGGATGCTGCTCAAGGCCTGGGGATATAGCAGGAAAAGAGAGAGGGGAGAGAGAGAGAGAGAGAAAGAGAGAGAGAGAGAAAAAAGAAGAAGGAGGAGGAGGGTGGGGAGCAGAAGAAAGAGGAAAGAGAAGAGGGGAAGAGGAAAAGAAAAAAGGTACTACCTTTGTACTTCCAAGGAGTTCACATTCTTGCCAGGACACAAAAAAAATAGGCGAAAGAGTGCTTTAGAAGGTGATGAAAACTATGAAGTGCTATGGAGACAAATAAAGTGGGAAGTGGGTGGTAATAGGGCAAGAGGATGGGAAGTGAGTAGAGGGTTATCTGGAAAGACTCTGATGTGACTTTCAGCAAGTACCTGAAAGAAGTGAAGGAGTAAGCCACGTCACTCTCTTGTTTGGGGGATGCAGGGAAGGGAAGAGAGAGAGTGTTCTAGGCAGAACAGTAAATGTAAAGGCCACGAGTTCAGATCCTGCCTGGCATGTTTGATGGACAGCCAGTGAGGCTAAGGGAAAGACAACAAGAAAAGAGGACAGAGTAGCAAGGGCCTGATTGTGTACGGCCATGAAGATTATGTAAGGAACTGGCTTTATCTAGAGTCAGATGGGAACCGTTCAAAGAGTTTTGGGTAGAGGGAGGCATCAATTCATTCACCTGACAAATATTTGTTTAGTACTTACTAGGCACCAATGTAAGCTTCAGGGTCTTATCAGTGAACAAAACAAACACAAATTGTACCCATCAGGAGCTTATAGAACTAAAAGCCTATACTATATAAAAGGAGAAAGGTCTCAGATAATGACCTTAGTTTCCATTTTAAGAAACTAGGAAAAAGAAGATCAAATAAATCTAAAGTTATTAGAATAAAGGAAATGATAAAGATTATAGTCAAAAGGAAAAAATAGAAAACAAATACAACAGAAAAACAACAATATTGGTTGGGCATGGTGGTTCACACCTGTAATCCCAGCACTTTGGGAGGCCAAGGTGGGTGAATCACTTGAGGTCAGGAGTTTGAGACCAGCCTGGCCAACATGGTGAAACCCCATCTCTACTAAAAATACAAAAATTAGCCGGGCGTGGTGGCATGCGCCTGTAATCCTAACTACTCTGGAGGCTGAGGCAGGAGAATTGCTTGAACCTGAGAGGAGGAGATGCAGTGAGCTGAGATCATGCCACTGCACTCCAGCCTAGGCGACAGAGCGAGACTCCATCCCAGAAAAAAAAAAAAAAAAAGAGAGAGAGAGAGAGACAGAGAAACAATAACAATGGAGCCAAAAGCTGATTCTTGAGAAAATCAATAAAATTGAAAAATCTCTGATCTGACTGATTAGGTAAAAAGGAGAGAAAACACATCCTAAATTTAACCATCAGGAACAGAAGATATGACATCGCTATAGATGCTACAGATATTAAAAGGATAATAAGGAAATGTTATAAACAACTTTGTCCCTACACATTTTATAACTTAGAATAGTTCACTTGCGGCTGGGCGCTGTGGCTCACGCCTGTAATCCCAGCACTTTGGGAGACCAAGGCGGGCGGATCACGAGGTCAGGAGATCGAGACAATCCTGGCTAACATGGTGAAACCCCGTCTCTACTAAAAATACAAAAAATTAGCTGGGCGTGGTGGTGGGCGCCTGTAGTCCCAGCTACTCGGAAGGCTGAGGCAGGAGAATGGCGTGAACCCGGGAGGCGGAGCTTGCAGTGAGCCGAGATAGCGCCACTGCACTCCAGCCTGGGCAACAGAACAAGATTCTGTCTCAAAAAAAAAAAAAAAAGCATAGTTAACTTGCATATCCCTAAAACACTTCCTTGTTCTCCATATTTGTCCATATTTGTTGAAGTTCTCTATAACCGTCTACGTCCCTACCACAGGCTGGAAGTTCCTTCAGAGCAGGGACCAAATCTTTTTCCTAGCCAGTCCCCTGTGACTGGCCATAAAATAAAAGCATTATACCGAGAAAGGGCCTGTTGCCAAAATAATAGATTTTATCCAGCAAAAAGTGAGGTCAATGGCTGGGCGTGGTGGCTCATGCCTGTAATCCCAGCACTTTGGGAGGCCAAGGCAGGCAGATCGCCTGAGCTCAGGAGTTTGAGACCATCTTGGGCAACATGGTGAAACCCCGTCTCTACTAAAATACAAAAAATTAGCTGGGCGTGGTGACATGCACCTATAATCCTAGCTACTCGGGAAGCTGAGGAGCGAGAATCGCTTGAGCCCCTGAGGCTGAGGTTGCAGTGAGCCAAGATGGCGCCACCGCACTTCAGCTTGGGCTACCGAGTGAGACTCCATCTCAAAAAACAAAACAAAACAAAACAAAAAAACCAGCGAGGTCAAAATGCAGGTGTCCCCTGAAATGCCATTAGAATTAATAAACAAATTCAGCAAAGAAGCTAGATAGAAAGTCAACACACATTTCTAACCACTAACAATATTTCTATCCACTAACAGTAAGCAACATTAAAAAGAAAGTAAGAGAACAAATTCATTTACAATGGCATCAGAAAGAAGAACATACTTTGGAATTAACTAAAGAGCTGAAAGACTTGTACAATGAAAGCTACAAAGCATCTTTGAAAGAAATTAAAGGAGACTTAGTAAATGGAAACACAACTCATGTTTATGGATTGGAAGACATATTATTAAGATGTAAATACTACCCAAAGCAATCTACCAATTTAATATAATTCCTATCAAAATCCCAATAACCATTTTTGTAGAAATGAAAAAATCTTAAAATTTTTATGGAATCTCAAGGGACTCAAAATAGCCAAAACAATTTTGAAAAAGAAAAAACATAGTTGGAGGACTCACACTTCCTAATTTCAAAACTTATTACAAAGCTACAGTAATCAAAACTGTGATACTGGCATAAAGACAGACATAGACAATGGAATAGAATAGAGAGCCTAAAAGTAAACCCTTGCATATATGGTCAAATTATTTTTGAGAAGGATGCCAAGACCATTCAATAGGATAGGATAGCCTTTTCAAATAATGGTGCTAGGAAAACTGGGCCTGCACCTACAAAATATTGTAGTTGGACCCTTACTTAATGCCATATACAAAAATCAACTCAAAATGGATCAAAGATATAAATATAAGAGCTAAAACTGTAAAACTCAGAAGAAGACATAGGACAAAAGCTTTACAACATGGAATTTGTCAATACATTCTTGAATAGGACACCAAAGACTTGGGGAACACAAGAAAACATAGACAAACTGGACTTCACAAAATTAAAAACTTCTGTGCATCAAAGAACACTATCAACAGAATGAAAAAGCAACCTACGGAATGGGAGAAAATACTTCCAAATGATATATCTGATAAGAGAATAACATTCAGAATACATAGAGAACTCCAGAAACTCGACAACAAAAAACCAAACAACCTTATTACAAAATTGGCAAAGGACTTGAATAGACATTTCTCCAAAGAAGATATACAAATGGCCAATAAGCACATGAAAAGATGCTCAACGTCACTAATTATTCAGGAAATACAAATCAAAACCACAATGAGATACTACCTCACATCCATTAGAATGACTACTACCATTAGAAAAACCCTAGAAAATAACAAGTGTTGGCAAGCATGCAGAGAAACTGGAACCCTTGTCCATTGTTGGTGGAAACGTGAAAATGTACAACCACAGTGGAAAATAGTATAGTGGTTCCTTGAAAAGTTAAAAGTATCATTGTCAAGCAATTCCACTTCTAGGTAGATACCCAAAAGAATTGAAAGCAGGGTCTTGGAGAGATATTCGTACACCCATGTTCATAGCAGCATTATTCACAATAGCTAAAATCTGGAAGCAGCCCAAATATCTTTCAACAGAAGAACAGATAAGCAAAATGTGGTATACACATACAATGGAATATTATTCAGCCTTAAAAAGGAAGTAAAGCCAGATGCGGTGGCTCACGCCTGAAATCCTAGTACTTTGGGAGGCCGAGGCTGGTGGATCACCTGAGGTCAGGAGTTTGAGACCAGCCTGGCCAACATGGCGAAACCCCATCTCTACTAAAAATACAAAAAAATTAGGTGGGCATGGTGGTGGGTGCCTGTAATCCCAGCTACTTAGGAGGCTGAGGCAGAGAATTGCTTGAACCCAGGAGGCGGAGGTTGCAGTGAGCCGAGATTGCACGATTGCACTCCAGCCTGGGTGACAGAGCGAAACTCCATCTCAAAAAAAATAAAAATAAAAATAAATACATAAATAAATAAAGGAAGTAAATTCTTACATAAGCTGCAACATGGATTAACCTTGGGGACATTATCCCAAGTGAAATAAGCCAATAACACTGAAGACAAATACTGTATGATTTCACTTACATGAGGTGCCTGGAGTAGTTAAAATTATAAAGACAAAAAGTAGAACGGTGGTTGCCAGGAGCTGAAGGAGAGAGGCATGGGGAATTGCTATTTAAATGGGTATAGAGTTTCAGTTTTATAAGATGAGAATAGCTCTGGAAATGGATGGTGGAGATGGGGGTTCACAACAATATGAATGTGCAGATGCTTCTCAACTTATGATGGGGTTATATCTTGATAAACCCATCATAAGTGAAAAAAATTCTAAGTGGAAATTGCAGTTAGTACACCTAACCTATTGAGCATCACAGCTGAGCCCAGCCCACCTGAAACGTGTCCAGAACACTTACATTGGCCTCTAGTTGAACAGAATCATCTGCATCACAGTCCACGGGAGAGTATCACGGTTTACTCTTGTGATGGCGTGGCTGATTGACAGCCGCAGCTTGATGCAGCTGCCCAGATTGTGAGAGTATCACACTGCATATTGCTAGCCTGGGAAAAGGTCAAAATTCAAAATTTGAAGTACAGTTTCTAGTGAATGTGGTACATTCTCACACCATTGTAAAGTCGAAAATTTTAAGTTGAGCCATTGTAAATAGAGGATCATTGTACTTAATATCATTGAGCTGTACACTTAAAAACAGTTAAGGTGGTTAATTTTATATTTTGTGTATTTTACCTGACTTTCTTGCAAAATCTTAAATGAGGCAAGGGAGTAAGATGTGCAAATATCTGGGAGAAGCCAGAAAGGAAAGAACCAGTACAGAGGCCTGAAATGTGCGGGTCAAGGACACCTAGGTGAATGGAATGGGCAGTGGGAAGAGAAGGAGGAGGTAAAGTCCTGGCCAGATCACATAGGGTCTTGCAGGTCATTGAAAGGAGTTTGGCATTTTCTCTGAGTAATATTTTAACCAGATCACTCTGGCTACTATTTTAAGACAGCTGATGGGAGCAATGGTGGACTCAGGAGGATCAGTTAGGAGTCTTTGCAGTAATCTGGGTGAGGGATGATGGTGGCTTGGACCAGAGTTGTCACAAATGGTGAGAAATGGTCAATTTCTAGATACGTTTTAAAGTTAGAGCTAACATGATTTTGTTATATATTGGCTATGGGGTGTGAGAGAAAGAGAGGAGTCAAGGACAACTCTAAGGTTTTTGGCCTGAACAACCAGAAGGATGGAGCTGCCATTAAGTGAGCAGGGGAAGACTGTGGGAGAAACAGAGTTTAGGAGAGAAAGTCCAGGAGCTTCAGTTTGGATGAGGTTTCCACTTGGAAACATTGATGCGACAGTTGGAGAGGCATCTGGATTTCAAGATGAGGATCTTGGTAGAAAATACAATTTGAATTATCAACGTGTGGATTACACTTAAAGCCATCGGATTCTATGAGTCACCGAGGGAGCGTATACAGTGAAGAGATTCGAGGACTGAGCCCTGGACCAGTCCAATGTTCATAAGTAGGGGAGATGAGAAATGCCCAGCAAAAGAGGTGAAAAGATGTGGACAAAAGGTTTGAAGAGAAGTCAGATGTCTGTGATATTCTGGAGATCAAGGGAAGAAAATGGTTCAAGGAGAAGGGAGTGCCACATGATGTCAAACACTACTGAGAGTTCCTATTAATGAGAACTAAGAATTGGCCATCCAATTAAGCTACATGGGGATCAAACCTGATTGGAGTAGATTTAAGGGAGGAGAGGAATTGTAGTCTGTGAGTCTAAACAGATTATTCAAGGAGTGATTATGTGGGAATAGAGAAATAGGATTGTGTCCTTGGGAAAGTAAGAGAGGATGGGACTCAGGGCCTGTACAGGAGTGGCTTCGGCACAGGCAGCTGGTCCACAGCAAAAGGAGAGCGGAAGTCATGGACACAGGCACAGGGTGTGGCTAGATGTGGAGGTGGCAGCTTGAGGAAGTACTCTTGCTAGGGTTGCTTTTTCTCAGCAAAATAAGAAGCAAGGTCGTTGGCTGAGATGGATGATAGTGGAGGAAGTGTGGGAAGTCTAAAAAGAAAAAAGGCATAAAATATTCATTTGCAGAGTGAATGGGTTCATAATTGCCAGGTAGCAATAAAGGCCCATGCAAGGTTAGTGGTCATGAATTGAAGTTAGGCCAGCCAGGAAGATGGTGTGCTTTCCCCCAACATGTTGGCTGTGTGGGCAGAAGCTTGGAGTTCACCATTGTTAGAGTTTTGCCAGACAAATACAACGAAACTAAAGAAAGGTATAAAGATGAGGGGTTATGAAAAAGAAGTGACTAATGTGATGAAGCATGGAATTGAAGCCAAGTCAGATGCGGAGAGAGAGCCTGAGGGGAGCAGGACGAGTTAAAAGGTGGAAGGGCCAGACTTCCCCTGGGTGGAAGGATGGGTGGTGGTGGGATTTCAGGGGCAGCGAGCTGGGAAGTTTAAGGAGGTGCTGGCCAGAGAGGGAGTTGCACCAAATTGAGACTGCAGAGGGAGTGCAGTTGTTATTGAGGACAAGCTTTAGATTTGGGCCATTTGCATATTTGATACAGTAAAGGACAAGATCCTTGGAGAAGAGGAGCTCACAGACTCAGGGAAGCAAAAAGCCAGCTCCACAGAGTTGTAGTTCTTAGAATGATGACAAGTGGGGTTGGTGAAAATGATGGTGAACCAGGTGCTGAGATCCATATAAGGAATGAGAGGAAGCCCTCTGGGGTTTGTGGGAGACTTCATGGAGGAGTGGTGGATGCCACAGGCTGCTTATTCAAAGCTGGGGAGCTTTAAGAGAGAAAGAATGGTCTGAAATAGCAAAGGAGTGAGGAAGACACTTGCCCCACCTAGTGGTAGGAGGGATGTGGAAGAGAAAATTAATCCTCCACTTGAGAAGGAGCTATTCTCAGAAGAGAGCCATGTTTCATGAGAGCAAAAAGGGGAAGAGAAGATGTTGAGGATATAGGATATTGTTTCTATCCAGTGTAACCTGTTTCAATTACTTCCCACCATGCTTTGAACCTTCCAGACCAAATCCTTTGCCACCTGCCCGCTACCTCTCTACATTCCAGCCACACTGTCCTTAGCATGTTCCTTGGATATATCAAGTTCTTTCCAACCCTGGGGGCTTTGCACTTGCTGCCATGTTCTTTCCTTTCTTGAAATTGTACCTCTTCCCCACCCCAAACCCTTAAGTCTCATGTTGAGTGTCATTTCCTTAAGAAATCTTGCTGAACACCCTCTTTAAATCAGGTGCTGTGCTTGGTGCCACTGAAGCAATAGGAATCCACACACAGTTTCTATCTTCAAGTTAGTTTACAGTCAGATGAAGCAAAGAGGGGAGCAGATGGTTTGAAAGTGCCCTAAGGGCTTCAATGGGGTAAACCCAGAGCACATGGGAGCACACAGGAGAAACTATTAAATGAACCATAGTGGGGGTGGTGGGGGGGGGTGGGGGTGGGGGTGGGGGTGGTAGTGGAGGTGGGCGGTGGGCAGTGGGAGAGTTTCAGAAAATGGCTAAACAGAGGCCTGAGGATGATCAGGAGTTAATGAGGAGAGGGTGGGGGCTACTGAGAGAGTGTGGGGAGCCATGAGCTGGTCAGGATGGCTGGAATGTAGCAGGATATGGGGATGATGCTATAGGGGTGAGTGTCCCACAGCAGACCTGCGGGACATGCTATGGAGTTGGGCTCTTTCCCGGGGTCTCTGGAGGCCACTAAAGGATGAGTTTTTGTCTTTATATATAAAGAGGTATATATAACAATTTTGCAGAAGAATTATGACCAGAAGCAGAGTATTATCAAGTTTGGCCCCTTCTGTGTTTAGCCCTAGAACAAGTATAGAGCTGCCATCTGGGAGCGCAGTGACCACAGCCTTCTGGGGCACAAGACAAGGCCTAGTGCTATCTGGGCGAAAATTGGCTAGGATCGTAGAACTGCCAGAGCTGCAGAACGTCCTGGACTAGTGGCCTCCCACCCACCACCCAGACAGTTTCATTCACCAGCTTTGTAGTTGGGACACCTTCTCCATGTTATCCTAATGACAAGAAGATAAAAAGCAAGAGAACAATTGAATGGAATCACTATAAAATGTTCCCAGGCCCCTTCCAAACTATAAGCTTTCAGACTTCCTTTCTCTAACTTGAGACTACAGAGTAATACCGATGCCTTGCGAGATGACCGTGACTTAAATTTATTGTGTGCTTAGCAGGTGCCAGGCCCGTGTCACAGCAACACAGGCAGATGCTTTCATCGCCATTTTGTACAAGAGGAAACAGGCACAGAGAGGTTAAGTAAATTACCCTTTGTCACATAGCTAATAAGTGACAGAGCAAAGATTCAGACCCTTGGAGTCTGATTCCAGAGCCCATGGTCTATACCAACACCCATACCACCTCTAAAGTTGGTGTCTTCTAAGTAGTCAGAGTAAGATTAAATCAGGTTCAAACAGTGTGGGACTGAGGCATATCTGGCTGTGTTCAAGACTTTATAAAACTTCTCTGGGATCACTGACCAGAACATTTCACAGCTCAGAATGCTTGTTTTTGACCAGACTGGGGGCATCTAAAGAAAAGCTCTAGGGAAAGGAGGTAGCAGAGCATGGACTGCCTGCCCTCAGCTCCCACTGGCTGGCTCAGCAGGGAGCTCTGGAGCATGGTGGTGTCCGTACAGCCCACAGCCTTCCTGTGCTTTCTCCCTGAGCGTACACACAGTGTCAATGGAAACACAGTCATCACATGTTACATGTCTCTACCAGTCAAGGGCAGAAGCACAAATGTCTGAGGGCTTGTTTAGGAAGGGCTTTGGGGAGCATCTGCTCAACATGAAAGTTGCTAGAAATATAGTTGGGGGCCAGGCATGGTGGCTCACACCTGTAATCTCAGCACTTTGGGAGGCCGAGGCGGGCGGATCACCTGAGGTCAGGCCAACATAGTGAAACCTCGTCTCTACTAAAAATACAAAAAAAATAGACACATGGTGGCACAAGCCTGTCATCTCAGCTATTCTACAGGCTGAGGCACACGAATCACTTGAACCCAGGGGGAGGTGGTTGCAGTGAGCCAAGATCACACCACTGCACTCCAGCCTGAATGACAGAGGGAGGCTTTGTCTCAAAATATATATATATACACACACGCATATATATATAGTAGGGATTCTCAGGTCCATGTTTCCTATTTTCTCCACTGTGAACTCTGTCTTTTCCCTTTCTACTAAAGGGAGGGAGAGTGCTGACACCCACCCACCGCCCTCCTGCTGTCTCCGGGCTGTTCCTCCATAGAACCTCCCTCTCCAACTGGCCAGGCCTGGTCTGTCATCTGCACAGGCCACTCCCACCACCCAAAATTCTTTTACCTCTTTCCAGTTTTCAAAATCACATTCACGAAGACTCTTCTGGTCATTCTGACCCACCCTGTGTCTCCCCCCATCTCTCACAGTACATGTGATCTGCATTCCCATAGACTCTTACAGCAGGAAAGGGCTTCGAGAGTCTATGCTCATCCTCCTCATCCTGTCACTGAAAATTAAACCAAGGTCAAGAGGACAAGTTTTTTGCTCCAAATCACTGAGAAGTGTACTGCTCTCTCTCTAATTGTTTCAATAACAGGGGCCCTGTCTTGATCTCCTTTGCACCCATGACCTATATGAATCTGCTATAAACCCTGGTACAAGAACATTGAGTTCCTTTATTTCCTCATTGTGGTTTGAACTGGTATTTCTCTACTTCTGGGACAATGTCAAGGTTCGCGAGTCCCTCACAGAGTCAAGGAGGCTGATCCTTGGGCATTTGTCCAAGTGGGTTACAAGGGTGACATCTGGGGCTCTTTCAGCCTGTATCACAGGTCTCTGGCTTCAGGATGCATCTCTGCCATTCTGAGGACCTGGGAATTCATTGTAAGGCTGACATCCAGAGCTTCCTGGCACTATGCAGACACTTCCCTCTGGGGCTTGATACTTCTCTGGGGCTCTGCGGGGACCAGGGTGGGGCAGTGGCCTGGAGTCCTCTCCCCACACTGACCCAGAGAACTGTCTACTAGGGGAGGCATCTTCCCTGCCTCCTGCTTCCTTGGGTTGCATTGCTTTGTCTCTCAAACCCAGGCCTCCCTCTTGTTTTTCACCATAGATCTGGAGGGCCCCTAAACCCTAATGATTAGCAACTGAAAAACTTGTTTTTCCTTTCTCTTAACCTTTTAAACCTGCCCAGAAATTGAGGGAAAAAAAGGTTTGTAGTCTGTCCTCTTGGGGGCAGCAAAGAGGTGCATTAAAAATGTAGCAATTAAGTTTCTATTTAAAAGGCCAGCAATTCACATCTTGCTCATCCTTTTACCTGGAATCTTCTCCATTTTTCAACTGGTTAATGCTGGCTTATCCTTCAGGACTCAGCTCAGACATCACCGCAGATAGAAGTGACTCATATTCATGAATCACCCCCACTTCTCACTCCCTTCTGCAAAAGTGGGGCTTTGCTTTATTGTCCTCTGTATTGCCAGCCCCCTCATATCAAGTGCTCCACAAACACATGCTGACTTGCACTGAATTCAAGGCAAAGTGGTGGGTAAGTGAGATCCACTTGTTGACTAGTGGCTTCCCAGGGAAGATAGACTTAAACAAGAGGCACCAAAAGAGGCGCGTGTTTGGGGGACATTCCACTTCCTAGAATAAGATATTCAAACGCAGAGCCAGAGAAGGAGGACAGGGAGGCCTCTCCCGGCTCCCTGCCTCTATTTACACCAGGCATTCAGAGTGGGGGACAGTTCTAAGACTGACCAGGAGGTGGCAGCGTTGCCCCTTGGATGAGGGACTCCCTTCAGCAGGACAGAGGCAAAGGACACCGCCTCTCTAGCTCTGGGAGGAAGTCACCAGGAGGCCTCCCCTAGGCCAGTCTCAGAGGGCCAGGATGCCAGCTGCCTTGCACACAGTAGGGATCTATAGCCATGTGTGGATCCAACGTGGTTTTGTTTGTTTGTTTTTGAGACAGAGTTTTGCTCTTGTTGCCCAGGCTGGAGTGTAGTGGTGCGATCATGGCTCTCTGCAACCTCCGCCTCCTGGGTTCAAGTGATTCTTGTGCCTCAGCCTCCTGAGTAGCTAGGACTACAGATGCCCGCCACCACATCCGGCTAATTTTTGTGTTTTTAGTAGAGACAGGGTTTCACCATGTTGGCCAGGCTAGTCTCGAACTCCTGACCTCAAGTGATCCTCCTGCCTCTGCCTCCCAAAGTGCTGGGATCATAGGCGTGAGCCACCACACCCAGCCCCACATGTTCTTATTCTAAGCTTTGCTAGGGGCTTTGCATGGGAAAGGAAGGAAGGAAGAGTGGGAGAGAGGGAGGGAGGGAGAGAAGGGACTCAGGCCTTAACCTAGAACCCCTGCATCAGAGTCTCTTGGATGGTTCCTGGGAATCCTCAGGTGATTCTGATGGAGGCAGGCACAATTCTCCCTTGTGTGACTAATTTCCCAAGGCCTCGCCTTTCAATCACAGAACTGATTTTATCCATTGTGAAAACCTAATGCAGACCCCAGCGCACGCCTCCTGCTCTCCCTCAGCTGGGAGGCTGACCGAGGTATTTTAGGCATCCCGCCAGAGATGGCTGCTAGGTTGCAAAGACAAGCAGTGCCCTCCTGGGCACAGCCCTATGCCCCCCAGTGGGCACTCCCTCTCTCCTTCTCATCCTATCTTCAGCTTTGGCATGAGTGGCTGGCCTGACACAGCCCACCTCACCCCAGCAGTGGCGCCCCAGGCTGAGCTTCAACCCAACTCTTGGGTAAGCAGCAGGGAAACTGAGGAGTATTTCACAGTTAGTCTCTGTCCCCTCTCAAACAGGCAGTATTTTCAGGAGTCCTTCGTGACATTGAGGCCTGTGGGGGACATCTTGATGTTGACTGGGGGCACACGTTGGCAGGGCTACCCCCATGTGGAAAATCTTGGCTGGGGTGGCGGGCTTTTGGTTTTAACAACAAGTGACTCAATTGTTGTCCCTTCTTCCTGCAGCCTCCCCAAGTCACTGCCCACAGATGGCCCTGGGCAGAAAGTGGTCAAAGAGAGTGAAGCCCGGGGGAGGAAAGCTCGGGTGCCCATGGCGCCCACTGGATGGCTGGCCTGGTTGGGACCCACTCTGGCGGGGCCAGCTCCTGGTGGTTCCCTGCACATCCATCCACTGTTTCCCATCTACACTCTGCCAGAAAGTCCTTCCTCTCCTGACCCCGCCATCCAAACCCTATGTGTTTCAGGAAATCATTTTTCAGATGCTACCTGGGGACTCCTGCAGCTGCTGTGCATTTTCTTGGAATCTCTCATGGAACCATGCATGATGACTGTTTCTACATCTCTGCATGGGAAGGAACTCAGGGATAGAGGGCACCCCGTTCCATCCCCATCCCAGCCCCTAGTGCAGGGGAAGAGAGCCGTGGATGTTAACTATTGTGAGTACATGACGGGAAGGAGAAGGTGGTGGCGCCTCAGGGTTGACAGGAAGGGACAGGAAGGTTTCATCATGGAGGCAGGAAGGGGGCCGGGCCCTGAAGGATGGATTCCATTTCTAGGTGAAAGTCACCAGCATGTTATCAGAGCGTCCTTCTTAAGTAGAGTCAGAGCTGCGCTATTTTGAGTGGAATGAAGGTGGTCTGTGGGTTGGAAAGGCCAGTCATGATCCCCAGTCCATTTTGTGGGTGCCCCTGGTTGATCCCTAAGACAACTTCCTGGAGTGTGTGCATTGACCACAGATGTCAGGGCCTGGGCTTCTCTCCTGAACCCAGTTCACACCAAAAAAGGACATGAAGGACAAGGACCAAGAGAGGGCTGGAGGCAGAAGTGCTCTCAGAGCGGACACAGGGTCCCACCCCAATCCTTGTGCCTGAAGCAGAGTTGCAGTGTGGCCGCTACTGGCACCAGTACAGCAAAGCAACACCCTAAAATCAAAGCGGGAACAGCAGGAGATGGAGCCCGTGTCTTTGAGGACCTCAGAGGCAGAACTTCTGGTTGGGGCCTGAGGACTTTTGCACTCTCCTGAGCACCCTTGCCTTTTCTTGCCACCGCAAGGGAGATGTTATCTTCAGACTCTGGGGCTATTGCAAGCTGCTGCTCTTCCATGAAAAGCTTGGGGCCTTTGCTCAGTGAAGTCAGGATGTTTTGAGATTACAGGGAGGGTGGAGGAAACAGGAGGGCCCACAGGGTGGGTGAAAAACCTCATTCTCCGCCCTCTCAGCTCCACCCTGCATGCACTACCAGCATTCTCAAGGCTTCCTTCTCAGTTTGTGTAAGACAAGGAAAGCCTGAACCAGGGATTCCCCTCTCAGCCACCCCAGCTGCAGCCCCTGAGGGTGGGTGTGCATGCAAGGGACAGGGTGGGGAGCCACAAGCTCATCTTCCACCCCTCCACAGCTCATCTGGCCTTGCCTCTATTGCTTGGGGAAAATGGCACCTTGAGGACAGAGTATGCCTTGCTTTCTCCTAGGAGAATGTTCTCTTTCTGTACTCGCTGATGGAGCTCTAGCTAAAAAAAGTATATTTCCCTGCCTTTTCTTTCTTCCTCCTTGAGGGCCTCTCTGTAGACTTTATCAGGCCACACTGATGAGCTCAGAACAGAAAAGTTATGGCTATATGGGAGCAGGCTCCTCCCTCATAGCTCCTGGTCAGATCTGGACATCTGGGGCAGCCGCGGATCAGAGCCCCAGGCTGGCCCTGGACCAGACCCCTGCTCCTCTGTCCCAGGCTGGCCCACTGCCTCCATGAGTCACTAAGGTAACCAGGAGGGCAACCACAGGGGAAAACAACCACCCTTATTGCCCCAGGTGGCAGTCCCAGCCCAGGGCAAAACTGGGGCATTACTTCAACTGTACCAAAGTCAGGCCTGTGCCTGGGGCTGCAGGAGGCGGCTGCAAAGAGGCTGGGCGGGGCAGCAGGAAGCCCTGTGGAACTTGCGTGTGTCCTGACTTGCCATTTCTGATGTCAGCACCTTCAGATGCCCTTTCATGGGGTAGGAACTGGGAAGGGCAGAGGTAGTAACATCTGAACAAAGCTGGGTGAATTCCCACGGAAGACGGAGCATCGAGTCGTCAATGCCTTTTGGTAAACAAGTCGCAGCTCTTCCGTCTTGGCTCATCCTCATGGGCACATCCCAGTGGTGTTCCCTGCCCACCTCTGCACCCACATTTTAAGGTGTGTAATCTGCCTCCAGCTCTGTCCTCCCCACCTCAGAGCCTTAGGATCTCTGGCTCTGACATTCAGTGCAATGTGTGCCGCCTGGTAGGCGCTCAGCGTTTTGAGTGAAAGAATAAATGTTTAGGTTTCCAGCAGCACCCCGTGCTGCTGGGATCACAGAGTGGCTGCTAAACCCAGGGTGTTGATTTGAGTGCCCAATGGGTGCTCCTCCGAAAGTAAGGGAAGTGACCCTGTGGAGCTGTGGCAGAGGTCGCATCCCCTGAGTTGCTGACCTTGCAGAGAAGCACAGGGTGCTCCTGCCTGTGGGTTGGGTGAAGCACCGTGTATATCTTTATCTCTGCTTGGGGGCCTGTTTCCTCCCCTTGACTTGTGCCTCCTCAATAGCAAGCCCGAGTCTCATTTAAGCTTTGAATTCTAGCACAGAGCTGGGCCCATCCATTAGATGAAGTGTGTTTACAAGTCTGTTCCGGAGTCGGTGGTGCTCCTGCTGCTTCACCTGGGCTCAGGACACCGAATACAAGATGCGGTTTCAGGATCTGGAATCCGCAGAGCCAGTGGGCTCCATAACCTGGGTCTGGGTGCCATGGCTAGCATCGTTGGCTGTAAGGAAGCTGTTCTGGCAGTTCTTGATGGCCGCTTCCCTAGCATCTCTGTGACAGGAGCCCTGAGAGAGGTCCTCTTCCTCCCTTTCCTTAACATCTGCCCTAGAGCTCGGCTGAGCTTCCCTGGGCCCTTGCAGCCCTGGTAGGCCTTTAGCACACAGAGTCAATATTTGTAAGATGCTCTGATGAGTGGCAGGAAGGGAATATACATTCTGTTTTATAGAAGGCAAGAGAAATATCAGAGGGAAAAAGTAAGCTTGCTCTTCATATTTGACCCCCACAGTGCCTGGAATGTGTGAGACGGATCCTGCCCTTTCCTTCACCAAGCCACCTAGCAGAACCCATGCCATCCAGGGCATCTGCGAGAGAAACACCTCTCCCAGCCTCCCCTGAGCAGCCCACTAGCGCTGTGGATTCCAGATCCTGAAACTGCATCTTGCACTCGGTGTCCTGAGCCCAGCTGAAGTGGCAGGAGCACCACTGACTCCAGAACAGACTTGTAAAGAAAGAAGGTATCTCCCAAGTCAGCCACAGAGGCTCATGGTTTCCTGCTCCATCTAGTCCTGGGTGTTTGCTTAAATGGGCACTGGCTGACATGACTGAAACCTCATGCATCCATCACACATTCACCCTCAACAAAGACACAGCCCCTCCTTTAAGGCCTGTGCTCCCTGTACATACACAGTGCCCTGCAGCACAGAGAAACCACATGAATGGCCTTCTTGGCTCAAGGAGTCAGGGAGTAGGGGCCTGCTGAGCATGACCATGTCCAGAGAGTGGGGACCCCAAGAACTGTAACAGCCCATTGGACAGATGTGGGCAGGAATGGGGACAAAATCACCCACAGTCTCAGACCCCAAATGAGGTGTGAATATGAAATCCATGAAAACCTCATGTGGAGGCCAAAAGACTAACTAGATTCCCATCTCATCTCTCCAGGCCAGAAGCCTATTATCCAATCCTTCCTCTCATTGCAAGCCCCAGAAGTAACAGCAATTACAAAATAAAGAAAAATAAGAACTTGTCAGCTCCAATTTTGGGGTTTGAATGTGGTCTCTGGGGAATGATCAGACGGTGGAAGCAGCTGTGGGCAGGGACTCCTCATGCAGCGATGACTACTCACTAACCCAGGGCATGCATTCGAGGTAAACCCTGTGGGATTCAGGGCTTGTCCTGCATCTCACAGTTGAGCGGGCAAGAGCCACCTCTGCCCAAGTGAGGCTTTGTCCCGCACGTCATCTGTATGACCTTGCTCTAGGCTGCTCAGGGACGGTAAGATTTTTGTTCTTGAGGACTGGAGCAGGTGATGGCCCAAGTGCAATGAGTTCTGTGGGCATCAATGCTCAAAATAAACACTAATGCACTACAGTCCCTCCCACTTGAGAGGCCCCTACCTGTCCCACAATATCTCATCCACCTAGAATTGAATCCTGGGTCAGATCCATACTCAACCAACTCATTTAAGTGCTACCAAGGGCTGACAGTGGTAATAGGCTTTCCCTATTACCTATAAGGGGCATATGTTCCTTTTATAGATGCAGAAATTAGAAGTCAGATTGCTTAAGTGACTTGCCCAAGACCACAAAGGTAACGGAGACACAGGTCTTTTGATTTCTAATTCAGTGTTTTGACACCACACAAAGGCCACCTCCTTCTTTGAAACCTGGAACGGTGCTAGTTGCCCTACAGAATCCCAGCATGGCAACCGGCTGGAAGAGGAGAGGCAAGGTGCAATTAGCATTCACTGTGTGTCAGGCTTGAAGCAAGCCTTTTCCTGCCTTCTGTTGGTGAGTGTTAATCAGCCCTGCTCTTTGGGGTCCTAACGCATGGACTCAGGGGCCAGAACTCCACCTCAGGCTACTTATGGCATCCCAGACAAGATATTTCACCTCCATAGACCTCAATTTCCTCACCCGTAAAATGGGATTAGAATGCCATCCACCTCACAGAGTTTGTTTATGGATTCACTGAGTTAATTTGTGTGAAGCACTCAGAACAGGGATTGGCACTTAGTACATGCTTTATAAGTAAGTGTTTATTGTTGTTTAATATTACTTCCAAATAGGACAAACTAGTTGCCACATCTCCAGGGCCCCTGGCCACACCCACTGTCCCAGAAAGCTCCACTGTGAGGTTCTTATGCACCTGAACTGGGCCTTCTAGGAAGCAGCTTCTATGGCTGAGGGTCCAGCCAGCCTGGTTCCACTTTCTCCTCCCTCTGGACTCTGCTCTTATTCACCAACTGTCCTGGGAACGCTGGGACTGTCATCACAGCACAAAGGCGGCACAAAGCACAGATCAAGCACTCAGTGACTGGGCTGCCAGCAGCTTCTTGCTGCCTCAGATGCAGAAGGGACAAGTGCCTGGTTCTTGGCCTGGCCCAAGGGTGGAATGAAGTCTCTGGCACAGCTTGGCGTGTGTTCCAGGCTCCCTCACAGGAAGAACCAAACACAGACCCCTCCCTCAACACTCTCGCTGCTTGTTCTCCTCTCCTTCTTGATAGGGTCCAGGTAGTCCCTTACTCCACCCAGCTGCTTAGCGAGCTGCCTCTACCTTTCATTTTTTTTTGTTTGCTTCATGGACAGTGTTCTCTCCCAGAAGCAGAAAGTCCAACGAGGGACATTATGAGGTGGACTTCGTGTGATGGGGAAGGATCACTTGTGAAGGGAAGACCATGAGGCTCTTGGGGGCACGCACCCACTTTCCCACACAGCTAGCAGTGGTGGGAAGAGAAGCCTGCTCTCAGTAGACTTCTCTAGAGAGGAGATTTGAATAGGCTTATGGAAAAATTGACACAGAATTTATATTAGTTAAGGTATCCTAGCTATTGTACTATGCAAATTCTCAAATCCTGGTGGCTTCACCCATAGAAATTTACTTCTTACTTCTGCAAAATACAATCTGGAAAGGAATTACTCAGGTACCCAGGCTGATGGAGGCACTGCCATATGCAACATGCAGCTTCCAAAATCAGCTGGAGTGTAGACATCCAGCCAGCAGATGAGGCAGAGAGGGTGTGGAGAGTTGGAAGGCTTTTTGGGTTAGTCCTGGGAGCAGTACATATCACTCCCACCTACATCCCACTGGCCAGAACTCCACCACCAGCCTCCCCCATCATAAATGGGACTGGGAAATGTCACCCTTGCTGGAAAGCCCCTCCCAACACCACCTCCACATTGGACAGGGAACGTGACTGTGGTAGAATCAACCAAATAGGAGTGCCCACTGAAGGGCATTCAAGGAGGAGGTTTTAGCAGCGTGATCTCAGCTGCTCCTGAAATGAAAGAAGAGTGCAAGAAATCTGAAAAGGCCATCTTAATAAACAGAAGCAAATAAATGGACCAAGTGGCTACAAAGGAAACTCAGATGAGCTCAGTCTTAAAGAAAACATGTACGAAAGGTGGAAAGAGTGGCCACTGACCAAAAACAACATAAAAATAGAAAAGACTGACGTAGAGCTGAAGAGTCATGTTAAGAATGTTGAACCAAGATATCAGAAAAATGTTAACACAGGAGCCTTTTTAAAGCTTTGTTTGAGTCAGAAGAACAAAGGAGTCTTAGGTCTGTCCCTGTGGATGGATGGTGGGATGTTCCTGAGCGACAGAAGAAACATTCCTACCCATTTTTATTTTCCTCCCAACATTTTCGTCAAAGTGAATGATTTTAAGACCAAAAAGAGCAGGAGTTTTGAATAGAAGGCATTGAAATCTCCAAAGAATGAGGAGTGTACAAGACCAAAACTTATTCCTTAAATTAACTGAAATATTCTAGCCCAAATGAATTACATTCCAGAGTTCTAAAATAATTTTTAAGAAGAGAGTAGTGTAGATGCAGGAATTTAAGAGCATAAGCCCTGGAGCTAGACTACCTGAGTTTGAGTCTTGGCTCAGACACTTGCTAGCTGTGTGACCTTGGGAAAATTACCTAATCAATCTGTGCCTTAGTTTTTCTATCTGGTAAGTGGATAAAATAATATTACCTACTTCACAGGGTTGTTTAAGGATTTAAATAGGATGCTGTCTAAGCACCAGGCCTGACACCTATTCATTGTTCAATAACTTAGTTCTTGTTGCTGCAGCTACCATGACATGGCTGATCTTCTGTGAGTGATCTGTAAAACATCATGGCAACCACAAGAAAGTCTAGAAAACAGAGATGAACAAATGCATTCCAATTTTCAAATACAAGAAGTGAATTTTTCTCAATGCCATCAATGCCAGGCAAAATTTCTGACTCTATGATTATTTAACATATTGTTATGTACCTACTGTGTGTCGGGCTCTATGCTGGGCCCTGAGAATCAAGCACTGAGCAAAATAAACAGAAATTCATGCCTTCCTCATGTAGTAGGTCTAGTAAAGGGAGACATATACTTTTTAAAAATAAGTAAATATATAACATGTTTATTGCTAATAGGTGGTACAGAGAAAAACGATGCAGGCCGGGAGGATGCATAATGTTAGAGTGAGAGGGTGACCATTTTAAAGAGAGAAGTCAGGTAAAGTCTTTGTGACAAGAAGACCTTTTAGTAAAATCTGAAGATGAGGGACTCTCTGGAGAAGGAACCACAAGTGCAAAGAGCCCAAGAGGGAAGTATACCCAGTGTGTTCCCAGCACAGCAAGGCGGCCAGTGTGCCTCATGTGGAGAAACTAGCAGGGAGAAGGGTGGAAGATGGGGTCAGAGAGATAGCAGGAGGCCAGATCAGGCAGGGATTTGAAAGCCCTTGTAAGGACCAGCAATGTTACCCAGAGAGAGATGGCAGCCATTGACCAGAAGAGTGGCATGCTCTGATTTACATTTTAACACATTCCCTCTGTGTTGCAAATAGACTGAAGGGAGGCTACGGTGGAAGCAAACAGGCCTGTTTTAATAAACTGTGCAGTGATGATGGTTGGAACCAGGCTGGTAGCTATGGGCATGCAGAGACATGGTCTAACAAGCAGTCAGATTCTGGATAGAAGCAATTGAATTTTGCTAATAGATTGAATGAGGATATGAGAAAAAGAGAGGAGTCAAGGCTAATTCCAAGGATTTTGGCCTGATCAGCTGGAGTGATGGTATGGACATTAACTGAAATGGGATGGCTACAGGAGTGCAGACACAGGTTTAGGTGACAGGAAGAAATGAGGAGCTTGTTTTTGGATGTGTTGTAGTTGAGATTTCTATTTGATATTCAAGAAGAGAAATCTGGCAGGTGGTTGGATTCATGTGTCTGGAGATCAAGGAAGAGGCCAAGGTTGGAGAGGTACATCCATGAGAATGCTACAAGGGACTAAAGTAACTTACAAAAAGAGGAAGTCCAGGCCGGGCACGGTGGCTCACGCCTGTAATCTCAGCACTTTGGGAGGCCGAGGCGGGCGGATCACGAGGTCAAGAGATTGAGACCATCCTGGCCAACATGGTGAAACCCTGTCTCTACTAAAAATACAAAAATTAGCTGGGGGTGGTGGCGCATGCCTGTAGTCCCAACTACCTGGGAGGCTGAGGCAGGAGAATCACTTGAACTCAGGAGGTGGAGGTTGCAGTGAGCCAAAATCATGCCACTGCACTCCAGCCTGGTGACAGAGTGAAACTCTGTCTCAAAAAAAAAAAAAAAAAAAGAGGAAGTCCAAAGACGGAGCTCCCAGGTATTCCAATGTTAAGACATTGAGAAGAGGAGGAGGAATGAGTACCTAGAAAGTGGTGACGACCAGGATTCGAGATTGGGTCACCAAGAACAGGTTTTGCCAGATGAAGCTCATTCTTTTATTTAGAAATTGTCCCAAACAATGCCATAGTTTGTCCAGATTTCAAAATGGTATTTGAAAAAAAAAAAAAGATTCTTCTGACATCTTTGAACATGACGACAATATGGTGTCTTATGAAGCAGCTTTACTGGATTTATAAATGGCCTATTCCATCCTCTCTCTCCAAGGCCTGGACAAAAATTGGATCAAATAAGAGCATCTTGGGAATGATACTCCAATTTGCAGATGCTGCAAAGCTAGGCAAGATAGAGATACATTGTCAAAACATGCAGGATCCCAAATAATTCTGGTGGATTAGATGAATAGTCAGAGCTAACAAAATGACACTTAACAAGAATGATTGGGAATTCCTGCATTTTGGTACCAATAACTGAATATCTAAATGTCAGATGAGGGAACCAGTGTTTGGCCACAGTAAATGAGAATGTGGCCCAGGAATTTATGTTGATAATAAGCTCCATATGAAGCAGAACTGTGATATGTTACCAAAATATATAGCCTTCCCCAGCAACAAAAACACAGGAGTGTCATCTATAATAACTAACTATCTTACGGCACCTCTGTGCTGGTCAGTCCACACCTAGAATATTTTATTCCATTCTGGCATCATGCTTAAAAAGGGAAACTGACATACTGGGGTGCATACACAGGAGAAAAATCGGGACCTGTGAAAACTGCTGCAACCTTCTGGTCCTCCTGCTTCCACCTCTTGCCTCTCCTACCAGTTCCCCACACTGCTCCCAGTTTTCTTCCTTGGACATAAATAGGATCATATCACTCACTTGTTTAAAGTCTTCAGTGCTTTTTTCTTCACTGCCTAAGGAAGACTCTTCATGTTCTATCTTTTTCAGCCTCATTTCCCTCTACTCTCCTGTTGGGTTCTATGCTCTGGCCACCCTGTTCCCCAGGTTACTACACTTGTTCTCACACCATGCTTTCATCTGTGGAGTTAGTACCTTCTGTGGGCTCTCAAAGCACCTGATTTTTCCCTTACCTTTTGTTGCCTTACCTCACCATGTATTCTGGCCTTTTTTCTTACCTATATCACAACTAGGCTGCAAGCTACTTGAAGGCAGGGACAATAATACTTCTGTCTCTCTCTTTTTTTTTTTTTTTTTCTGTTTGGACAGATCTTGCCACAAAACATGTACTCAGTAAAGACTGGTTGAATTAATGAAGGAAGGAATGAAGGAAGACATAAATAAATGAATCAGTGCTAGTTCCTCTTCCTGTTGGCTCATCTGCTATATCCCATTCATCCTTCCAGGCACCCAGCTCAGACATCAGGCATTCAGAATCCTTCCTGCTGCCGCATACTGCACCTTTCCCTGAACTTCCCACAGCACTTGGCATGTGGCTCCATAGAGCCCCTGGGGCATTGTACTTATTTGCCTACCTGGTTTTTCTGTCTCATTCATCTTTGTATGCCCCAGACCATGGCTGGCCATGTACCTGGTGTCATATCTTATGAGGAATGCCTAAGGCCACGGAGAGTCTATAGCCCAGAGAAAAGGAAACACGATTCTTTAATTAGAAAGGAAAAAAGATGGTCCTTCAGCCTGGTGGTGCAGTGCCGGCTCGCATCTGTGAGAGATAGCAATGGACAGACTTGACAGGCTCTCCAACTCTGAGATTTTGTGGTTCCCGGCTCTGGAATTTAATTTGCTGTGTTATTTCACTGATAGTCTTGTTTCCAGGCTAAATAGCCCCAGAGAAAGGTAGGGAGGAAGTGTGGCCCCCTTTGCTGCAGGTGGATTGTGGCAGAGGATAAGGAAGATGGTCACCCTCTGAGGCAGCAGAGAGGTCAAGGGTGAATTTTCTAATCTCTCCATACTTTATGGAGGGAAGGTATTCCTGACCATGGCATCCCATTGGGACTAGGAGAGGTACTCCTCACACCCTGTCCCAGAAGGCTCTTGGCCCTGGCTCTCTCCAAAGCCAATCTGATTCAGGGAGCCGTGGCTGCTGTACCACAAGACCTTTTTCCCATTGCATTTGGAGTATAGAGATTCAGCTTTCTGCCAATGCCACAATTACTTCTGGTTCAGGGAAGGTCTGAATTCTTGCAGAGATCTAGAAGGAGGTCATCAGTGTGGGCAGAAAATGGTCATAGGAAAGACTGAATGTCCCTACAGCCTTCAGCTGCATGGCCATTTTGCCCTGGGACATGGATAAAGAGAGGAGTAGGAGACCAGAGAGGAGCTATCTGAAGAACAACTATGCCAGCATTCTGCAGGCAAGACAACAGCTTTCCAGGAAATCTGTGGTCACCATAGCAAGATCCTGACCTGGCATCAGCTTTCAGGATGTTGGTGCAGGTTCAGAGGATGCTGTACCTTGTCCCTGAATACCTGGTTTCCTAGAAAGTACATGCAGAAGATGGCTCTGTCTGCATAGAACCTGCTTGGGTGTGCTCAGGTATCTACAGGTTGAAACTCTGAAAGCGGGTCAAGAACCAGGCTGGCCAACAGGAGGCATTTCTAGGATTGTTTTCTAAGAACAGGCATGATAAAATAACCACATTCAAGTTTTCTGTTTCATTCCCCTTATCAAGGGGACAAAGTTTGTAAGTGCTGCTCTGACCTTTACAACCATTGAAGAAGACACTTGACACAGTTTTGATGTCACTCTGAAATGCTCCCCTTGCTTGATTCTCCCTACCTGTTTTTCTAACACCCTATCCCTCCCACTGCACTTTCTCCTCAATCTCACTACCAGAATTTCAGAAAGCAATTCAATGCACAGTAAACCAGTAACAGCCTTAAGCTTTGTCTCTGAGTGACTTTGGTGCCCTACTGGTCCATACAACTTGTGGCAGTAACTTGCTTCTAGCCTGTTGAGCTCAGCAGCAGACCATGATTCACTCGGACAAGGACTGGCCCAACCCACAGTAGACACTGGGCTGGAGCTGGCATTTGTGAAGGCAGAGAATGCCACCCTCCCGTCACTTCAAGGATGCAGCTATTCTAGGGATAAACCCAGATCTGATGGGCTGTGTTTTGGAAAGCAGTTGATAACAGTGTTGTCATAGAAAACACCTACCTGGGGAGTTCCTTGGACCTTTAAAACAACATCTGTTTATTTAGCACAGTGCCTGTCACACAGGAGCCATTCAATAAACATTTCGTGGATATCTGTTGAATTGTTCTATCGACAAGAATTTAATGAACACCCAGAATTAGTTCTAGGTATCCAGGGAGAAATAAAAAGGAAGAGTGGCAAGTCCTGTCTTCAATGATTCTACAATTCAATGGTGAAAAGACTTACACATTGGAAGAGTAAAATCCCACCATGTGGCAGTCTATGATCAGGCATACCTGTGTACTGCAGTCCTGCCAGACTTGAGGGCTTAGAAAAGCTCTGCTTTGCTCAGCTTTTCACACTGACTAGGGTCCTACCCAACGTGCCTGTGGACCATCTGTGAGAACCTATGTAGGAGTGATGACTTTGCCTTGTGAAAGGAGATGGCCACACATCTATCCCTCTAAATGTTAAAGTTCTCCTTGCTCTAATTTGGTTAAAAGCATTTCGTAAGTATTGAAGTTGGTGTCACATAGAAGGATTATAGAGGACACGTTAGTAATGCTCGTCATGTAATGCTCATAACTTTGGCAATGAACATGATGATGGTAATGGGATTGGAATCGCTGTGATGAGGGTTTTTGCTGCTTTGCTAATGAAGAAATCAGTAAGGAATGAAGCTTCCAAAGGTCACACACACACACACACACACACAAACACACACACACATTTTCTTCATCCACTCACCAGTTGGTATATACTTAGGTTGATTCCATATCTTTGCAAGTGTGAATTGTGCTGTTATAAACATACATGTGCAGGTGTCTTTTTGGTATAATGACTTCTCTTCCTTTAGGTAGATACCCAGCAGCGGGATTGCCGGATTGAATGGCAGATCTACTTTTAGTTCTTTGAGAAATCTCTGTACTGTTTCCTATAGAGGTTGTAGTAATTTACATTGCCATCAATGGTGTATAAGCGTTCCCTTTTCACCACATCCGTACTGACATCTATTGCTTTTGTGACTTTTTAGTAATAGTTATTCTGATTGGGATAAGGTGGTATTTCATCATGGTTTAATTTGCATTTCCCTGATGATTAGGAATATCAAGCATTTTTTCATGTTATTTGGCCATTTGTATATCTTCTTTTGAAAAATGTTTGTTCATGTCATTTGCCCACTTTTCAATGGGATTTTTTTTTCCTTTGCTGATTTGTTTGAGTTCCTTGTGGATTCTGGATATTAGTCCTTTGTCAGATGTAGAGTTTGCCAATATTCTCTCCCATCCTATAGGTTATCTATTTACTCTGTTGATTATTTATTTTGGTGTGCAAAAGCTTTTTAGTTTAATTATGTTCCATTTATTTATTTTTGTGTTTATTTTGTTGCATTTGCTTTTGGGGTCTTAGTCATAAATTCTTTGCATAGGCCAACGTCCAGAGAGGTTTTCCTAGATATCCTTCTAGAATTTTTATGGTTTCAGGTCTTAAATTTAATTTAAGTCTTTTAATTCAGCTTGAGTTAATTTTTATATATGGTTAGAGATAGGGATCCAGTTTCCTTCTTCTGTATATGGTAATCCAGTTTTCCCAGCACCATTTATTGAACAGTGTGTGTTTTTGTCTGCCTTGTTGATCTTTGTCAAATATCAGTTGGTTGTAAGTATTTGGCTTTATTTCTAGGTTCTCTATTCCATTCCACTGGTCTATGTGTCTACTTTTATCGCAGTACCATGCTGTTTTGGTTACTATATCTTTGTAATATAATTTGAAGTTGGGTTATGTGATGCCTTCAGATTGGTTCTTTTTATCTAGGATTGCTTTGGCAATTCCAGCTCTTTTTTGATTCCATATACATTTTAGGATTGCTTTTTCTAATTATGTGAAAAATGATATTGGTAGTTTGATAGGAATTACATTAAATTTGTAGATTGCTTTGGGCAGTATGGTCATTTTCATAATATTGATTGTTTCAATTCATGGGCATGAGATGTTTTTCCATTTGTTTGTGTCATTTATGATTTCCTTCCTTCCTTTCTTTTCTTTCCTTTCTTTTACTTTCTTTTTTTTTTTTTTTTGGACATAGTTTCACTCTGTCACCCAGGCTAGAATGCAGTGATGCGATCTCGGCTGACTGCAAGCTCTGCCTCTAGGGTTCAAGCGATTCTTGTGCCTCAGCCTCCCAAGTAGCTGGGATTATAGGCATGCACCACCACACCTGGCTAATTTTTGTATTATTAGTAGAGACAGAGTTTTGCCATGTTGGCCAGGCTGGTCTTGAACTCCTGACTTCAAGTGATTCGACTGCCTTGGCCTCCCAAAGTGCTGGGATTACAGGCATGAGCCACCATGCCTGGCCATTTATGATTTCTTTCATCAGTATTTGGTAGTTATCCTTGTAGAGGTCTTTCACCTCCTTGGTTAAGTATGTTCCTAAGGTGTTTTTGTTTTTTTTGGTAACTATTGTAAGTGGGATTGAGTTCTTAATTTTATTCTCAACGTGGTCTTTAATGGTGTATATGAGTGCCACTGATTTGCATACTTTGATTTTGTAACCTGAGACTTTGCTGAATTCATCTATCAAATTGAGGAGTCTTTTGAAAGAGTCTTCAGAGTTTTCTAGGTATAAGACCATATCATTGGCAAACAGAGATAGTTTGACTTCCTTTTTCCCAATTCAGATGCTACCCCACGCCCTGCCTCGGCCTTTTTTTCTCTTGCCTGATTGCTCTGGCTAGGACTTCCTACCTTGTCCATCTTTCCTATGTACAGGTGAGGTCCTTGTGGAGACAGGCCTTCTACAAGAGCTTTCTTCTCATGTTTTTCCACACCTTGCTTCCCTTCACCAGACTTCTGCAACAGAAATGGAGGAACTGGAGGTTATCTTGGCCAGTAAATTCTCTGGCCCAGTTGGAGTCTACCAATATGCCCTGTTGCCCTTCTGTTTATAGACTCCATGTGGTGAGGGACACAGCCTCTCTGGTTTTCCGGTCCAACTCCTGCAGCTGGCACAGCACAGGCATACTGTAGGTCTTCAATAACTATATGCTGAATTAATTAATACGTAATCTAGTCTTCAGAGAGTCCCACTTCTACCAAACCAGCAGAATGTCTCTTGCCTAATTCCACAGGTCTAAAAACATGGGGTGCAGATGTCCTCTCCTGAATCCCTTCCCCTGTCTTCTACCTCCTTCCCAGTCCATAAGGAATTCTAGTCTAATCCCCCTTCCAGAGCAAATCTCTGCTAAAGGTGGAATTTCCTTTGAGGTCACAAGGAAAAATTTCAATATCAGCTGAAAATAAGCCCCCAATGTCCTTTGTGCTTTCAATTTTTGGCCTTTTGGACTTGTTGATCATTTTTAGGCACAGAAATCTATTATTTCATCTCTTTCCAAGTTGGTAATTTTCAGGTGAATTGGTTGTATGTTTCAGGGAATGGGGGAAACCTGGGCAGAGATCATTTTAAAGTAGTCTTTGGCACTTCCTTGATTTTCAAATGTCTTTGATTTCTCAGCTGATAGAATTGAAGTCTTCTCCCCAAGTATCATTAGGCTTTACCCCAGCTCCCAACATGTCAAGTGGCTGTGGGAAGGAGCTGAGGCATGAGGGCAGGCGCAGACATCCTGCCTAGTGGACACAGGCTGGAGCATGCCTGTCCCAGGGATCCCTGCAGCCCACAGCCCGCTGTGCCTGTCACCCAACCTCACCTAACCACATTCTTTCTGCATCGCAGTCGCCTGCAAGACAATACCTTCACTGCTGGCCTCTTGCTTCTCTGACCCACAAAGAATGTCTGGCTCGATAAACATTCACCCAGTGATTATAGGATTAACTGCAACCTGTAGCAAAGGGAAGCTTTTAAACAAAGGTTTTGCTTTGTTGCTTTGGAAGGGAAAATTAAAAATATAAAGCCAACAAGCATATTATGTGTTAATGGGTACTTTAGGTTTTGAGTTCCAGAATTCAGTTATCAGTGAGAATTTCCTCTTGCAAAGAGGTAATCGAGTTCAGGCTGTTGTGCTCCTATCTCTCCTTCTCTCCACAGGCTCCACTTTTAATTGCAGTTTCCATGACAGTGAGATTGTTGCAAGAAAGCGAGAAAGATTGTGCGTGTACTAGGAAAATGTTTATGAAAATTCACATGTTTCTTTTTTTCTTTTTTCTTTGCTAGAAAGAAAGAAGGAAAGGTGGAATGCTAGAAAGAAAGAAGAGAAGTGATTTTATGTTCTTGAGTATTTATTATGTGCCAGGCACGAAGCTAGGTGTTTAACATATATATGGCGTTAAATGTGTGTGTGTGTATAAAACTTTTTTTATTGTGAACTATATAACTTATCTACCAAAGAGTACACAAAACAAAAAATGTCCAGCTCAGTGATTTATCACAAAGCAAACACCCAGGTAAAATCAAGAACTAGACATTGCCGGAATCCCAGAAGTGGCCCTTTTGATGCCTTTCAATTATTACCTCCTCCTTTCCCTTCAAAGGAAAAAACTACCCTGACTTTTGTGGAAATCACTTGTTTGCTTTTCATTGTAGTTTTACCACCTATGCATTAATCCTAAACACTATAGTTTAATCATTATAATTCGTCTTTTTTTTGAGATGGAATCTCATTCTGTCACCCAGGCTGGAGTGCAATGGCGTGATCTCAGCTCACTGCAACCTCCGCCTCCTGGGCTCAAGCAATTCTCATGCCTCAGCCTTCCAAGTAGCCGAGATTACAGGCATGTGCCACTACGCCCGACTAATTTTTGTATTTTCAGTAGAGACGGGGTTTCACCATGTTGGTCAGGCTGGTCTCAAACTTCTGACCTCAGGTGATCCTCCTGCCTTAGCCTCTCAAAGTTCTGGGATTACAGAGGTTGCAGTGAGCCACCACTCCCAGACTAATTGGTTTAATATCCAGTAGAGCAAGTCCTCCCAGGTTTTGTTTTTTTTTTTTTTTTTTTTTTTTTTGAGATGGAGTCTCACTCTATTGCCCAGGCTGGAGTGCAGTGGCTCTATCTCGACTCACTGCAAGCTCTGCCTCCCAGGTTCACGCCATTCTCCTGCCTCATCCTCCCAAGTAGCTGGGACTACAGGCGCCCACCACCATGCCCAGCTAATTTTTTGTATTTTTAGTAGAGACGGGGTTTCACCGTGTTAGCCAGGATGGTCTCGATCTCCTGACCTCGTGATCTGCCCGCCTTGGCCTCCCAAAGTGCTGAGATTACAGGCGTGAGCCACCACTGCCAGTTTGTTTTTATTCCAGAATGTCTTGGTTGTGTTTATCCCTTTGCATTTCCATAAAAACTTTAGAATCAGCTTGTCAATTTCCACAAAAGAAAAACTGTTATTTTCTTTCTTTCTTTTTTTTGGTTGTGGCAGGGAGATTGCATTGAATCTGTAGATCAGTTTTGGGGAAAATGATGTTTTCACATTTTTTTATTCTAATTTCCATCATGATTTCTTTGAAGTTTCAAGCATATGAGGATTTTTTAGTTATCTCTTTGTCACTTTTTCCCCGGAGAAATACTTGGAATTACTTCAATATTTTGCAATTTATTGAGACTTACATTATGACCTACCATATAGTAAATTTCTGTGAATTTTCCTTGTGTGCTTGGAAAAAAATTGTACCCTGCAATTATAGTGTGCATGTCTTGTAAGTATTCTTTAGGTCAAGTGTATTTGATTGTGTTGTTCAAATCTATATGATTAATAATGTTTGTCTGCTAGTTATACCATTTGCTGTGAGAAGTATGTTAAAAGTCTACCATTTGTGATAGTGAATTTGTTTTTCTGTTTTCTTTTGTATATTTTGAGGCTATGTTAGCAGTATGTAGAAAATTAGAATTATATTTTCCTGGTGAATTCAACTTTATCATAATGAAGTAGGTCTTTCTTATCCCCAACAGTGCCTTTTTATGGTACATGTTTAAGGTTTATACCATGCTGTTTTGATATACATATACATAGTGAAATGATTACTTATAGTTAAGCAAATTAATCTATCACTGTATATGTATATACATATATGTGTATATATACATATATGTATACATATATACATATACATGCACACACATATATTACACACACATATATGTATGTTTATATACAGATGAAGTTTGATATATACAGATGAATACTGATTACACATGTATATGCATATACATGTGTGTATATGTACACATACATATACACACATATATGTATGTTTATATACAGATGAATTTTGATTATTTCACTTTTCCCATTTATTAACTTGGAAGTTACCTGTTTTTACTAATTTTACTAATTACTAGTTTTTACTAATTCTTTTAGATGTTAATTCATTGATTTCCTCTCCCAATCATTGTTATTGTGAATTTTGATTCTCTGTACATTTTAAACTCCCCATACTTTGTACTACCGTTTTGTATGGTTGATATTTATTTAGACTCAACCACATATTTATTCTTGACTTGCTTTTCATTCTTCCCTTGATCTCCAACTTGCTAACTGAAATACTTTTTTGTTTTGTCTGAAGAACTTTTTAATGTTTTCTTCAGTTATGAGTCTGCTGGTGACAATTTCCTTGGTTTTTGTTTTAATGCAGTTTTTCTTACAAATTCTTGGCTGGGTCCTGTGGCTTACGCCTGTAATCCTACACTTTGGGAGGCTGAGGCAGGAGGATTGCTTGAGCCCAGGAGTTTGAGACCAGCCTGAGCAATATAGTGTGACCCCATCCAATACAAAAATACAAAAATTAGCCAGGTGTGTTGGTGTGCACCTATAGTCTCAGACACTTGGGAGGCTGAGGTGACCCAGGAGTCAGAGGTTGCAGTGAGCCGAGATTGTGCCACTGCCTTCCAGCCTGGGCAACAGAGAGACACCCTGTCTGAAAACAAAATGAAATCAAATAACTTAAAAAAATCTTCATTCTTGATAGATTTTTAAATTCTTATCATAACATTTTAGATGGGCAGCTATTTTATTTCAGCCTTTTAAAGATGTAATTTCACTGCCTCTTGGCTTCCACTGTTGAGAAGTCAGCTCTAAGTCTTACTGTTGCTCTTTTGAGAGTAATCTGTCCCTTTTTCTCTAGTTGTATTTGAGTTTGAAAATTTCTCAGCCACTACTTCTTCAGATATTGCTTCCATTATTTCCTCCTTTTATTTGCCTGCTGATACTCTAACTACACATATACTAGATCTTCCCACTATATCTTCTACACCTCTTACCATCTCTTGTAGACTTTCCATCCTTTTCCTCTTCATGCTTTATTCTATGATTGTCTTCTGACCTATCTTCCACTTCACAAATTTTCTCTTCAGTTGGGTCTCAACAATTGCTAAAGTTATTCATTGAGTTCTTAATTTTGACTACTATATTTTTTAATTCTAGAACTTCTTTTTGTTTCTTTTATATAGTTTCTAGTTTGCTAAGTCCTTAATCATTTATTTTCTTGAAAAAATAACAGCACATGTTATATACTTCTGTTCACCTCTATGGATATATCTTCACTCTCTCCACTCTGCTGCCTCTCCAGGAACCTGATCTGCATGGACTGTATCAATTAACTTTCTTGTCCTCTGGCTTCTAGCTGTGTTTGGCTAAAGTAAAGTACCAGTAGGACCACAGGGAAGGAGGAGAGTGAGATTCGGTACTGATTTACCTGATCTCTTCCTGTGGGGTCACTGTGGGCTGGCCACATTCCCTGACCATAGACTCTCTGTCTCTAGATTCTGATAGTTCCTCCCTCCCTGTAACTCTTCAAGCCTACAGGTGGTAAAGCCTCCTCATTGTTCATAGCCCCAGAGTATTGGACCCCATCTCTCCCCATCACAACCCATACTTTTGAAAATTATTCCTTTATTAAGGAATAATATTATCCCTCATATTATCATAGTTTGATGGTTCCATCTGTGTCTGGTTGGAAATCTGACTGACACAACATGTTTATATTATAAAATGTTTTTGGTTATTTAAATAATCAGACTCTATGTGGATCTGTAAGACTTCATGTGGATCTATTTCTACTGTCCTTGTTTCTGCTATTTTATTAGTCATATTTTCCTGTTTCATGTGGCTATTTTTTTATTTTTTTAATTTTTATGTATTTACTTTTTTTGAGATGGGGTTGAGAATGGCTAATTTTTGTATTTTTGGTGGAGATGGGGTGTTGCTATGTTGCCCAGGCTGGTCTCAAACTCCTAACCTCAAGTGATTCACCCACCTTGGCCTCCCAAAGTGCTGGGATTACAGGCATGAGCCACCGTACCTGCCCTCATGTGGCTATATTTAAATTATGTGCTAATAATTGTACGTGCAGAATTGCTTATAGAAATGTATTCTTCATTGAGAAAGGACTTACATTTGCTTTTGCCAGGCAGTTGAGATTATTGTAAACTGAAGTGTCTAGGAAGCCTTATGTAGTTCAAGTTCATTCTTCTTCAGTATCTCAACTTGAAATGGGGAGATTTACCAGCAACTCTCCTCATCTTGGCAGGCCCTAGAATATAATCCATTCCCTTAATTTAGCCTCTTACCCTTTCTCCAACCCCTCATGAATTGCCAAATGCTCCCAGGATAGAGCAGCCTTATCTTCCAATTTACCTTTTTAAGCCTCCAAATTGGTTCAGTAATTATATTCTCTCTCTTGTTGGTTCTCATTTTTTTTAAAAAAAAAAAAGTTTCTGGTTATCTTCAACAGGAAAATTGCTCTGAATTAATTTTCCTTCTTCAAACTTGGCTAGTCTAACTAATTTATCTAGGGTGATGCATCTAGAATAGCTCAGATAAGCCTAGCCATAAATCCTGTACTCTTTTGTTTAACACTAAACCATCTTTAGCCTCAACTGAAAAAACTGATTGTTTAAAATTGAACCCGAATTTTGCACTGCTAGCTACAAAAGTCAAAATAATTTAATATGCAAATGTGAGTCTCTTAAGGATGTTCTCCATATCTCATTTGCTTTTATATCCTTAGCACTTAGCATAGTATGTATTCAGACAGTATTTGTAAGTAAAAGAAAGAATAAGTAAAAGGATGAAATACATAAAATTCAAATGAAGATAGTTTCTATATGGATTATATTTCTCAACCTAAATTAATCCTCATCTAGTATATCAGGTGTCTTCCTTGTTCAATTTTCCTTTTCAAGATAAAATTTTTAAATGGTATAAGTGGAACACGTCTATAAATTCCAGGCTTCCATTCTCTGCTCCCCTATCCCAAATATTACAAGAGATTATCAAGATCAAGACTAGCCTAGTTTCTTTCTAGGAGTCCCTAGGACTGGGGAAGACTATCGGATGGTGGTCCAGTGCCAAATACTAGAAGGACCTATTCCTGTCAATCCAGCTTCAACATGCCTCAAACTGGACTCAGCATCATCTCCTTTTCCCTTACTAATTTATTCTCCTTCTCTGTGTTTACTACCGTATCTGGTGTCACTGCATCATCCTCCCAGTTGCCTGTACCAGAATCCTAGGGGTTATCTCTTATTGCATCCTATCCAAATCACCAAGCTTGGTGAGTCAGTGTCTACATATTTCTCACATTTGCCCCACCCCGAATATCTCTACTGTGACTGCTCTAATGTGAGTTCTCATCACTATTCACCTGGAGGTCAGCATTGGCCTTTTAACTGGTCTCACCTTTATCCTCTCTGGACCATCCCCACAGAGAGATCAAACACTGACACAACATTGCCTAAAGCCCTTTGGTGCTTTCCTACTGTCCACAGACAGTCTAAGCTCCTTGCCACAGTTGGTAAACTCTCCATAATCTGGCCCTTACCTATCTCTCAAACCTCCTTTTCCACTGTTCACCTTTGTGAGGTCCGTGGTCTAAAACTGCCAAACATATTACGTACACTTCCAAGTATTCCTGCTGTTCCTTCTGCATGAATTTCTCTTCCCTTACTTCTCCCCCTATTTAAAACTTTACTTATTCTTCAAGAATCACCTTCTGCCTCTTGAGTCTAGTCCAAGTGGCCCTTCCACATGCTCCTATGGCAAAGTGTCATCAAAACACATAATTAGCCTGTAATCTCAGCACTTTGGGATGCCAAGGCAGGCAGATCACTTGAGGTCAGGAGTTCAAGACCAGCCTGATCAACATGGTAAGACCCTATCTCTACAAAAAATACAAAAATTAGCCAGATGTGGTGGTGCATGCCCACAATCCCAGCTACTTGGGAGGCTGAAGCAGGAGAATAGCTTGAACCCGGGAGGTGGAGGTTGCAGTGAGCCAAGATCTTGCCACTGCACTCCAGCCTGGATGACAGAGCAAGGCTCCGTCTAAAACAAACAAACAAACAAAACAAGACCACCCCACATAATCAGTTTTTTATGACTGTCACCCTCACCTATCTGTAAGAAACTTGAAGCACTCCAGCTTAATGGTGGCATTTAATAGGCCCTTAGTAACAGTTTGAAAAACTAAATTGAATAATAATCATTAAGATTAATCAAAATTAGAATTTATATTGTCTAGGTGTCTTAGTCATTTCGATGGGTGGGGTTTATTTTGTTGTTCCTTGAGTGTATTTTTCTCTTAATTTTAAATAATATCTATAACTATGAATATTATATTTTAAAGATCCATTATATTTTCTAGCTTATAAATGGGTGATTATCATATTATTTTCAAAGCTTTTTTTTTTTTTAAACACAGCAAGATAGGCACGTTGATACTGAGCTCTCGTTTGCTCATTTTGGGGCCCTCACATATTTTGACATTTTTTTCATCTTCTCCATCAAAAGAGACTCAGTGTTCTGTAGGATGGTGCTCCATTTGTTAATATATTATCGTTATTAATATGTTACCTTCCTTCCTAGTGGGATTGGAACGTACATTGTTTTATGCCTTTATTCATTCCTCATCCTAACCAATTCCTTATATTTATGTCATGGAACCATCTCCCTGGTACCTCAGAGTAAAACTCTTCTCTCAGCAGAAATGATAAGTTCCCTAGTTGGTTATTTCAGTTGCTGGAGCAGTAGCTAGTGAGGGTCTCTGCCCCCTGCGATTAATCCAGACGATCGCTATCAACTTTCTCACCTTTGCTCTAAAAACCCCAGCTTCCCTTAGCTTTATAACAATAATGGTGATGCCTATTGCCAGTGATTTGAAGAAGCGACCCAGGGAAGAAGGGAGTGAATGCTTTTTACAAATGACTGGTTCTCCATTTGGTTTTATTGCTTATTCTCTTACAACTTATAACCCCCAAAAGGCAAAAGAAAAGTTCATTAGTTCAGTGTCTGACAGCTCAGAAACGAGTAACCCAACACATTTGTGTCCCCTCCATTGATTTAACCCTTGTCGTAAGTTGAATTTTCAAATAATGTCCACAGCTATATTTCTAGTCTCACATATTGTTCTGGAACCTTGCCACCTCCATCTGCAATAAGAAATGAAGTCCATCTCCCCTTCGCTTTGTGACTGCTTCAATGGGTATAGTGTCATGGAAATGATACTGAATAACTTCTAAAGTTAGGTTATGAAAGGCAACCTGGCCAGGCATGGTGGCTCATGCCTGTAATCCCAGCACTTTGGGAGGCCAAGGCGGGTGGATCACTTGAGCTCAGGAGATGGAAACCAGCCTGGGCAACATGGCAAAACCCTGTCTCTACTAAACATACAAAAATTAGCTGGGCGTAGCCAGGCGTGGTGACTCACGCCTGTAATCCCAGCACTTTGGGAGGCCGAGGCGGGCGGATCACAAGGTCGGGAGATCGAGACCATCCTGGCTAACATGATGAAACCCCGTCTCTACTAAAAATACAAAAAATTAGCTGGGCGCAGTGGCAGGCGCCTGTAGTCCCAGCTACTCGGGAGGCTGAGGCAGGAAAATAGTGTGAACCCGGGAGGCGGAGCTTGCAGTGTGCCGAGATCGCGCCACTGCACTCTAGCCTAGGTGACAGAGCAAGACTCCGTCTCAAAAAAAAAAAAAAAAAAAAAAATTAGCTGGGCTTGGTGGCACATGCCTGTAGTCCCAGCCACTTGGGAGGCTGAGGTGGGAGGATTGCTTGAGCCCAGGAGGCAGAGGTTACATTGAGCCAAGATTGTGCCACTGCACTCCAGCCTGGATAATAGAGTGAAAATGTGTGGCGGGGAGCGGGGGCGGGGAGGCAACCCACACCTTGGGAACACTGAGCTGCTCTTTATGATGATATCCAATTACCCTGAAGCTGCATGTTGGAAAGGTCATGTGGAGATATCATGTAGAGGGAGAGAGAGGCCCAATGAACCCCAGCTATTTTAGCTCTCATTTTTGCATCTTCCCAGTGAACTGACAGACAAAGGCTGGGAGCTGGAAACTTCTGAAGGCTCATTCACTTGCATGTCTGTCATGAAGCTTCAGGGCAGCTCCAGCTGATGCCAGGTGAGCAAAGATGAGCTATTTTCTCTATACCCTGCCAAAACTGCAGATTTGTGTGTGAAACAAATGCTGTTTTAAGCCACTACATTTTTGGAGGGGTTCTTATGCAGGAATATGTAATGAGAACACCCCTAATGACCTGAGCTCAAACCAGAAGTATTATTTAATCCCTTTTCTGTAAAAAAGTAGAAATTTAGGTTCTTGATGTGCTCTTTATGGCAGACAGAAATGACAAGTCAGAGTGTTTTAAACTCTTTGTTTCCAGGCTACTGGGTGAATATAACACAGGAGATATTTATTCAGGGCCTCTGGGAAGCTAGAGAAAGAAAGAATAATTAAAGTGGTCCAGAAGGAAGAGAAGCATGTGACAGGCTATGCCTGGTACCTCCAGACCAGAGGGTAAGGGATGACCATTCCTTTCTTGTACATGTGTATCACATTCCTGATTTTCCAAAAACGGTATTCACCACCCCCAGAGAAGAACGCGAAAGTCCTGCTTTTCAGAGTGCATGATTCTTTCCACAGAGAAAGAAGATTCCCCCCTCCCTTCCTCTCCTCTCCTTGCTACTTACTATATTTCTAGCGCTCGTGCCTCCATGATTAGAAGACAGGTGGATGACTGTCCATGGTGCTGCCCTCTGCTTACTGCACCAGACCATGTTTTGTTCCTTCACAGGAACCCACATCCACAGGCTCTGTGACTTACAAAGACAAAGGCATCCTAGATGCCTACATGATCTAGAATGTGTCACTAGGTCTTGTACATTTGTTGCAGATGGGATATAAAGAACGTCTAAAAGGGAAGACCACCCTTTGTTCTTTTCTTTACTCCAGTACCTTACCTTTCCTCCTCTATCTCTTTCCTTCACCCCATGCCCTCTCCCTACAGGCCTCTTTTATTGCTGTGCCAGATCGTTAAGTGGAGGTAGAAAGTGGATGGCAGTGGCAGGGTCCTGAGGGTCCAGAGGATAGGACTATGCTTCACAGTTATCCAGGTGGCAGCTGTGGTGAGGGCTGACAGAGATGCTCCATCTGAAGCCAGACCTGCATACCAATCCAGCCTCTGATGTTTGATTGCTGTGTGAGTGAAGCAGTCACTGAGTCACATTTTTTCTCATCTGTAGACAGACAACTCAGGCAGAGCAATGTGATGAGGATTAAGTGGGGTGCTGTATTAGAATCTTGTAAACTACAAAACATTCGGCTAATGAAGGGTTACTTCCTTCTATGGGGGCCCCAAAAAGAGATTAAAAAGTGGTAAAAGGATGAGTCCAAGGAACTACTGAAGGCTGCAGCAATGATGGGACCGATGAGGAGGGAGAAGTCCCCAGAGGCAGAGGAAATCTGGACCAGAGTCCTAGCCAGCTGGGTCTCATGGAGCTAACCTAGCAGAGAGAGAAAGAGGCTCACCTGGAGTTGGGCGGATGCCCAAAAGAAGGCGGCAGGCAAGGCTCAGAGCTGAAAGGGAGGAACAATTGTAATAATAGCAGCCATGTGCCAAGCCCTGGCCAAATGCCAGCCACTGTGCAAGGCTTACATGCTCATTTAATTCTCACAACAACTCTGAGGCACGTGTTACTATCCTCATTTTACACAGTGGAGAATGAGGTTCTGATAGGCCCAAGAAATTTCTAAAAATCTCACGGCCAGGAAATGGCAAAATCTGGATTCAAATCTAGGGTTTTCTATTTATTTATTTATTTATCTTGAGATGGAGTCATGTTCTGTCACCCAGGCTGGAGTGCAATGGCGTGATCTCGGGTCACTGCAACCTCCACCTCCCAGGTTCAAGCAATTCTTTTGCCTCAGCCTCCCAAGTAGTTGGAATTATGGGTGCCTGCCACCATGCCCAATTAATTTTTTTATTTTTAGTAGAGTTGGGGTTTTGCCCTGTTGATCAGGCTGGTCTCCGACTCCTGACCTCAGGTGATCCACCCGCCTCAGCCTCCCAATGTGCTGGGATTATAGGCATGAGCCACTGCGCCCAGTCCAAATCTAGGGTTTTCTTACACCTAACTAAGCCAAAGTTAGCAAGCTTGAGATAAGATTTTTGGGTTTTGTTTGGGTTTTTTTCATGATTTCTTTTCAAGACAGAGTTTCACTCTTGTCACCCAGGCTGGAGTGCAATGGCACAATCTCAGCTCACTGCAACCTCCACCTCCTGGGTTCAAGCGATTCTCCTGCCTCAGTCTCCCAAGTACCTGGGATTACAGGTGCCCACCACCATGTTCAACTAATTTTTGTATTTTTAGTAGAGACGGGTTTTCACTATGTTGGCCACGCTGGTCTCAAACTCCTGACCTCAGGTGATTCACCCTCCTTGGCCTCCCAAAGTGCTGGGATTACAGGTGTGAGCCATTGTGCTCGGCCGATTTTTTTTTTTTTTTAATAACAAAGAGAAGCATCAGATCAGAAGAACCTAATGTGAGGCAGACTCCAAAGCCAAGGGATCAAAGAACAGGGTGAGCAAAACAAGAGAGGGTAGGGGGACAAGTCAGAAAGGGGTCTGTGCGAGCACCAGAAACATGCACATACCCTCTTCCCTGTGGAGTGGCTCATGGGTGGGCCAGGCACTTTTAAAGAGCTGGGAACAGAGCAATCTTCTGCAGCCTGTTCTCATGTGAGGACCAGAAAAGTTTCCGCGTGGGTCTCCCTGTGCTCGTGTTCCCATCTCGTCATTGTAATTGATAGCATTAGTGCATGGTATCAACCAGCATTTGCCAATGTTTGTTCTGTGGGACCTTAGTTCTGCAGGGTTAATAGATACAACTTGGAATGAAGATTCAGTTAAATTCACTTCAGTTTAACACACTTAGTGAATACCCACAAACAGAGCTATGAAGTGTGTATTCGACCATGAACAATAGGTGAAGTCTCTGTTTTCATGGAGCTTGTAGACCAGATGTTCAGTAAGTTTGGAAAATGTTACGCCACAGTGATATCGGTTTCTTTACTGCAAACATTTCAGGGTCTTATTATGCTAATAATCATTGTGACTTTATAAGAGTGGGGTAGAGTATATAGCGTTCCCCCATGATATCTATCCATGGAATCCTATTTTACTTGTTGTAAAGTCTCTTCTTGTGGCTCCCAGGCTAGTGTTCTTTTTTCTTTCTTTTTTTTTTTTTTGAGATGGAGTTTTGCTCTTGTCACCCAGTGGAGTGCAATGGTGCAATCTCAGCTCACTGCAACCTCTGCCTCTTGGGTTCAAGCAATCCTCCAGCCTCAGTCTCCCTAATAGCTGGAATTACATGCACCCACCACCACGCCTGGCAAATTTTTTTATTTTTAGTAGAGACGGGGTTTCACCATGTTGGTCAGGCTGGTCTCGAACTCCTGACCTCAGGTGATCCTGCCTCGGCCTCCCAGAGTGCTGGGATTACAGACATGAGCCACTGCGCCCAGCCCAGGGCTAGTATTCTACAGAACAAGCTTGCAGGGGATGCTAGGGCAGACAGAGAATGATACACACCCCTTCACCTCCCTTCATTTTACCACAATACTGGTAGTGTGGCCAAAAGGAATGATGGGGAACACATAAGCCCAGAACATGGCAGCCAGGTGACACAACTATGGGGGTAAGGGTGCCATTCATGGATGCCAAGTGATGGCTGCCTCTCAACACTGAGCCTGATGAAGAGTCAAGACTACCTGGAAATCGCCACAGGTGAGCCCACGGAAGGTGTGTGCTTCTCTGAACAGGATTGAGAAGCTCACTGGGCCAAAGATATAGCAGGAGAAGGAGAAACAGAAAGTGGAGCCTTGGGAGAGGGAAAGTCCTTTGCTCCTAGGCCATAAGAGAGGGGGAGGATTTTCTGTCACAGTCCTGTGGGAGGACCTAGGTGGCAGCTGCCCTGGCGTAGGGGAACTGCATATCCTGTCTTATAGATATAAAGAGAAGTGCTCCTGGAGCCAGCGTGGGGCTTTGTATGCCAGCAATCAAAGTTTATCACTCAGGCAAACAAGCCAGAGGAAAAGAGCTGACAAATGGCTAGCATTTCCCCCGCTTTCTTCTCCAGGAAGACGTTTTGGTCTTGGTTTCCCTCTGGGTTTTTCCTCTCTCTGATCTCTCTTGCCCTCACGCAGTGTTCCCTGCCCAGGCATTACATAACAGCCTGGACTGCAGGGAACACCTATACAAGAGGCCATGACAGTTAGACAATGGGCAGGCACAGGCTGCCCTGAGAAAATGGAGTCATTCATGAGCTGTGTGAGAGGCGGCTCTGTTCCCAGCTTGGCTCACTGGTAAATGAAGTGCGCTGGGGACAAAGAGGGAAACTTTACACTCTAGCAATTTTCCCACAGTGGCAGGCTCACAGAAAAACAAGGCACTAGTTGGCTTAGAGGAGAAAAGGCAACCATATCCATAGACTTTGCTTTCTCCCCCAGATTGCCGTCTTGTGCCAAAACCACAGAATAAACTCCCAGGGAGGGAACAGCAAGGCTATACTCGCTCTGGGTCTCAAACGACAGAAGCCAGAGAAAAGATGTGGGTCTGCCTTCGGCTTCTGTTTCCATGGCTGCTTGATGGGTTTTCATTTCTGATCAGCTCACATTTGACCTCTGATCTAGGTCACCACCTTAGAGGGAAGGAATGTTTTCAGTCGAGATGATCATCCTGAGATAAATAATAACGGCTCCCCCTATCGCAGCTGCTCAGCAGGGTCGGGGAGCACCTTCCTCTAACACAGCCGGCTGGCTCGCCTGATCTTAGGGGCTCTTCAGCCCACACTGCTTAGGGCTGTGTGTGGAGTCACACCTGGAGAATACTTTGCTGTGGGGCCCAGGGCCTCTTTGGGTGGGAATCTATGCTGCAGCTGCAGGTATAGTGCTGTCCTATAGACCATAAGGTGCTAAAAATTTAACCAAAAAGTTATTGAGTGTCTTATAGTGGGTGTTTTATATAAGACTAAATTTTATGTCAAGAAAATACCAAGGTTATTACAAATAATCTTATATGTTAAAAACAATTACCAAATCCCAGCAATGACCTACTTACCTATTTAAAGAAATACCAAGCTCTTATCCAACTTACCTATTTAGGGACTTCTGGAGTCCATTACAGAGCTACTCAACCCACGGCAGTAATCCTCCCTCTGAGAATACTACTGTAATCCTCAAGTGCAGAGTAGAGACTACTGTGCGGTAAGTATTATAAGGTATTAAGATACCTCTCTATCCACCCTGGAATCTTGCCTTCCTCCCCAGTCCTAGAGAGACCCACAGGATAATGAGGGAAGGGAATTAGGTGGTATAAAATGTTTCCTAAATGATAAATGGACGCCAATGCCATCCAGCCTGGAAATACATGTACATGTAAAATGGACCTGGGTTTGCCAGCTCAGCCTCATACAGGAAGACTCTATCCTTCTGAGCACCAAGCCTACAACATGAGTAAATGCCGGTTGCTTAGGAATACAGAGGTTAAATGCTCTGGGTCAGACAGATGGGCCTGGATCCTAATTTCAAAACTTAGTAGCTGTGTGACCTCAAAGGAGTTGCTTCACTTTTGCTGCCTCCACTGTATTGTCATAGTGGTCACAATATTTAGGAAGGTGGGCTAGGACAGACCAAGCATCTCTCCTGGGAGTGCTGAAGGAAGTGGACACCAGGGCGACCCCCTCTCTGGGGCCATTCTTAGCCAAGAGTCCCTGCCCACAGCACTGAATACCCTCATGAGACCAGTGGCCATTTTTTGAGGAGAATCCCCATTAACCTGGGAAAACTTCACAACAGACCAACATCATTTCCTGCATTGGGGCTTGGAAACCACTGCATGAAATAATTTATCTGTTACTGTTTAATCCTATACTGGCTTTAGTTATATTATTTATAGAGACACCTTTAAAGTTTTCTCCTTTATGCATCAGGTGTAGCTAGGCAACGTTCGCTACATCTACGTGCCTCCCCTAACTGTTTCCACTTCAGCATTTGAGGGAAGAATCAAAAGCCCTTGGGCTTGGAGATGCTCAGAGAATAGGCACGAGGCAATATTTTCTGAGCTCTCACCACATCCCGGGTACCATGCTAGACTTGTGTACCTATGGTACTCCCAACAGAGTGAGGCAGAGAGGTGATGCAGTGGGTTAGAGCCTAAGAATGGAGACTGGAAACCTATGGGAGCATGTGCTAACCAGGGTGGTGGTGACCAGAGAAGGCTTTCCAGAGGAAGAGATAGCCAAGCTGAGTCTTGATGAATAGCCAGGTGCAGGTGTGGTGGTGCACCCAGGCAGAAGGAGTACAGCAAGAAAGGACTTGGCCAGCCCAGAGAGCCTGCCTGTCTGATGTGTTGCAGTAGATCCACAGAGCTGCAGAATTGGAAGAGGTGGTGAGGGAGGAGGGGGAGAATAGGAAGGCAGGAGCCAGGTCTCCATAACGCTCCTAATTCCCTCTGGGACATCATCTGTCCCTCAACAATGCCTCTAATAGAGATATCTGCTGCTCTAAACATTTACTGATGCCTTAATCTTTCAAGCAGAATGGTAAAGAAGAAAAAGCCTGTGGGTACCTCCTCGCATGTGTTGTTTGTTTATTGTGAGACAAGGTCTAACTCTGTCACCCAGGCTGGAGTGCAGTGGCACCATCACGGCTCACTGCAGCCTTGACCTCCTGAACTCAAGCAATCCTCCTACCTCAGCCTCCTGAGTAGCTGGGACTACAGGCATGCACCACCACACCCAGCTAATTTTTGTATTTTTTGTGGAGATGGGGTCTTACCATGTTGCCCAGGCTGGGATTCCTCACATGTTTTCACATAAGTAGTCCCTATACTTGCCTTGTTCTTTCCAATTGAAGAGAATTCTTCAGGCAATTAATTTTATGCTTCCACAACGATGTCTCTTCTCCCCACTGCTCTTTGAAGCTGATCTTTGTTGGAAAAATTATTTTTCATCAAATTGATCTAGATTACTCATTGACTAGCTTGTTGACCATAGTTGCTTCTCAAAAAAAGCTCACCTGTTAAGCTTAACAATAGGTACCAGTATTGAACTAGTATTATATGCCTGGCATGATGCTGGGTGCTTCTGAAACATTTTCATTCAATACGCATAGCAAATTAATGAGGAAGACACTATGATCATTTCCCCTTACAGATGAGAAAAATAAAGCTTGATAAAATAACAGCTTATACGTGACAGAACTGGATTTTAATCTATTTGATTCCAAAATCACCACTCTTAGCCAATTCACTCCACTGCTATTATAAATTGTTTTTGAGAACAACTTAAAAGAAAGACATGTGGCTGTTGCTGCATGATGGACAACCAAGTTTTTTGACCAGAAAACATTTTGCCCCTTGCAGAAAGAACTCGGGAAAGCAGCAGGCAGTCTGGAATGGCAATGGGAAGATCCAAAGGCAGCAAAGGCTTCTCTCCGCCATGTGAAAGGCCTGAGTTTAGATACTTCAGGGAAGTTTTAATGCCAACCTTCTGTAAAATCCCCATTCTCTAATGTATGGCTTTAATTAACAATCATGTATCAATATTTGTTAATCATAACAAATGTACCATACTCCTGTGAGATGTTATCAACAGGAAAAATTGAAGGAGAGGTGCATGGAGCTCTGTACTATCCTTGCAATTTTTCTGTAAATCTAAAACTGTTGTAAAAAATAAAGTCAGGGGAGGAGCAAAAAGAAAAAACGTTTATTTTTTATTGAAAAGAAAAACCCTCATTCTCCACAGCCACATCCATATTTCAGAATTGTTCTTAGAAACTTCCAGAAACAATTCATTTACTGTATATAACATTATGGCCTAGATTAAACTGATCAGTAATTATTAATGCTTAACGTTAGTGCGGAAGCTCAAAAATTATATACTAGAGTGTTTGTGTAACTCTAAATCTTAAGATACATGTCAGTGATACCCGAAGCTTCTTTTTTTTTTTATTTTATAGAGAAAACATAATTGACAAAATGGTCACATACTTTTTAAACTTTGTTTTCGACATCTTTGGGAATTGTAACCATTGAACCCCATGTTCCTGATTCAAGCTCCTCTGTGCATCTCTTAAGAGTTGTTGAATTGAAGTCATAATGCCTGGGATGGAAGAAAAGGCTTCCAAGGGGCTGATCTCACAAATCAGCGGATAGGCTGACCAGTTACTCTGTTTGTTCTCAGGCATGTGAAAGCGTTCTCTGGTCCTAAACATCCTGTTCTAGTTGTGCCCCATTTGTTGAGGGGTTGAGGGTGGCATTGATGCAGTCTCCATGCTTTAACTAGGCTGCTATTACCTATTACCTGCCTGCCTCAGCTTCCAACTACCACCCAGGTTAAGAGGGCATGTCTGATGAAGAAACCACCTCCCTTAGTCAAGATGATTCAACTTCATTCTACTCTCATCCCCTTTCTCCAGGTGGAAATCTGAGGGTCTGAGGAGGAGACAGAGAGAGAAAGGGGACGCAAAAAGGCTCAATTCTCAGGCTTCTGTCCCAACAACATCAGTATTATCTTCATAAATTTAAAAAATATATAGCTTTATATTATATATAAAGTCATATATATAACTATATATAACTATAACTATATATATAACTATATATATAACTATATATATAACTATATATATAACTATATATATAACTATATATATATAAAACAATGTAGAAAGACTGGTCAACGTGAGTTTCATTATTATCCAGAAAGCCAGCAGGAGTTGGATGAGCTCATTCACAGAGACCACTGGGTTTTAGGAGCAGGGATTTTTATCCCTCTGGACTGGGAGAGTTGGGAAAAATGAAAGGATCCAAGCTTTACCAAATTCAGACTCACATTTTAGTTCCCAGCCAAAGGTCATGTTGAAGCACAGTGAGAAGCAGTTTCCCTGAGGAAGGGGGTTGGACTTGGAGGTTGGTTCCCCTATTTAGATTCAGACAATGGGAGGGAAGTTTATTACTTTTACAGCATGGTGACAATGCAATGCTTGGTAAAAAACAGTTCTCAGGACATTTAGAATTTGTTCTCTTTCCCTGCCATGTGCTTATGGGATGCTCCCATAAATCCCTTCTCTTATCTGGATACAGGGACCTATTGACTAGTCCTGCTAGGGATTGGGATCTGGAAAAAGCAATTTTTTTCTTTGGTTTGTGCATTTTTAAAATGCCTGTGCAAGGACTAAGAACCTGCTATTCATATTCCCAGGAAAAGATAACTGTATCAATTACTAGATACGGCACCTTGGTCATCAAGAGTGAGTCCAACGACTAGCAGGTGTCTTGGTTTGTGAGGCGCCCCCTCCAGCATTAATGGGAAAAGAGATGAGGGCCAGGGCTGGGTGTGTTGGCTGATGCCTGTAATCCCAGCACTTTGGGAGGCTGAGGCAGGGGGATCACAAGGTCAGGAGTTCGAGACCAGCCTGGCCAACAGGGTGAAACCTTGCCTCTTCTAAAAATACAAAAAAATAGCCGATGTGGTGGCATGCGCCTGTAATCCCAGCTACTCGGTGGGCTGAGGCAGAAGAATCGCTTCAACCTGGGAGGAGGAGGTTGCAGTGAGCGGAGATCGTGCCACTGCACTGCAGCCTGGGTGACTGAACAAGACTCTGTCAAAAAAAAAAAAAAAAAAAAGATGAGGGTCCAGAGATTCCAGTCTAATGCCTCACTCCTGGGTCGATCTCACCAAATAGCAAAGGGTTTCCTGTTCACCCTTTCCATACTGGAACAAGTGAGAGGTGGAGGATGGTGAATCATTTTCCAAAGCCAGAATTGGCCCTCTTGGAATCTTTGTGCATTTCTGATGGAATGTAGGAAAATTAAGGGAAATCGGGAGGCTCCAGGGATTTAGCATGGTTCGGGCCACAGCACAAGGTCCCATAGGCTCTGAAAGACTAAGCTATAGCTCCAATACAGGCGTTATCTGACTCCAAAGTTCAGGCCTCTTCTACTTGAGATCTGAGTCCCTCACACTGGAGCATGGTCAGTTAAGGCTGCAAAAGGGAGAGAGTAATGGAGGTCAGCGTTGAATAGATACGAATATAAACTCTTGGGCACTGTTAACGCCAAACAGCCTGACATCTTACTTCAGATATAACTGTAACAGTGTCCAAAATCCAATATTAGCATTTAAAACTTGTAGCACACTTATTGTGGAGTCATTGAGTGATGCAGAAAGAAAAAAAAATAAAGCCCTGAGAATTCAGCTCATTTACCCAAGTCACTGACGCATTTAAGGAACAGCTCTTATAAGTCCATTTAGGTGGTTTAGGGCTGCGGAAGATGCCCAGAATCCCTAAATAGAAATAAGTACTGGTCATCAGAGCAGTGCGGTTAGGCCCTTTCTGGCCAGGAGGTCATCTTGGGCTCCAGAGCCACTTGTTCAGCTCTGATATCTAAACAGCCAAAGTGAATTATTCACTTAGGAGGGTGAAAAACACTCAACTCCCTGGGATTGTCAAATGGAGTTTTCCATCATAAAATATCTTAGTCATTTGGAATCTAACCAAAGTAAACGCCTGGTCCTGACCCATCCATACCTCTGTGCTGGATGGGAAAGGAGAGAGGGAAATCCCAAAACAAATGGAAAAGCCACTTTGCCAGCCACAGAGCATGCATGGCCCTCCCTGGGCAGGTCTACTCCAGGTGAGACACGGTTTGAGCCAGGCTACAGGTGAGGAGCGGGTCACGGGAGGGCTCTAAATGGCATCTCTGTTTGATTCCAGGCCTGAGTGGGGCTGCGGCTTACATAACAGTTTGGCAGGGAGATGCAGCCAGGCGGAAGCACGCGGGTTTCCAGCAGCGTATAATCATCTTTGATTTCTCTGTTTGCTCAGCAGCTTTCATGTGGTGGGGGAGGCAGTAGTGCAGGAGGAGGGGCAGAATTCCGATACACTGCGGCCTTCTGTTTTCTTCTGCAAAACAAACAGCCCCAAACAGATCCCCATGGCCAGGGAATTAGCCACTGCCACAGAAGTCCCGTGGCAGTCTAGGGGAGGAGCTGCCCTGGAGCCTGGGTCAGGCCTAAGAAGGTCAGAGATTGACTTAAAGTTACGGTCTCGCTAGGTGCACAGGAGCCCAAAGGGCTACCGAGGAGCAGGGGTCTTGGATGCTGGCAGCACCTAACATGGTTTACCCTCTTGGCACTGAGGGCTGTGGTGTCCCCTTCTGATTACAGAGGTTACTGAATCCCATACTACGTCCATCCAGAAAGGCAGCTTGTCAGGTCTCTTTCCTACTAATCACTGCCTCCATACCAGGCTAATTCTGCTGGAATCCTGAGCATCTGGGAGCAACCAATTTAGAAAATAACATTTCCTTTGACTAAAATACAAATTTCTAGCTCCTTTTGATCCTAATCGGTTTGGAATTGAGTAGCAGCTGTTCCCCTTTAGAATGGGCTCATACTCACCACTTGCTGCGGTCTGCACTATTCCCTATTGTCTTACACCAGGAGATCTTTTCATTTAGTTACCCTGCTTGCCTGGCCCTTGCAGACATTTGTAAGATGAATTCCCTGCCCTATCCTAAGTATAATGATTTGATAGAATATAATTTGCTTACCTCTCTGATTCTCCCACTAGACTGTAAACTCTTTTGACAGAAGCACAAATTGGTCATTCATTTATTCATTCAACAATTATCTACGGCATGCCCACTTTGGACAGAGTGCTAAGTGCTAGTCATTGTGTTAGGAATATAGAATTTATCATGGGGGCCTTTAGTGCCTGGCACTTAGCACATGCCGTATACATGTGATTAGATTAAATGAATACATAAATAATTCTTCCAGCATGCAAACTGTTGATCTTGGCAGTGAGGTTCTGTTACCAATGTGTCCACCCTCTCAACCTTATGAATAGGTTTATTGACAGGATACATCTTGTTTTGCAAGTGATTTGCATGAACTTGTATAATGTTGTGCTCAGATATTTCCTTACATTCAGATATTTTCTAACCCCCAGCTTGCATCTCTGGCCTCATGTTTTGCTACTCCCTGCCCTATCAGCCATGAGGAACTGCTTGTATGACCTCCCTGAACTCACTCTGCTCCTGGGGCCTCCACGCCCTTGCTCACCCTCTCCCCTTAGTCTGGAAAGCCTTCATTTTGTCCTTTGCCTCATTACCACCCCTTCCCTGGCCAGCTCCCAGCCACCTCATAACCCTCACTCAGACATCTTCTTCCCAGGAGCCTCCTCTGATTCCTCCAGGCTGAGTTAGGAGCTTCTACTCTTTGCTCTCATTTGCGGTGTGGCTCTTTTACAAGTCTGTCTCCACCACCATGCTGCAAGCCCTGGAGGCAGGAACTGGACATTTTTTGTTATCTCTGTGTTTTCAAGGCCAATCATAGAATAGGAACTTTGTATATAGAAAGAACAATTCAGTCATGCTTGTGAATGAAACCCTAGCCAGGCCTGCACCTGTTTTAGCACATCAGTGCACACACACCCTCAATTTTGACACTCCCCTGCAGAGTCCAGATAACCAACCAAGGATCCAAATGGATTCTTGTTTTGGACAGAGTCTAGCTCTCTGTTGACATATCATGTTCTTTCCTCTATTATAGTAACTACCCATGCTCTGTGTGTTTTCTCAAGTTTTCTGTGTTTGAATACATGAAATTCTTTTGCTCTTTGTATGAAAACAATGCCATCTGTTCACTAGATAGAAATTCTGGAAAGCTTCAGAAAAGCAACCAGGTTTTACTGCAGAACAGTCTAAGATATACCTCAGTGGGATTCTGGGTGGGAGGCAGATAAGATTAGGACAAGAACAACTTGGAGTTCTTAGTTTTGTGTGGTTCCCTGCCCCCCTTTTTTTGATTTTAGATTTTAGAACTTTTCTCTCAAATTCATTTCAATGAGATTCATGCTCCAGTGAAAACTAACATTCTTCTTACATTCCAGCCTAGCAGCCTCAGGGGTGATGATAGTCTTCAGGAACTTTCTGGGATAATGGAAGTGTTCCATATACAAGGGCACTAATAACATAGGGGTGTACATTTGTTTAACATTTTTTGAATAGTATATTTATGATCAGTGAATTTCACTGGAAGGAAAGTTTAACACAATTTTAAAAATTTTATTGAGTACCTACTATGGCCCTGGAACTCATCTGGGTACTGTTTTGGTACTCAAAAAAAGGCCATTAATGAAAAACTCACAGCTAACATTACAATCAATGGGAAAAACTGAAAGCTTTTTTTTTTTAAGTTCCAGTGCAAGACAAGGCTGCCCACTCTAGTCATTTCTATTCAACATAATATTGGAAGTACTCAACCAAGCAATTGGGCAAGGAAAAGAAATAAAAGGCACACAAATCAGAAAGAAAGAAGTAATACATGCAGAATACATGACCCTGTATGTAGAAAATCCCAAAAACTCCAGGAAAAACTCTTAGAACTAATAAATGAATAAGTAACTTTGCAGAATACAAAATTAACATATAAAAATCTGTTTAATTTCTGTACACAAATAATGACCTCTTCAAAAAAGAAATTAAGAAAACAATCCTATCATTTAAAAAAAGTGAAGTATTTAGGAATAAATTTAATCAAGGAGGTGAAAGACCTATCCAAAGAAAACTGTAAAACATTAATGAAAGAAATTGGCTGGGCACAGTGGCTCATGTCTGTAACCCCAGCACTTTGGGATGCCAAAGTGGGTGGACAACTTGAGATCAGGAGTTTGAGACCAGCCTGGCCAACATGGTAAAACCCCATCTCTACAAAAAATACAACAATTAGCCAGTGTGGAGGCACATGCCTGTAGTCCCAGCTATTCAGGAAGCTGAGACATGAGAATCGCTTGAACCCAGGAGGCGCAGGTTGCAGTGAGCCAAGATTGTGCCACTGCACTTCAGCTGGGTGACAGAGTGAGACTCTGTCTATGGAAAGAGAGAAAGAAAAGAAAGAAAGAAAAGAAAAAAGAAAGAAAGAAGGAAGACACAAATAAATGAAAAGATATCCTTCATTCATGGATTGGAAGAATTAATATTCCTTTTTTTTTTGACAGTCTCAATCTGTTGCCCAGGCTGGAGTGCAGTGGCATGATCTCAGCTCACTGCAACCTCCACCTCCTGGGTTCAAGCAATTCTCCTGCCTCAGCCTCCCAAATAGCTGGGATTATAGGCATGCACCACCATGTCTGTCTAATTTTTGTAATTTTTGTAGAAATGGGGTTTCACCATGATGGCCAGGCTGGTCTTGAACTCCTGACCTCAAGTGATCTGCCCACCTGGGCCTCCCAAAGTGCTGGGATTATAGGCATGAGCCACTGCACCAGGCCTGGAAGAATTAATATTCTAAATGTTCATACTACCCAAAGCAATCTACAGATTAAATGTAATCTTTATCAAAATTCCAATGGCATTCTTCATAGAAATAGAAAAAACAGTTCTAAAATTTGTATGGAACCACAGAAGACCCTGAATCACCAAACCAATTCCAAGAAAGAAAAAACATAGTTGGGGCACCACACTACTTCACTTAAAATTATATTATACAGTTACAGTAATTTTAAAAAGTACTGGTATAAAAACAGGCACATAGACCAATGGAACAGAATAGCGAGCCCAGCAATAAACACAAGCATATATGGTTAACTAACTTTTGACATGGCCTCCAAGAGAATACAGTGAGGAAAGAATATTTCATGTGAAAATAAAGGGGCTGGAAAAACTAAATTTCCACATGCAGAGGAATCCAATTGGAATTTGTCTCACACATACACAAAAATAAACTCAAATTGGATAAAAGGCCCAGATGTAAGACCTGAAACCAAAATCTCCTAGAAGAAAACATAGGGAAAAAGCTCCTTGACATTCACTTTGGCAAGGATTTTTTAGATATCACACCAAAAACTCAGGCTATAAAAGCGAAAATAAATAGGACTGCATCAAACTAAAAAGCTTTGGCAAAGCAAAGAAAATAATCAACAAGATGAAAAGTCAGCCTATAGATTGGGAGAAAATATTTGCAAACCATATATCTGATATGGAGTTAATATACAAAAATATAAAGAACTTGTACAACTCAGTATCAGAAAAATAAATAACTTGATCAAAAAATAGACCTGAATATACTTTTCTCCAAAAAAGACATAAAGATGACTACAGGTATATGAAAAGATGTTCAACATCACTAATCATTAGGGAAGTACAAATCAAAACCACAATGAGGTATCACCTCACAACTGTTAGAATAGCTATTATCAAAAAGACAAGAGATAACAAGTGTTTGTGAGGGTGGGGAGAAAAGGTAACTTTATTACACTGTTGGGGAGAGTGTAGATTCATGTAGCCACTGTGGAAAACAGTATGGAGGTTCTGAAAGAAATTAAAAATAGAACTACCAGATGAGCCAGCAATCCCTTTTCTTGGTATATACCTGAAAGAGATGAAAATATATCCACCCCCATACTCATTGCAGCATTATTCGCAATGCCAGGATAATCAAAGTGTCTGTTGACAGACGAATGGCTAAAGAAACTGTAGTACATATACACAATGGAATACTATTCAGCCTAAAAAAGAATGAGATCCTGCCATTTGTAAAAACATGGATGAACCTGGAGGGCATTATGCTAAGTGAAATAACTAAACACAGAAAGAGAAATACTGTATGATCTCACTTACATATGAAATATTTTTTTAAGTTGAATATACGGAGGTAGAGAATAAAAAAGTAATTACAAGAGCAGGGGCTGGGGAGGAAGGAAATAGGGAGATATAGGTCAAAATATAAAAAGCAGCAGATATGTAGAATGAACAAGTATAGAGATCTAATGTACAGCATGAAGACTACAGCTAATAGTATTGTATTATATTGGGGATTTTTGCTAAAAGAGATTTTAGTTGCTCTTGCCTCACACACACACAAAAATGAGTAATGATGTGAGATGATGGATATGTTAATTTGCTTGACTACAGTAACCATTTCACTATGTACATCAAAATGTCATCTTGCACACCTTAAATATATACAATAAAATTTAAATAAATTGCAAAAAAAATAGTAAGAATCATTTCTTGAATACCTACTATGTCCCTGGCACTCATCTGGGTAGTGTTCTGGTAGCATTCTAGGTGTATCTAGGGGATAGATTAGAGAAAAAGCAGATGAAAATTCCTACCCTGGTGGAGCTTATATCTTTGAATGTCAATTTCACACATTCAGTACAAAAGGGCATGCTGATATTTATCCTCATTGAAGCTGTTGACCTCCTTCAAGGGCTTGTCAATACCAGGACTGCTCAAAATGATTAACCAGATGATTTGGACTGCACTGGAATTTGATTAGTGGTAATTTGAAACATCCAATAATATTTGCCTTGCCTAGTGATAAGCAGATACTTGGCAAAGAGGATGGAGTACAAGCCTTGCTTTATCTCAGAACACAGACATCAGGGACTGTAGGAAAGAATGCTCTAGAAGGAGGTCCCCTCCCTGGGGCAGGCCCTGTGTTGGAATGGAATGCAGATTTCAGGTCGGAGAAGGCAAGTGGAGAAGGCCACTGTCCAGGTCTGTAGGTGGGACAGACACAGAGGGCTGGCTGTTTCCCTTGATGGTTCTCACCAGTAGCCAAAATCAGGGATCTAAAACAGAGTCTTTTAACAGGGCTGCTTTATGGAAGAGAGGGGCTAGAGTCGAAAACCAAAACTGCTCCAAAGTAGTCCAAAGAAGCTAATATGGAAACAGCCATTTTTCATAGACTTATTCATTTAGATTAGGATGATATGAATTGAAGAATCTTTTTTTTTGATATTGGTCAGAGACTTAGTGTAAGAAAATTGGGAATATTAAAAAGAAACAACATTGTGACTGGTCTATGATTTATATTACTAATAGTAAACTGCCATTGCTGAACATGCTTAGAAAACATTTTAAAGAAGCTCTGTAGAACTTAGGCTACAAGACTACAACCTGTATCACTTAAGGAAGTTATTATGCTCATAACATTGCCAACTGATGGAATGTGCCTCTGCTGACTTGTACCCAGGCCAGCCCACACCACAGACTGCAGTCAAGTCTTCTCTGCATGTCTTCATCAGCCCCCCACCCTCTGTTTATTAAGGCCACAGTGGAGCCAGCCTGGAGGAACAGGGCTAGGAAGGAGGGCGTGGATCCAGGAACCCAGTACAAATCACATGCAATTCCTCACTGTCTCTAATTTTTATTCTCCAGTGAAGATCAATGTAGGAGAGAAAGATAAATGCAAGGAGGGCACCTTGGGGAGTTAAGGGAAAGTAATGGTGCTGACTGCATGCTCTGGGAGTTGTTGTCTTCTCATATCTGTGCTAGCAGGGCAATTTTCTTCTTGCAACACCACATTCCCCTCTACCTTAACAGTGGATACCTGAACAGTTTATTTTGCCATTTAAAAAGATGCAGAATACTCCTCTCAATCCTTCAATCATACAGATTACAGGAAAAAAAAAAAGAGATTAATACAAGTAGAAATGAGCCTCGGTTTTGCCTCTGGTGTGTCACTGTAGAGGAATCACCTCTTTTTCTAAGCCCCTCTATTCCCTAGGCAGCACCCTAGGCTGTTGAGGCTACACGCCAGCTGGTGCAGCTCCACAGTACCATTCCTATTTGACAGATCTAAGAGGATCCCAGGTATGTAATAAATGGTCATGAGAGGTTCTGCTGACTGTGGACACCAACATACTTGCAGCTTCATTGAATGCTCTAGAAGGAGGTCCCCTCCCTGGGGCAAGCCCTGTCCTGGTAATGGAATTCAGACTGCAGGTCGGAGGAGGCAAGTGGAAAAGGCTGCTGTCCAGGCCTGCGGGTAAAACAGAGAAATGGCTGGCTGCATCTTCCCTTTCTCTATTTTCTTTCCTCCAGTGTATACAAAGTGCTGATGTAAAATTTTCTGATCTCCATCAGCAATCATCTTCAAATAGCAAAGTGGAGAAGGCAGCAAGAAGGGCAATAAACCCAGGGAAAGAAAAGAAAGAAGTCAGCAGCCATGGAGGGAGGCTCAAGTGAGTGGCAGGGGTGATGAGAAACCTGGCCTCCAGGTAGAGAGCACAATGTGAAACTGTGCAGGGGAAGTCAGTTTTCTAAACTGAAGGACACAGCATATCTGTTTTGATGATGTTAGTATTAGCCTATCCCTGGAGATGAGAGTCTCAGCTTAGGCCTCTTACAGAAAGCCTGGTAACTGGTGGTTCTTTGGGAATCCCAGATGTCATGAAAGCTGTCTTCAAACTGAGAGTTAATCGTAGTCTCAAATTTGATGTCCCTTCCCAATCCTCACCATGTGGGTTAGCTTGAGATCTTTTCAGAACATAAATTCTTGCAAAAAAAAGTACTGGAGTTGGTCAGAAGTCCTGGGTTCAAGTCTTAACTCTTAACCATGTACAAATCATTTATATGCCAATTCAGTTTTCTCATTTGTGAGATGGGAAGGTTAACACCACCCTGCCTGCCTCCCTGGGTGGCTATGGGCTGAGGCTCCAGTGAATGAAGGTGAAGCTTGTGCCAGTGGAACCAGGGTTGGCATTTTTCTGTGCGTCATCTGTAATGCTCTGCTCAGGGCAGGTGTCCTCACAGGTTAAGTAACAAGCGGAATGATGCAACAAAGGCAGTACTACTCTCTCTACGTCTGTCACTAAGAGGCTAGGTTGCAAAACATGGATCTCGTTTCAATATCTGTTTCTTTAGGCTTCAAGAAACAAGATCTAAAGCTTCCTTTCCTAGTATTATCCCAGGCACCTCCCGGGCCTGAGCTCACCCTACCTGCACGCACAGCCCTTCGGAAGAATCTTGGAGAGCCACTGCCAAAGTCATTACTGCTATCCTCATTCTGCCCCATATCGTGAATATAGCAATCAAAGGGGCACCTCATGCATGATCGGGAATTTTCCCTGCATCCAACTCTTAGGAGTACGTGCACCAGAAAGTGGGCTGACCAAGGTCGAGTGCTTATTAGTTTAATAATTGGAACACCCGTGGTACTTCCTGCCAAGTGTTCAAAGACATGACAATAAAGTTTTTCCATTTGGCACTGGTGGCTTGGGGGTGAACCTTGCTGGTGCACACAGGGCTGGAGTTGAGGAGCTGGAGGTCACCCTGACCCCTGCTCCTGGAGCCATCACCTCCTTGTCCATGATCATCAGACTTGCATTTCCATGTGAATGAGCCAAGGGAAGAAGTGTTTCTGAGTTTTATGGGCCTTTTATTCTCTTGTTTTCTTTAAAAATTGGACCAGGAACTCCAGCCCTTTCAGCTTTCTTCCTCTCCCTGGAGTCCCACTGGTGCACATTACTGCTAATGGGGCTTTGCGCCTGCCAACCCAAAAGGAAGAACAGGTCCGCGGTGCATCTGTGGCCTAATGAGGAGCCTTGAATGGAAATGAGAGTCAAACATGCATTGAAAATATTCAGTTCTCAGTTGGTCATCCCTCCCCCGCCCCTCGCCATCTCAAGGTCCCCGAGCCCTGTGCCAGCAGAAGGTGACCTGCCAAACTGATATCCCGTGAAGCTTGGGGAAGGGCACTCAAACGGGACCCAGAAGCACACCCTGAACTTGTTTTTTCTGTGCTTAGCACTGCCAAGGCAGGGGCTGAAGCAAAGAGGCAAGCGGGAACAGGAGCAGGGTTTGCCTACTGAGCAGAAAGGAAAATCAGGGGAATAGGGAGCTGGGAGTCAGATGCCAGGTGGCAGCCTGAAAACCCATTGTTAGGAAGTTCACTCTGAGCGGCGAGTAGGAACTTTTATCTTGGCAACTTTAATGGAGAAAGAACAGGGAGGCAGGTAGCAGGAAAAACATGGGCCCCTAAGTCAGGAGACACAGTCCCAGGCCTGGCCCTGGGACACATAAGCTGCAGCAAAACTATGACAATTTGGATAACTTGTTTTTTTTGTTGTTGTTGTTTTTTTTTTGAGCCTTGGCTCCCTACTGTGTAAAATAGGAGTGGTAAGCCATGCTTTACCTGCTCCCCAAGCACATTGTGAGGACTTCCTGAGACACTGTCTGTGGAAGGGCTTTTCTGGAGGTGGTGAGGCTGGCTAAGCAGTCAGCAAACGGGCAAGGTGGGCATGAGAGTGGGGGACCCCCAAACCTGCAAGTGTTCAGCTAATAAAACTCAGCACTCCATATTACAAGGCAGTTGTTCAAATCAAAGTGAATGGAGTAGCTCCAAAGTAGCCAAGTGATGTCAATGCCATTAAACAGCATGCTAACGAGGGTGCATCATCAGCATGATGGCCAGCAAAGGTTGGAGCATGGCAGTGCTCACCCAGAACAACCCAGGGCAAGTGGAGATAAGATAGTCTGGGTGGAGATGGGCCATCATGGCTTGATTCCCTTTGGATCACACAACTAGCTTACGACTTCAGTTTCAGGCTCACCAGAACCTCTTCTGACCATGTACTGACTTGCCAGGAGAGTCCATACCAGGGACAAATGTGTAGCTCAGGGGACTTTACAGTTTTCTGCAAGGCTGGTAAATATTTTACTGTAATGCTTTATATATCAGTCTCCGATGACTTGACTCATATAACTTATTTCCCTTTATGTCCAATTTGGGGCACTGACATTATTGAGTTTTTAGACCTGGAAGGCTGAGGGGGACTAAATCTTGATATGGTGAGAGTCCCAGGGATCTGCTAACTGTGGGACTTTTTCTGGGCTTCCAATTGACATCCCCTGGACTATACTTACTATTCCCCTCTAAATGACAGCAGCTTTGATAGTCTATACAGCTGGTGTCTGGACCAAGGTTAGAGCTAGAGGAATAAAAAGGAGAGATTTTGAAAAGGCTTTGTCAATAACACAGACTTGAGTGGGAATAAAGCAAAAGAAGTCAGACACCCATGGCCAGGTGCAGTGGCTCATACCTGTAATCCCAGCACTTTGGGAGGCCAAGGCAGGCAGCTCACTTTGAGGTAAGGAGTTTGAGACCAGCCTGGCCAACACGGCAAATCCTGTCTCTACTAAAAATACAAAAATGAGCTGGGTGTATTGGTGCACACTTGCAATACCAGCTCCTTAGGAGGCTGAGACATGCGAATCGCTTGAACCTGGGAGGCGGAGGTTGCGGTGAGCTGAGAATGTGTCACTGCACTCCAGCCTGGGTGACAGAGCTAGACTCTGTCTCAAAAAAAAAAATAAATAAATAGGGAGGCCGAGGTGGGCAGATCACAAGGTCAGGAGATCAAGATCATCCTGCATAACATGATGAAACCCCGTCTCTACTAAAAATACAAAAAAATTAGCCGGGCATGGTGGCAGGCACCTGTAGTCCCAACTACTCGGGAGGCTGAAGCAGGAGAATGGCATGAACCTGGGAGTCGGAGCTTGCAGTGAACCTAGATCGTGCCACTGCACTCCAGCCTGGATGACAGAAAAAGACTCAGTCTCAAAAAACAAACAAACAAACAAAAAAAGTAAGTAAATAAATAAATAAAAATAAAAAAGCACTTTGGGAGGCCGAGGCAGGCAGATCATGAGGTCAGGAGATCGAGACCATCCTGGCAAACATGGTGAAACCCCGTTTCTACTAAAAATACAAAAATTAGCCAGGTGTGGTGGCCCGCGCCTGTAGCCCCAGCTACTCAGGATGCTGAGGCAGGAGAATTGCTTGAACCTGGGAGGCGAAGATTGCAATGAGTCGAGATCATGCCATTGCACTCCAACCTGGTGACGGAGAGAGACTCTGTCTTAAAAAAAAAAAGAAAAAAAAATCAGGCTTCCATAACATCTCCAAGTTTTAGATCTCGTGAATTGGGATGTGGTATGGAGGAGAGTGTGCCTATTGACAATCACGCGAGGGGTATAAGAAGGTTGATGAGTACCACATGCATGGTGCTTTCCCTCCCTCCTGTCTTCAAGTATTCGTCACTAATCATTATGGGCATTCTTTCCTTCTGAGAAGGACCAAAACCTTAGAATCCTTTTCAACCCAAAATATTCCAGGAACCACTCCAATAGGTCAAAGCTACTTTATGAGATGAAATCATGAGATGACCTCTTGAAGCTGATATTTATTTCTTACTTATATAAAGGAGTTACTAAATATTCATTGGTTGCTGATAACCTCAGACAAGTTCATTTAGATAATCTTTGACTACAGGAAGAAAAAAAGAGAAGTCGATCAGTTGACCTTCTCTGATATCTAATCTCCAATAACAGCCACAATAAAATACAGTCACGACAATCCCCACGTATGCCATGGGACCATATTTTCTGACTCATTAGGGGAGGAAAAGGGAAAATTTTACTTTTCGATGTAAGCAGAAGCTAGGGATAAGCTCAAAATATGTAGGAATCCTTGTCCATTTGAGACCCAGCAGTCTTCCTAAGTTTAAAACTCAGAAAGTTATCATATGCCTCTTTTGGGTAAAGATAATTCCTCCCACTATACCATCTCCATACACTCGTTTCTACTATCATCCGACCCATATAAACTAGACAGGAAGCTCTGAGTGTCTGCCATAGACCTCTGCAAGCAAAGCGACCCCAAGCATTTCTTTCTGCCTGAATAATTACGGTTCAGTTCATCTGTGATGAGAGATATCAGCCCTGCCACAGCTAATTACTATAGGAATTGGCCTTCAGTCAAACGCAATCAAGTATGGATTAACTATGATGCAGAGCACTACTCAATGTGCTGTGTTGGGGAAAAACTCTATCTAGTGGTGGTCCTTCACACTGGATAGCAACAATGCAATCACATCCTCTCTTGGGAAATGTAAAAGATACTACAGAAAAGGAGGGTCACAGGAGTCTCTGCAGTAACCTGAATCATGTCAAAGTATTTTATTGCTCCCCAGTCCAGTCTAGGCCTAATGTGCATTCCATTTTGAAAGCCTTGGACCAGAATGTGGAACACAGAATGGTTGCAAAACTGCTGAGCACTTGACCCATTCCCTTACTTCCCTGTAAATTCCAACAATAAAGCTCCAACACTTAGCATAAGCTGGGTGTGTCTCTTTTTTTCTTTTCTTTTCTTTCTTTTTTTTTTGGAGACAGAGTTTTGCTCTTGTTGCCCAGGCTGGAGTGCAATGGCACAATCTCGGCCAACAGCAACCTCTGCCTCCTGGGTTCAAGCGATTCTTCTGCCTCAGCTTCCCAAGTAGCTGGGATTACAAGCATATACTACCAAACACGGCTAACTTTTTGTATTTAGTAGAGACGGGGTTTTGCCATGTTGGTCAAGCTGGTCTCAAACTCCTGACCTCAGGTGATCCACCGCCCTCAGGCTCCCAAAGTGCTGGTATTACAGGCATGAGCCACTGCCCCCGACCGTGTCTCTTTCTTGTAGCCTGAAACAGCAAGAGCCTGACTAATATACTATATGTTGAAAACTTCAGAGCATTTAAAGATTTCAAAAATATTTGACGTGTCATTTGAAGACTATAAAGTATTATGATAACTCCACCCTGAAAAATTCTTCCAAAAATTTAAACCTCATCTAAAGCAATTAGACATTTGGAAAATCAAGTAAATCATGAGAAACATACAAATATCAATATATAGACATCTAGAAAACACAATATTTGTAAGTAAAACTATTTGTTGTTTCAGCAATAGGAGGAATGAGCAAAGGCTACCTTAAGGAAACACAAGCACGTGGCATGGGCCCAATATTTCCTTTGAAATGTATGCCATGCCTGTAACTCCCTTTCTACTTGTACTGGGATGCCTAATTCAGACCCTTGGTGCTTTATAGATGTGTCTTGCAATAGAGATGTAATGACTGGTTCCCATGATTCTGGTCTATGTGTCCTTCAATTTGTCCTGCATGCCAGAACAACTACATTAATGCCACTTCTTTGCTTAAAATGTCTCTGTGGCTTCTATTTATGATCCTCTTTCTGGGTTGCCAGGAACTATATCATCCAGCCTTATTCCTTTGTACTCCACACCTAATTCTATTCCAGCTTAGCCATCTCATCATGAAAATGCTCTGCTCATTCCCATGGCTCTGCCCTCACTCCTCATATTTCTTTCTCTTGGCATAAGGACCCCCTTCATCAGCTCTATCCTACTCTATCTAAAGGCTGGCTTATGTCCCACCTCCCACCTGAAGCCTTCCCTGATCTATAGAGAAAAAAGTAGATTAGTTGTTGTCAGAGGCTGAGGCATAAGGCAGGTGATATGGTTTGGCTGTGTCCCCACCCAAATCTCATCCTGAATTGTATTTCACATAATCCCCATGTGTTTCGGGAGGGGTCCAGTGGAGATAATTGAATCATGGGGGCAGTCTCCCTCATCCTGTTCTAATGATAATGAGTTAGTTCTCATGAGGTCTGATGGTTTTGTAAGGGGCTTCCCCCTTCTCTGGGCACTCATTCTTCTCCTTCCTGCCGCTATGTGAAGAAGGACATGTTTGCTTTCGCTTCCACCACGATTGTAAGTTTCCTGAGGCCTCCCCAGCCCTGTGGAATTGTGAGTTAATTAAACCTCTTTCCTTTATAAATTACCCAGTCTTGGGTATGTCCTTATAGCCATGGGAGAACAGACTAATACAGTGGGGAAATGGCTATGACTGCTAATGGGTATGGGGTTTCTTTTTTGGGGAGATGAAAATGGTCTGGGATTTGACAGTGGTGATGGATGCATGATTTTTATCAATATACTAAAAGCCATGAAGCCTTCCCATCTCCCACATGAAGCCCTCCCTTGTCACCCACACCCCTCACTCACCTGCACTCCTCTAGGAACTTCACAGAGCTTATTATTTTAGCTCACAAATCAACCCTTATAGAGTTACTGCTTCTCTGTATGGGCCAGATTTAGTTGCTAAGCTAGATAATATACACCTTGACTTTGAGTATGAGGAAACTGTTTTCTTGTTGACATTGAATAAATATCCTAAATTTTACCCACAATCCCTAGAGGCAGCTTCAGAAAGCAAGATTTATTAGGAATCTCTTTTTGCCAACAGGGAAATGAAAAACGTGTATATTGCAATCTCCTGTAGTCAGTGTTCAGCCTGAAAAACAAAAACTGGTGAGCAGGTAGTTCTTACCACCAGAGGACTGTTAATACTGTTGCTATTAACTATAAATATGATTTGTAATAAAAGCCCACATGAGACATAGTGCCATTAGGAAACAAGAATTCCCAGAGGCCACACATTAGGAATCAGGCTGTGTGATATAAAAAACACTGAACTGGAGTCAGGTAGTCTGGGATCTCCTGGACCTGCAACTCCATCGCTGTATGACTTTGGTCAAGTCCGTTAATTTCTCTAAACCCTACTTCCCAATTTGGAAACAGAGCACATCAAACTAGTGACCTCTGAGGTTTGTTCTAGCATTAAAATTCTGGTGACTGTTGCTATGCCTGGGATAATTTCTCACTAAGTTAGAAGGAAACATTGGGATATCTTACAAAATGACTTGGCCTATTATCTATTTCAGAATGCTGCTGACCTTCTGTTCTCGGTTATTGGTATCCTATCTGGCTAAAGAAGCTCCTTCCTTGGTAACCCAGGGGGAGACCCAACTTTAGCCCCACCGTTGGCCTTGGGGCCAAACTACTGCCTAGCCTCTGCAAAACTTGCCAGTTGGCTTTTAAGATTTTCTTACACATATGCTTATTTATTTTCAGTTGGTTAACCTTGAAGTTGAGGCCAATTTTGTTTTGTGACTTTTGTTCCAAGCTGTCTGTTGAACAGTTTAAGTCTCTTGGAGCCTTTTATTTAGCTGAACCTGGATTGTTCTGTTCTGGGAACTGCACCCCCCTGACTCCCCACCGTGGTGCCCTGGATAATTTAGGCTGCAACCTCTCCTCCTTCCTCTAGTGACATTGCAGAGCACCTCTGCGAACTATGATGCACACACCTTGTTTTATGAGATTTCAGTTCCACAAGGAGAATAACAGAGAATGGAGTAGCTGAATGACTGGACTTGAATTCAGTGCAGATTTTGTGACATTCAGGACATTTTTTCTCCTTTTTTGTTAGCAGCCCCCAGAGCTATCTAACCACAGGAGCTTGAATGACACACCTACCTCTCAAGATTATAGAGTCTGCCTCAAAAGCCACCACTATGCCAGCTTCCTGTGTGGGTCTATAGACCCCTTGGGAGATCTACATGATAGTGCCTGAACGGAGACTGAGCATTAGAATGCATCTTAATTTCAAGCACATCAGCTCCACTGCCAATATGGATTCAGTGATCCAAAGTGTTTAAATCCAAGTCTGGGGTGCAAGTTGATGCTCTTAAGTGGCTGTTGTGGACCTGGGGTTCCTGTGACAGTAAACTTGGGCTTGAGAAAGGATCCAAAGAGTGCCTGGGCCTCAAGAAGACACTACCAAGGAATGAATGGCCCTCACTGAACTCCTGTGACATAATAAGATATCTTCACCATTGAATAAGGGATTTTCCTTGAAAATATTATGCTAATTGAAAGAAACCAAATTGTAGAAGGTCACATATTATATGATTTCATTTATATGAAATGTCCAGAATAGGCAAATCTATAGAGACAGAAAGTAGATTCATTCTTATCAGAGGCTGAGGGGTAAGGTGGGGAAATGGCTTTGACTGCTAGTGGGTGTAAGGTTTCTTTTGTGGGGAGATGAAAATGTTCTAGAATTTGAGATTGGTGATGGATGCATGATTTTATCAATGTACTAAAAGCCATTGACTTGCACACATTAAATTAGTAAATGGTATGGTACATAAATTACAACTCAATAAAGCTGTTTAAAAAAAATACGGCATTCTGTCTACTAAAATAAAACAAAAGAAATAAGTAAAACCAGACTTTCACAGTCAACAAGTCTGTCATCAGATAATGCTGATTAATAGTAAAACTGTAATACACTCTCCCTCTGAAGTTGGAGTGGGCTCTGCTGAAAATAGAAATCTCAGGCATATGAAGAGGTTGGTGTCAGTCTGTTCTTCGTGGAATACATTTAATGAGAATCTTTTGCTTCTTTCTCTAAAGAAAGTAGAACTGAAAGAGGAGGGTGTCAGTTTCTTAGCAGCTTGCAAAGCCCAAATCAATATAAAAAGAGCTTCCATTTCTCAAGTATCTTCTAGGTATTCAGTGAATACCCAGGGTTAAGGCTATTTACATGCATACTTGCTAATCCTCACCACAACGCTGCAAGGTAGATATTCCTATCTCTGTTTCACTTAGGAGAGAAATTATGTTCCCAAAGTTGCAGAGCAAGTAAATAGCAGAACCAAGATTAGACCCAGATCAGTCTAACTCCAAGGCCTTTGTCCTCAGTATCTCTCAACCCTCAATTAGAAGAGTTATCACGGCCCTGGCTGAACCTGCCTAGGTTATTTAACAAATTTTTAGCATTTTGAAGCCATTCCATTCAGTTACAGCAGCAGTTACTGTTCAGAAATTTACATTCCAAAAACTGAAATCAACAAGGCAATGCTGCTTGTCTCAGCATTGTAGTTTTGATGATTCTTAGAGATGTGTTATGTTATTTAAGACATTTTTAGTGGCTCTCACTGCCAAAGACTATGGATCTCATCATTGCCTGTGCCCACAAGGACCCTCTGTTCCCTCTGACCTCAGGCCTCTTCCCATCCAACAAGCCTCTCTGCACTTCTATGTTCCCCTACTGGAACAAAGTCAGAACTGGATCTGCTGACGCCACATATAGGTATGGAATCTGAGATTGCTCTATTGGGATCATCATTCTAGACACTTCCCTCTGCCATGGCAGGCTTTTGCTTCCATGCCAGATTGACATGATGCTATACTGAGTGAGGACAACTCTGAGAGACCCACAGTCTTCCCAAGCTAGACCCAGGGAAGCAGTTTGGGGGTTCCCCAAATATATTTGGCTGTTTGCATGGACCCAGGGGGATTTAACCTCAAGGGCAAAATAAGAACTCTCATCTCAGAATCCCTGCCACCCTCTCTGTGCCCTACTCTTCATGACTGGAAGAAGTTTTCTCTTCCCTTAGGGGTGGGAATGCCAAGTCATATCCTGCTTCTCTCAATACCGTGCCTCAGAGTAGAACCCTTTGCTCAGACCCCTCAGGTCTGCTCTGGATATATAAAGGGAATCTTTGGAAACATACAAAACCCTTTCTCTCTCAATAAATCCTGGCTTTCAAGGTGAATTCCTCTTCATGGACCCAAAGAGTCTAATTTCAAATGGAAAGCTCAGGAATGATCTCTTGTTCTGGACCAGTTCTACCCAGGCTCTGATCTCTGTGTGTGAACTGTTTGTTACTGTCTGCAACAATAAAGTATAGGAATTGAGAATATTTGGAAACTTTTATAGAAATTTGGCAGAGCAATTTTATGTTGTTGAATTTAATTAAAATCTTGTACCTCTTATGTCTATGTCTGTTAATTTTTCTAGTAATTTATACTTTGATTACATCTTTTAAAATGACAAGACAAGTGTTCTGTAGTTAGATGGCCTATTTCCCAGTGGAAATTCTATTCCTACTATTGGTGTGGAAAATAATAATAATAATACTTTAGGGGTCTGAGCATAGGGTTCTACTCTAAGGCATGGTGTTGAGAGAATATGACTTGGCATTCCCATCTCTAAGGAAGGAGAAAATTTCTTCCAGTCATGAAGAGTAGGGCACAGAGAAGGTGGCAGGGATTCTGATAGGAGAGTCCCAGTTTTGTCCTTCAGGTTGAATTCCCTTGGCTCCATGGAAATAAGTAGGCTGTCACACTATGGAATCTTACTAGGCTGAACATTTTTACAAACCTTGAGCTTTTCTGAACTTGTCAATACCTAGTCACTTACAATTTTATAGTTAGAAACCTAAATAATTATCATTTTTTAGATCTTTCCAAATTAACCAAAAATTTCTATTGTACTTATCGTTCTCTAATTTTTCTTGAAAAATTTCCCCCAGATATTTTGATGGTATTGTGATTATGAGATAAACAGCAAGATGGATTTTTTAAAAAGAAAAAACCTACAATTTATCAAAACTAATTCAAGAATATATATAAAACCCGAACAATTTTTAACTAAAAGAATTTAAATATATCATTTAAAATATCTGGCCAGACTCAGTGGGATTACACCTGTAATCCCAGTGCTTTGGGAGGCTGAGGCAGGAGGATTGCCTGTGGCCAGGAGTTCAAGACCAGCCTGGGCAACATAGTGAGAATCTGTCCTTTATTTAAATATATATATTCCTACAAAGAAAACTCTAGCCCCAGATTGCTTCACTGGAAAGTTCTATCAAATATTCAAGAAATAGATAATGCCAATCTTATGTGAACTATCCCAGAGCATAGGGCATAGGTAGGTAATGTAGGGACACGCATCCCAGGCAGGAACAGTACGTGCAGGGGCACAAAGGCAGAGAACACAATGAATTGGGGAAACAAGTTGTTCAGTATAGCTGGAGCTCAAAGGACTTCTTGGAGAGAATCTGAATAAAGCAAAATATCAACATCAACTGAAAACTTCTTGTAATAATATCCTAGAAACGAAGAAGTCCTGACTGTCTCTACAAGTGCCCTTAAATGGTGTCTTAATCACAAGTCTTTTCAAGGACTCCTATAAGTCTGCACCTGGGATGGCAGATATGCTGAATACAAGCTGCCTTGCCCCACATCTGGGCCCATAATATTTATGATAATAACAACTTGTATTTATTGAGCACTCTACTAGATACAGTGCTAAGCACTTGACATGAATTATCTCAACAATCCTTACAATAACCCTGTGAAGCAGATGCTATAATCTATTTGCATTTTACAGATAATAAACAAGCCTGAAAGTGGTTAGGTAACTTGCTTAAAGACTTGGCTAGTAAGTTGCAGAGATAGGGCTGGAACTTCAGTCCTTCTAGCTATAATAGTCATGCTCTTGGGCTACTATGCTAGCCTGCCCGGGCCAGATATCACTAATTGATAATTGCATTCTCTTCCTTCTTTTTTCTTTTCTTTTCTTTTTTTTTTTTTTTTTTTTTGAGATGGAGTCTCATTCTGTCACCCAGGCTGGAGTGCAGTGGCACAATCTCGGCTCACTGCAACCTCTGCCTCCCGGGTTCAAGAGATTCTCCTGCCTCAGCCTCCTAAGTAGCTGGGACTACAGGCACGCGCTACCACGTCCAGCTAATTTTTGTATTTTTAGTAGAGATGGGTTTCACCATGTTGGCCAGGCTGATCTCGAATGCCTGACCTCGTGATCTGCCCTCCTCGGCCTCCCAAAGTGCTGGGATTACAGGCGTGAACCACTGTGCCCAGCCGATCATTGCATTCTTTTTCATTCAGCACAGACCAAGCCTCCCAACTTCTTTTAGTACAGTGTTCTAGGGAGCCACTGTAGATTAATCAGAATCGGCACATGAGATGGGATCATTGCTGCCCTTGGCTTATACTCCAGTGATGTTATCTCAGATGCAGCCTCAGATTCTGATTCAGCACTGGAATCCTGAACAAGTGACATCAAATGCTGATCTACCACCATAAATTGCATTCTAGCATGTTTACTTGGAGTTTGCATGGTTTTCTTTATAAGCTCTCCTGGTGATCCTAAGGTGCAACCAAGGCTGACAACCATCTGCCTTTCTTATTTCTGACCCTTTAAATCAATCTGAAGCACTCAGGATTGCTGGCCCATAGAGAGAAACTGAAAATCCCAGCTTGCCTTAGCTACCATTACCAAAAACCCAGCTCCTTCACCTGTTCCTAACTAACTTTTACTTTGTTCTCATCCTTCTTGGCTCTCGGGTCCTGTGTTGCAATGGGTGGAAACAGCCAAGTTTCATCTCAGGCTGTAGAACCCAACCCTGATCTTTTCTCTAAACAAGCAGGAACCCTAGGAGCTAGACAGAGGCTGGGATGCTGTATCTTAGAAACCGGAGATGCTGGGGCTCCAGGAATCTTGCAGAGGGATGTAGTGCATGGAGGTGAGGGAGGGATCCAAGGGAAAAATGGAAGTTAAATTCATGGGCAACATTCCAGAGATTCATCATCAAAGCAGAGGACCTAGGCAAGGAGACTCTAGGATCATGATCCAGGGAAAACAGCACAGAGAAGGGAAGGGTTTGTAGCAGAGTTCAGGTGGTGAAGCCTGGAGAAATTCTCTAAGGTGCAGATAATACCTGCAGCTGTGGCTTACTATAAGCCTATGACCTGAGGCTGGGTGAGGTCACCCTGTAGCCTCCCTGGACCTAGCTGTTTACCTGCAGAGCTCAAGGAATTTGTGTGGTTATCCTTTTGCCACCTCAGCTTCAAATAAAAGGTTTGGCAAAGGTTTGGCTTTGGGGAGCCTAAAGCAGGATTTTGGAGATTAGCCAAAGAGACTACAGAGATTCCTTTCTTTTTTTTTTTTTTTTTTTTTTTTTTTTTGAGATAGAGTCTTGCTCTGTCACCCAGGATAGAGTGCAGTGGCATGATCTTGGCTCACTACAACCTTCGGCTCCCGGGATCAAGTGATTCTCATGCCTCAGCCTCCTGAGTAGCTGAGATTATAGGCATGTGCCACCACACCCAGCCTTTTTTCTTTTTTTTTCTTTTTTTTCTTTTTTTTGAGACGGATCCTCGCTCTGTCGCTGAGGCTGGAGTGCAATGGCGTGATCTTGGCTCATTGCAACCTCTGCCTCCTGGGTTCAAGCAATTCTCCTGCCTCAGCCTCCCAAGTAGCTGAGACTACAAGTGTCTGCCACCATGCCTGACTAATTTTTTGGTATTTTTTAGTGGAGATGGGGGTTTCACCATGTTAGCCAGGCTGGTCTTGAACTCCTGACCTCAGGTGATCTGGCCACTTCGGCCTCCCAAAATGTTGGAATTAAGACATGAGCCACAGCACCCGGCCCCTATTTTTGTATTCTTAAAAGAGACCAGGTTTCCCCATGTTGGCCAGGCTAGTCTTGGCCAACTCCTGACCTCAAGTATCTGCCCACCTCAGCCTCCCAAAGTGCTGGGATTACAGTCATGAGACGCCATGCCTGGCTGGGATACTGAATTTTGAATCAGAAAATCCAGACTTTACAATAGTCAAAACCATATCTTATTTGTCTTTCTGCTCCATTACCCAGGATTTTACTTAGAACATCAGTAGACACCTGAAAACATTGGTCAAATAGAAGTGAATAAATGATTAAAGAACAAATTAACAAGTAAATGAAGCCCGACATAAATAAAGGCCCTGCTAATCCACCAGCTACACTCGTGTGACAAAGGCCCCAGAGATACCCATGCTCTATATCCATGGAATTGTGCCATGGGGCTGGCTTACTGGGGATTCTATTTACCTGTGGTCTTGACGGGCCTCCCTGGAGAAACAGTAACCTGACATCTGGAGAGTACATTTGGCTCTGTGAACTAGGTCAGATCTGCAGACTTGTGGTTTACCCACTTAGACCCATGCCACACACAGCAGGCCCCTGATGAGAGCCCTGGCATCCTTGCCTTGTGCTTCTTCACCATCCCCTCCCAGATCTCACCTGGCCTCTTTGGTCCCAACTGTGTGTGTGCCTCCTCTCCTCTCTCTAGCTTCTTGCTCTTCTCTATGCCCTTTGCCTGACCCTGCCTCTCTGGTTCTGACCTTGGCTCCCCTCCTGTTTTGCAGTGAGCATTTACCCTTCAGATCATATCTGCAGCTGCCACTCTGGGCAAACTCCCTCTCCCTCAAACTTGGCCTCCATGTCCATTGGCCATAGGCTGATTTTCCCACTGTGCTTGGTCAGGCTTCATGGGTGGAATTCAGACACCAGGACTGGGCATCCTGGTCAAAACCAGGGGCAAACGCTCTCACCTGCATTCTTGGGCGGGAGGCAGGGGTCCCAGGCGGCCAAGAAACTCACCCCATAACTGAACAGAGGTGGCATGCCCACACTCCGTCCCTGGACAAGGGAAGCTCAAATTCAAATAGTATACAACATTGTGCTTCTCACATAGTAAAACCAGTCTTTCAGAAATGTGTCCTGAATTCCTAAGGGGAGGAAGGGAGAAAGATCCTCCAGAAAATAAAAAAAAAAATTCCAATAAAACGAAGTTGGTCCACTGGCAATATAGTACAAAACAAAGATCTTGGTAAGAAAACATCTCCCTGATTTTGGGGTTCCCATGAAAATAACACAGGTCCCCATGAAAATAACGTAGATGAAGCAGCAGAGAACTGACAAAGGCTGTGGAAACATGGAAAGAGTAATGATAACGCAGAAATCAGAGGTGAAGTAAAAGCACAAGTGAACCTTCACAAAGCTGGGCTAAGTGATATTAACGTAGCTGCTATTAACCAGAAATTCCCAGTCAAGTCAACCAGGCTTGGCAGTGGTGGCCACCAGAGGGCGCTAGAGTAGAGTCCGTGGGAGAACTTCAGCGGTGGCCCTGCAGGTTTGAGAGGCACCTTCCCGGAGGATGGATTTGAAGGGCTGAGGGTCCAGCAGTTCTGTGGGTTGGCGGCTCACAGGAGAAAGCATGAAGACATACTTCCATCCTCACACCCCCGAAGGTCCTTGCCTGGACTGGAAGCTAAAGAAGCGCATGCTACATTGTTTTCCTAGTGACAAAAATCCCAGCTGGCCTCTGGTTAACTTTTCAAACAAATGGCACTGATGTGATATTGGGCGAACTCTAGGTGTCACTGACCTAATAAAAAGAAAAAAGCTATTTGCTTCCCATTTTCCGATGCAGTGAGGATTTCACAGTGATCTCAAACACAGTGAAATACATAAAAAGAGCCTAGCTTAATGGGGGCACCCAGCAAATGCCCAATAAACATCTGTTCCCTTTCCTCAATAAACCCCATTTGCCTCTCAGCCTGCAGCCTCCCACACTGGTGGACCCACGTGCCCCTCAGAAGTGAAGCTTTTGGCCCCTGTAAAGCAGCAGCCCCTCTGGCCAGAGAGTCTTTTGTCCCAGAGCCTTTGTTGTTCCAGATTTCTCACTGTGAGGCCTCAGCAGCTGCCAGGGGGCCACCCCAGGAGCTGGAATCAGAGCTCAGAAAGACAGCAGTCCTTCTTCTGCTCCTTTCTGGGCCCGCATGCCCCAGCCCCACACCCAGCCTCAACCACACTGCCCTGCACACCCTCACCGTGCCCCCACTTCTCCACAATGTGTTTCTAATCTGCCCAGGAACAGTCACCAGCTCACTTTTCCTGCCTGGTCTCATTAGCGTGGCCTCTGGGCCTGGGCCTGGGTGTGTAGCCCAGAGGCTTGCACGGAGGTGATCAGATTGCAGGGAACAGTATGTTTCCCTCCCTGCCTCTGCTTGTTTTCTTCAGGGGCCAGGGCCAGCCAGCTGAGCTGTCTTCCTCTTCCCCGGCTTCTCATCCTCCCTCACACATGGTCTGACTTCAGTGGGTGGGGGGATGAGCAGAGGGTGTGACACACACGAGTGTGCATGACTGGCATGTAGGGAGTGTGAGTTGTGGGCAGGTTTCTTAAGGGGAGGCAAGGCTGCTACTACTCCGGGAAACAGGCCTGGGAGCCAGGGGGAGTGGAGGAGGAAGGCCAAGCTGGGGATTTGTACAGACCAGTTCTGGCCAGATCTCTTAAAATGTTTTGTTCTTGCATTGCTGCTGCTGCTGCTGTTGGTTTTTTTCCCCCCTTCCCTGTGCTGAGCTGTCATTTCTTAGTCCAGCCAGGCCCTTATGAACTTCTGGTTCCTCTAAACGGTAAACACCCTGGTTTTCCAGACTACACCATAGCTCTCTTTTCTTATTTGCCTTCAAAATACACTTTAAAAAAAAAAAAAAGAAAGTAGAAAATGGCAATATCAGTGATAAGGGCAGGGCATGCACTGAAAAAGAACAGTTCAATCTAACATTTATCGAGCCTGCCACCTTCCTCAGCTTTATTCTCTCCTTTCTTGTTCTTGGTAACAGCAGATAAGAAATCAGCTGTGGGTCAATACGTGAAAAATGTTCACTCTTTTAGAGTAGTATTAAAATAAATATTTTCAATGACAACATTAAGCAGTTAATAATTAAAGCATGTGCATATGTATACTTAAAAGGGGCTGGAGTCCCTTCTGTCCAAATCAAATTTTCCACAAGCGTTGGTAACAAGGTGGCTGGGAATGTTGAGATGTGAGACTGGCCTTCCAAGGATCAGGAGGGCAGCTGGTGGTGGGTCTGCTCTCTCTCATCACTCTCAGTGGCGACATCACCGTCCATCCTCCCCAGTACTAAGATCTGCTTCAGGAAAGAGCCTGAAACCAGCCACATGTATCTCATGTTGGTGAAGGAAAATCACAGTAGTGGTCCTCAGTGGGACTCTAAAATGACTTCACATCAGCCTCATTTGGTAAATGAGGAAACTGAGGCTCCAAGAGGTGATGTGTGTCACCCAAGTTTCCATAGCAGAGCTAGAAAAAGACCTTGTTCCTGGGGTCCTGGGAGAGGGTCCTACTGCCCAGCTCTGACGGATGAAAGGAAGGCTTTTTTCCATGGTACCAGCTGTTGCTATGGGCAACCCTAGAGATCACTCTGTGGGGTGTGGGATCCTTCGGGAGAGCTTGTGCTTCCATTTGGAGAGACTTCACAAAGAGGGTGTGCCATGGGGACTAACATAAAAAATCAAGAGTGGGGAGACAGAAAGAGGAAGGTCAGCAGAACTGTCCAGATTTCTACAATGCCCGCCCTTCTTAGGCAAGCTAAGCCATCTACGTGTTGGGGGCATGGTTGCTGGCCCTCCGGAAACCCCTCGGATCTGAAGAGCAGACAAGAGCATCTGTCATCTCACAGAGATGCCTTGGGATTTGAATACTTGTTTTGTCTTTGGCCTGGAGTTTTACTCTTAGAGCTCCTTGCCCAGATATTCCATGGTAACCCACTGTCATATTCTGCATAGTCCTCTGAGATAAATATGGAGAAATTATGGAATGCAGGGGAAAGAATTCTGAACTTCAAATGAGAAGAGCTGGGTTTGTGTCTGGCTTCACTCCTTACTTGTGTCTAATCAAAAGCAAATCAAAATTGAAAGTAAGAGCTAAATTTTTGTTAAGGTAGGATTTTAAGGCAATTGTTAAGTCAAAGATGTATCTTAAGCACCACATTCAAAACCACGTATTCTCGTACATCACTCTTACTGTATTTTCTAGACTCTAAGAAGCCATTGACTAAGACACAGCAGCGAGTTAATAACAGCTTTTAGGGGGAAAGGAGAAGAAAAATGTTTCTCTGTTAAACATACACATCAATTGTAAGACACAGGATCTCTGAAATGTCAGGTGTGAAGATCAAGCTTCTTGGAATGAAAGAAACAGTGGTATTGTTAACATTTTGAAGGAAGACTGGCTCAGGGAAGGGCAAAAGACATTTTTGAACACACGGCTACTTATCGGGTTAGTAGAATGTTCCCCAAATTCTCCTTTGTAATACCTACATCCTCTTTGGCTGTTCCCCTCCTGGTCCTCAGTCTTTTGTTTACCTGTCATTGAAACTTTCCACCAGTTTGGCCAATGGCCATTGTGTCAACTGCAGCTCAGACTTGTCCAGGCAAACACCGGCTCACTGACCAGGTGCTCACCAAGCCTCAGGGTACACATACCAGCCCCGCGGTACCATACCCTCAGGGTACACAACCACACCCACAGACACCTGGTAATACTGCTTCATACTACATTAATTTTCCTGTAAGCAAACTTTCTGACTTAAATCATTTTGTTTCAGAAGTAAAAGTGATAATTTCACTTTACATGCAAAACCTATATCACTTCTGTAGATACAAAGTAAGCATAAAAATAGTAAAATGGGCCAAGCACAATGGCTCACACCTGTAATCCCAGCACTTTGGGAGGTCGAGGCAGGCAGATCACTTGAGGTCAGGAGTTCGAGACCAGCCTGGCCAACATGGTGAAACCCCGTCTCTACTAAAAATACAAAAATTAGACGAGCATGGTGGCGCATGCCTGTAATCCTAGCAACTCAGGAGGCTGAGGCAGGAGAATCACTTGAACCCAGGAGGCAGTGGTTGCAGTGAGCTGGGATCATGCCACTGCACTCCAGCCTAGGTGACAGAGCCAGACCCTGTCTCAAAAAAAAAAAAAAAAGTAAAATGGAAACATAGAAACTTAAAAAAAAAAAAACTATGTTGATTCTAATACCTTGTGTGTAGAATAAATCCAATCAATTTATGAAAATAATTTCCTCACTGAGAAAAATGAAACTGTAATCTTTCCATAAGAAAGGAATATTCAACCCCACGTACTAAGTTTAAGAGAACAGCGAGGAGCTATGTCTGTTAGGGCCAGTTACACGTAGGAGCCACAGTACCAGCTGCCTGCAGAGTAGCTGTGTGACCACAGGTCAGTTTCTCAACATCTGTGCGCCTTAGTTCCTTGTTTGTCAAACAGAAATGAAAATAACACCAATTTGGGGGTTATTTCTGATGACTAAATGAGTTAATGCATGCAAAGCACTTATGACAGTGCCTGGTATTTAGTAAGGTCTCAATACATGTTAGCTATAATGATAATCAGTAGTCAGGGTATTACAATTAGTAGTATTCATGACTTAAAATTCCTACTCACTGGAGTTGGAGTCAGAAAGATTTTTAAGACATTAACTGTTTTCTCTCATAAGACTGGTTACTCAGGGTTAGTTTCTAACCAAAATGATGAAAGTAGCTGTTGCCCAACAACTGCTCCTTAAAGAAGCCATCTCCAGGATGGAGTGTCAGAATATGTCCAGTTAAATCTGGTCATGTTTGGAAAGTGATGGAAAGTGGGTTCCTAATCTACTCCCTGCCACATTCCAGTTTAGAAAAATACTTATATATTTTTTTCATTTTCCAAGGATCACTATGTTCAAAACAATTTTGAACTAGTTATTCAGACGACTTCATTACCATGTGCTTCAGATAATGACAATAGTTTTTGATAAAATTTGAGTCTGGTTGAACGCTTGCTTGACTAGAAGACACATGTGTGGGTCCTTGGTGTACTGTCTGGGCCAGTGACCCCTTGCTGAGCATGAACTATATGCTATGCAGGGTTAAATTATTTAATTCTCATAGTAACCCAATGATTTAGGTACTCTTTCCCCTTTTTACGGCTGAGGAAAACCGAGGCACAGAGTGGTCAAGTGACTTAAGATTACAGTGTTAATCATGGGTTTGAGACAGAATTCAGAGGCCTTCCTCGGTGCCAGAACCCTGTTCTCCAAACTCCTCGGCCTCGTGGGAGTGACAGTGTAATCTGAGGCCACAGCCCTGCCTTAGCTTTTCCCATGGGCCCTGGCCTCAGAGAAAGGCACCAGGGTGGGATGTTCTGCCCCTATAGATTTCTGCTGGCCCAGCCCTACCTGGAAACCCAGATGATGAGCAAAGAAGCCCCTTGCATGGGTGTGAGTAACAGCATGTGGGGGGTCTCCAATGGCCCCAGGCAAGAGGAGGACACCGTGGTTCCCTACCCGATTCCCATCCTTCCTTCCTCCTACTTCCTTCTCCTATTACTGTTAAACCCTACCCCTCAGTGGCAGGCACCAACTTTCCTACCTCCTTTCCTCTACCAGCAAACTTATCAGGTTAGGCCGGTAGACTATGTTTGATAAAAACTGAATTGGCACATAGTAGGTCTCTAAGGTGTATGTGAGCAAATGATAAATATAATTGGAATTTTCTTTGACTGTATACTCCTTCCTTATGGGCAAGAACTCTGATTTCTCTGTTTCATTAGAGCTTATTATAGTGCCCAGCACATACTAGATGCTCAAGGAGTATCAGTTACTGAATGTCTGGTGCAAAGGAGCTGGGAAAAAATCTAAAGGAGAAGGGATGAGTTTGGGTTTTATTTTTAGTGCCAATGTTCAAAAATATTTTTTAAAAATGTTCTACCAAACCCAAAATATTTCATTGAACACCTGGGACATCTCAGCTCTGGGAAGATCTTCCTATTACATCTCACTGCCTCCCTATTCCTGCTTCACTCTGGAAGTCCTCAGGTTATTAGGGAAAGCTCTAAAGGTGGAGGGCTGCTGGCAGGGAGATAAACATGCAGGGACAAGAGGCAGGAGTGGACGAAAACTAAGAGATACAGCAAAGATGTACGAGAGTAAGAAAACACTTGCATTCCTTCCCACGCACAGCCAGGTTGCTAGGAAGGACCTAAGACCTATGTCAGCCCTTGCCACCCTTACCAGGCAGTGACCTTGGAGAGGGACTTCAGAGACCAGAGCTTTCATACTAAAGGAAGATTGGAGGTTGTGATTATTGTTCACTATCCGAGGTCCAACTTTGTTCTGATTCAGTCTCATTTCTTTCACATCTTGACTGTTACTGAGTACTGGGGTTTCTTTTCAAAATAACAGAGATATGTGAACTCAGGAGAAGCTTCAGGAAGAAGCCTTTGAGGGGAACCTGGGGTTAGGTTTTAGAGGAAGACAGAAGAAGAGGAGGAGCTGTCTTTGATAGGAGCATCTGACGACAGAAGATCTCTGTGGAGGTGCTTCTGAAAGACTGGTAACAGAGGGCTCCATGAGAAAGCTCGTCAAGGGAAGGGGGAAGTGGTTCCGAGAAATGAGCTCAGAAGAGCTCTGACTTCACGTTGCCATGGTGGCAACATCCTTGCTCCATTACAACATACATCACCTAACACATGACAAAAGCAGTCTGCAAAGGGGAAGGGACGGCTGAATCAAGCCCTGCTGAGTCACTGTAGTTAACTTCCCACTCTCTGTCCACTGCATTTCTTTAGAGCTTCTTGAGACTGGCCCTCACGGCCCAGCTTTGGGTAAATTATTGGCTCAAGAATTCAGCTTTGAATTCAATCTTCCCAGATAGGATCCTCATGGCCTCTAGTTTGGCCATTCAGTCTTTCCAGGTAGGTTCCTCATGGCCTCTCTCTTACTAGGCCATTACTCTCCTTGTTTGCCTTGACTCCTGAAAGCTGTGTGTTTTGGTATTTTTCCCCTACAAGCAATTTTAACTTTCTTTTTTTGCATAGACCAGCCATGGCTCCCTGTGATTTCAATCCCAGCTCAATATCACATTCCCTCAGACCATGTTGTTTTAGCCTGGCCCTGACATTCTTACAGCTAATTTATTCATTTCTTGCCCTGAAAAACCTCTAAGTCTTAGCCCAGCCCTGGGAACAAGACAGGATTAGTCTTGTGTGGATTTTTGAACTTGACAGTTGAAGACTTTAGATACCTAAAATCAAACTCACTTGTGACCCAGGCCACTCAATGCTACAAGTACACAGAGGGACAGTCCTTGGGTATGTTGCTATGTGACATACAACATGCATGCTCATTAGGATCCCTCATGAAGGCAGGCACTGACATACTTACTCCTTTGAAACCCTAAATTTAGACCAAAGGAAATGTCACCTCAAATTGGGCCCATGGTCCATCCAAATCAGGCAATAACAACAGCCAACATCTGCTACATGGTGCTGACATTCTGCTAACCACTTCTCAAGCATTTGCTTCCTTACTATGGTTGTTCTCAAAACAATCCTGAGGGGTGGATATCATCATCAACAGTTTACAAACAAGTAGGGAACTTAGATAAAGCACGGATCACCCTTGGACAAGTTTGAACTGCATGGGTTAACTTACAGGTGAATTTTTTTCAACAAATATATTGGAATATTGTTTGGAGATTTGTGAAAATTTGAAAAAAACTCACAGACCAACGGTGTAGCCTAAAAATATCAAAAAATTAAGAAAAGGTTATGTCACAAATACATAAAGAATAAAAAGATGTTAGTCTATTTTATCATTTACTACCATAAAATATACAAATCTGTAAAAATAAGTTAAAATTTATCAAAATTTACACACACACTTACAGACCAGTGCCATTTGCAGTCAAGAGAAATCCAAACAAACATAAAGATGTAGTATTAAGTTGTCACTGCATAAAGTTAACCGTTTGGAGTCACCCCCTGCTGCTATTGCAGTGAGCTCCAATATCATGAGTATCCACTTAAAACACTGTGTGATGCTGATCATCTAGAGTGAGCAGTTTGTCTCTCCAGTAAATTGGTTCTCACTTATTTTTCATCATGTTTAGTGCATTCCTATAAACTTTGAGTAACACTGTGGGACTTATATGAGGTGCCACTAATAATGTTGGAAGTGCTCCCAAAAAATAGAGAAAAGTCATGACATTCCTAGAAGAAGTTGAATTGCTTGATATGTACCATAGACTGAGGTCTGCAGCTGTGGCATCTGCCATTTCAGATGGAGGACTCATCTTAGAAACAGACAACATAAACTTACAGTAACAATACCTACAGTACTGTACTATAAATGTATTTTCTCCTCATGAGTTTCTTAATAATATTTTCTTTTCTCTAGCTTACTTTATTGTAATAAGACAGTATAGTACATATAGCATACAAAATACATGTTAATCATCTGTTTCTGGTTATAGGTAAGGTTTCCAAGCAATGGTAGATATCAGTAGTTAAGTTTTTGGCCACTCAAAAGTTATACACGGATGAATTTTCAATTGCACTGGGTGTCAGTGCTCCTAATCCCTGCATTAGTCAAGGCTCACCTATAATTGCTCAATGTCACCTATCTTGCATGCTATAGAACAGGACTTGGACCCAGATCTGTCTGAATCCCAAACCCAAGCTTTGAATCAATTAAACTCTTGGACTGCCAGGCACGGTGGCTTACGCCTGTAATCCCAGCACTTTGGGAGGCCGAGGTGGGAGGATCACAAGGTCAGCAGTTCAAGACAAGCCTGGCCAACATAGTGAAACCCCGTCTTTACTAAAATTACAAAAATTAGCCCAGTGTGGTGGCAGGTGCCTGTAATTCCAGCTATTTGGGAGGCTGAGGCAGAAGAATCGCTTGAACCCAGGAGGCGGAGATTGCAGTGAGCCGAGACCACACCATTGCACTCCAGCCTGGGTGACAGAGCAAGACTCCGTCTAAAAAAAAAAAAAAAAAAAAAAAAAGCTCTTGGACTAAGGCATTTTTTGGGGGAGAATCACACTCTTTACAAGCCACTGACCACATAAGGTCCCCTGAAACACTGTTTAGTTCTCTTAACAACCTGACAGTCTTATGTTATCTATAATTCAATTCCTCTTGAATCCGAATGTTCTGCTTACATAAACTCTTGAGTAACAGTTTTCTTTTCTTTTTTGTCTGAGACGGAGTCTTGCTCTGTCGCCCAGGCTGGAGTTAAATGGTGCCATCTCAGCTCACTGCAACCTCCACCTCCCGGGTTCAAGCAATTCTCCTGCCTCAGCCTCCTGAGTAGCTGGGATTACAGGTGCCCACCATCACACCCTGCTAATTTTTATATTTTCACTAGAGACGGGGTTTCATCATGTTGGCCAGGCTGGTCTCAAACTCTGACCTCATGATCTGCCTGCCTCGGCCTCCCAAAGTGCTGGGACTACAGGCGTGAGACACCGCGCCCAGCCAACAGTTCTCATTAGATTAGTGCTTTCTATGTGCTTCCTCTTATTTGAGCTAATGCTGTCTTCAGTCATTACAGAGTAGTCCTTAATTCTAGTACAATAAGATCTGTGAATTTCAATTTCCCCTAGTAGAAACCTTTGGTTTTCTTTAGATTTATTTTATCATGCTTTAAAGGTCTCATATTTCCAGGCCAAAAAGTTATGTGTACAGTGTTTATATAAGGCGGTGGTCTCAACACCTTACTTCCTGACCCCAAGCTCCAAGTGAACCAACAAGCTCCAGACTGTTCCCTGTATGTGCCTGCATTTTCCCACCACCCTTCAAATAAAAATACTCTTCCCTTTTCAACACCTATTCCCTGTATCCTCATAGCAAAATCTATACTTTTTTTGTAGTGTAGATTTTGGGTTAATATTGCCTCCCTCCTTGAAGCCTTTTTTGATGGCCCCCAGATGGAAGAGATTCCACTCTCAAGTGAAATAACACCATAGGACCATATATCCTGTATTCTTTACATGATACTTATCACTTTCTTGCTGGATTTTGGTCGCACTATTTCATATTTCTCCTAGCTACTTGAGACCAAGTTCTGTATATATTTTCTAGTGACTTACATTAAATTAGGTACTCACATATTGGCTCAATGCATCAATTAATATATACATAAATACTTGTACTTGACTTCTTTCTCAGAACATTTCCATTTCTTTATCAGAATGATATAACTCTAACTGCTTGAGGCATTCCAAGTAATAGATCATCATGAGTTTACACAAAGCTAAGACAATATCTTTTAGTTTGTATCTGACATCCTTCTGGCAATTGCCAACATTTAAAATATTTTGACTAACACTAAAATTGCAGTGGCACATCAAAGTCTTCTTGGGAAAATTGAACCCTTTCCTGGATCATAACTGGGAAGCCTGTGTTTGTCATCTTGAAACAGGATGTGGCTACTTCTCTCATAAATGCATTATTTCTTTGCTTAACTTTAATTTGAAAGTACTCTTATCTTACCTACAATATTGAGATTGCACTGGCCACATTTTCAAATTATGTATCTTATAGACATGTTGTCATTTGTTTCATGCACCATTATACCAGCAAAATCTCAAACTAAAGACCCTTCCATGGCAAAAGAAACAGCATTCTAATTTATCTCCCCTAGTATTTAAAGTCTGCACATAAATTGTTCTGCATTTCTGGCTCATGCTAGAATGCAGAACTGTCAACCATGGCAATATTTGTGGTGAGTATTGGCTAAACCTTCATTCTCTGCACACACCGGGAATATTTTGACAAAAACTATTTAAAATATATTACGCACCCACATGCAGCTGGTGTTGTACAGAGTACTAAAAGGCACAATCTGCAAGGAATTCAAAGGCATCAAAGCTGCCTTTCAGATCCAAAATTGCTCTTTTTTCGAGAGACCTGAGAGTGTACACAGAAGGGAAATCATGATTATCCAAAAGCTACTGCTGCAGTCGTTACTATGTTACCTATGTGATTACTTTCTCTCAAGGAGAACATAGTGCTTGCAAAATAAGGGCTTTCAACCCATTTTAATCTTTAGTCTATTTTCCTACTATATAAAACAATTTGGTGCTGTGTCATTATAGATCAGGATTCCAAAGCCACCTCAGGAATAGCAGAACTCAAAGGTTAATGTGTGTAAAGAATCATCCTTTTACAAGAAAAAAACAACCCCATCAAAAAGTGGGTGAAGGATATGAACAGACACTTCTCAAAAGAAGACATTTATGCGGCCAACAAACACATGAAAAAAGCTCACTATCACTAGTCATTTGAGAAATGCAAATCAAAACCACAATGAGATATCATCTCATGCCAATTAGAATGGCGATCATTAAAAAGTCAGGAAACAACAGATGCTGGAGAGGATGTGGAGAAATAGGAACGCTTTTATACTGTTGATGGGAGTGTAAATTCATTCAACCATTATGGAAGACAGTGTGGTGATTCCTCAAGGGTCTAGAACCAGAAATACCATTTGACCCAGCAATCCCATTACTGGGTATATACCCAAAGGATTAGAAATCATTCTACTAAAAAGACACATGAACATGTATGTTTATTGCAGCACTATTCATAATAGCAAAGACTTGGAACCAACCCAAATGCCCATCAGTGATAGACTAGATAAAGAAAATGTGACACATATACACCATGGAATACTATGCAGCCATAAAAAGGATGGGTTCATGTCTTTTGCAGGGACATGGATGAAACTGGAAACCATCATTCTTAGCAAACTAACACAGGAACAGAAAACCAAACACCACATGTTCTTACTCATAGGTGGGAGTTGAAAAATGAGAACACATGGACGCAGGGAGGGGAACATCACACACTGGGGCCTGTTGGTGGGTGGGGGTTAGGGGAGGGATAGCATTAGGAGAAATACCTAATACCTATGTAACAAACCTGCACGTTCTGCACATGTATCCCAGAACTTAAAATAAAAAAATACAATTTTAAAAAAATCATCCAAGGTGTTTCTTTTTGAAATGCAGACACACAGGCCCCAGTTCACACCTACTGATTTGCTATCTCTGGGGGCAAGGCTGGTAATCTGTATATTTTAACGAGTCCATCAAGAATGCTGATCAGTGGCCCTGGGGCAGACTTTGAGGAAAAAAATAGAACTGGTAAATGAGAAAGATTGTAAAGAAGTTATCATAACATCGGGGACTGACAGAGCAGAATGGTGTTTACTTTCTGGGGGATGTAGGCTCATCACAGGGCCCTGCCTGCTCCTTGCAGGGGTAGAACCCCTCATCTCACCTGAATCGAGTTGATGTGATGGGATTGCCACAGGCTGATAGCACAAGAACTCCAGAGTCCTTGTCCAAGCAGCTGTGAGATTTGAGAGGAGTACTTCACCTCTCAGAGCCAGGCCTGATGATCTCCAAGGGTGCTCTAATTAACCTATGAATTAATTCAGGGGAGGCTGCAGCTTTCCCTTTCTGGCATTGCCATCCAACAAAAACAATGCAAGCCACATATGTACATGTACGTTTTCTAGTAGCTCCATTTCAAAAAGTGAAAAGAAACTAGGTGAAATTAATAGTATATTTTAATACGATATATCTGAAATGCTATGATTTCAGTGTGATCAACATAACTCTTGAGATATTTTATATTTTTTGGTTTTAAGTCTTGAAAATCTGGGGCCTATTTTATACTTTCAGCACATCTCAATTTAGATAGCCACATTTTAAGTGCTCAGGAGTCACCCATGAATACTCTACTAGACAGTGCTGCAATAGGGTAGGGATCCGCAAACTATAGCTCATGGGCCAAGTCAAAAGAAGCATAATATTTCAAAATATATGAAAATTAACTGAAATTTAAATTTTAGGTTCATAAATAAATTTTATCGGAATGTAGCCATACTCATTCATTCATATATTATCCATGGCTGTTTTTTGTGTATGTTTTTTTGTTTTGTTTTAGAACAATAGAGTTGAGTAGTTACAAGAGAAACCATATGGCCCATAAAGCCTAAGGTATTTACTATCTGATCCATTATAGAAAAAAAGCTGATAGATGTGTGCTCTAGGAATCCACAGAGAGGAAGCATAAGAGGCTACCCTCGAGGGCTGGCTCCTTCTGGCCCTCTGCTATTTGCATATAAGCAAGGTTTGGCTAGTGCTTGGCTTGGAGACATAGCAAGCCTCTACAGAAAGGGTTAGGGGGCTGGACAGTAAAGGCTCAGAGGGCTTACCAATAACATGGAATGCTGATGGGGATGCCACAGCAAAGAGGAAAGTCAGGTGGGCCCAATACAAGGGTGTGGAGCAAGGAAGGACATCCTAGTTGGCAAGACACTAGAGGAGGGCCTGGTTTGGAGGTGACACTCCATGCAAGAAGGGGCCCTGAAGATGGATTTGGCCAGCTTGACCCATTTTCCTGTGTATGGATTTTGGATTTGAACCCTAACTGAGTAGGAATAACAGCAGCTGCCTGCTTTCATTTGTCACTCTTCTGTATTTAAAGGTCTGTTCTTACCTGGTGATGAGCTTTTACAACTTCCATCAATGTCCAGTATTTGAGCTGCATCCCCTCTGCCTATCCTTTCTGGCTCTGGATTCCAAACTTTGTTGGTCACTTGGTTTTTCTGTCACCCTGGCTGACTGCATGGATGATTGGAGGGCAGACTAGCCCAGGCCCTTGAGTTCAGGGAATCTTTCCAGGGCTGTAATTACCTGGGATTTAGCTCCATCAAAGCATATTTTGATCCATCAACCCAATGTCCTGGCCCAACCCTTCCAGTTCCTGTAAGTTACCATTGGGCAAAATAAAGATAACATTTATTAATTTTTCTCTTTTAAACAATTGGGAAAATATGACCAAGCCTTTGGGGAGAAAAACAGTTATCTGGCCTCTTTGATCCATTTCCTTGGATTTATAAATTCCTGGTAGCATGTCTTTAATTGGTAGGTTTTTTTTGCTGTATTATTCCATAAATCTTTCTGCTCTTAATCCTGTTGACCCAATCATTTCTGCTTTTATTCATTTTTTTTTTACCCTTCATCCAGATTTTCTAAATGTTAACATCCTACATTACCATGGTACATTTGCTAAAACTAAGAAGCCAGCATTATGATTAGTACTAGTAGTACAATACTATTAACTAAACTTGACACTTTATTCACATTTCAGTTTTCTGTTCTGAAACATAATGTAGGACATCACATAGCATTTAGAACAATTTTAAATTAGCACAAAAATCAACATTATTAATCAGTTAGTGACTCTACCATCAAAATCTAAAGGTACCTTTCTGAAATACTTGAGAGCTCTTGGAAACCATTTACTCTCTTAAGTAGTTTTTTGCAAACTTGTTGACTTATTAATTGACATAGTAAACTTTTTTTACAATTGTTATCTGATTAAATACACATAACATTTTTATGATGAAATACATATAACATTTCCCATCATAACCATTTTTAATTGTACAGTTCAGTGATATTGAATACATTCATAATGTTGTGCAACCATCACCACCATTCATCTCTATAACTCTTACATCTTGTAAAACTAAAACTCTGTATCCATTAAACAATAACGCCCCATTCCCCCGACCCTAGTCCACATCAAACACCATTCTACTTCCTGTGTCTATGATTTTTGACTACTTTAACTACCTCATATAAGTGGAATCATACAGTATTTATCTTTGTGTGGCTGCTTATTTCACTTGGCATAATGTTCTCAAGTTTCATGCATGTTGTGGCATATGTCAGAATCTCCTTCCTTTATAAGGCTGAGTAATATTCCATTGTATTTGTATACCACCATTTGCTTATCCATTCATCTATCAATGGACTCTTGTGTTGATCCCACATTTTAGCTATTGTGAATAGTGCTGCCAAAAACACGGGTGTACAAATATCTCTTCCAGACCGTGCTTTCAGTTATTTGGGGTATATCTCCAGAACTGGAATTGCTGAGTAATATAAAAATTCTGTTTTTAATTTTTTGGAAACCTGCCATGCTGTTTTGCACAGTGGCTGTACTATTTTACATTCCCAACAACAGTGCACAAGAGTTCTAATTTCTTCACATTCTCACCAATACACGTTATTTTCTGTGATTTTTTTTTAAACAGTAGCCACCCTAAAGGAGGTGAGGTGGTATTTTATTATGGTGTTGATTTGCATTTATCTAATGATTAGTGATGTTAAAAATCTTTTCATATGCTTATTGGCCATTTGTATATCTTCTTTGGAGAAATGTCTATTAAAGTCTTTTGCCCATTTTTGAATTTGGTTATTTGCTTTTTCATTGAGTTTTAGGAGTGTTCTATATAGTCTGGATACAATCTCTACAGGTATACTATTCGCTAATATTTTTCCCATTCTGTGGACCACATTTCTACTAAGTTGATAGCATCTTCTGATGTACAAAATTTTTAAATTTTCGTAAGGTCCAATTGTCTAATTTTTTCTTCTATTGCCTGTGTTTTGGTGTCATATCCAAGAATTCAGTGCCAAACCCAAAGTCAGGAAGGATTTGCCCTATGTTTTCTTATAAGAGTTTCATAGTTTTAGGTCTTATATTAAGATCTTTGATCTATTCTGAGTTAATTTTTGTATATAGTGTTAGGTAAGGATTCAACCTCATTATTTTGCATGTGGATATCCAGTTTTTCCCACATCATTTGTTGAAAATACTGTCCTTTTTCATGGAATGATCCTGTCACCCTTGTCAAAAATCACTTGACCATATATGTGAGGACTGACTTCTGGGCTCACGATTCTATTTCATTGATCTGTATGTCTGTCTTTATGCCAGTACCACACTGTTTTGATTACTGCAGATTTGTGGTAAATTTTGAAATCAGGAAATATGAGTCCTCTAGATTTGTTCTTTTTCAAGATTATTCTGACTATTCAGGATCCCTTAAAACTCCATGTGAATTTTAGGATAGGCTCTTCTATTTCTACAAAAAACGTTTTTGGATTTTGAAAGTGATTGCATTGAATTTGTAGATTGCTTTTGGTAGTATTGCCATCTTAACAATATTAAGTCTTCCAATTCAATAACATGAAATGTATTTCCACTTATTTATGTCTTCTTTAATTTTCTCAGCAATGTTTTATAGTTTTAATCATATGAGTCTTTCACCTCTTTGGTTAAATTAATTACTAAGTATTTTATTCTTTTTGCTGCTATAGTCAATGAAATTTTTTTCATAATTCCCTTTTTAGGTTGTTCATTGTTAGTGTATAGAAATGCAACTGATTTTTCTGTGTTGACTTTTTAGCTGGTTACTTTGTTGAACTCATTTAATTTTAACAATTTTTGTGGGATCTTTAGTGTTTTCTACATACAAGTTCATATCATCTGCAAACAGAAATAGTTTTACATTTTGTTTTCCAATTTGGATGTCTTTTATTTCTTTCTTGCCTAATTGCTGTGGCTAGAACTTCCAGTACTATGTTGAATAAAAGTGGTAAAAGCAAACATCCTTGACTTTTTCTTGATCTTAGAGAAAAGCTTTCTGTCTTTCACCATGAAGTATGATGTTTACTGTGGGTTTCTTTCACATGGCTTTTATTATGCTGAGGTAGTTTACTTCTGCTCCTAGTTTGTTGAGTGTTTTTTATCATGAGAGTGTTGAATTTTGTCAAATGCTTTTTCTGCATCAATAATATAATCTTTTTTTTCATTCATTCTTTTGATGTGGTATATTACACTGATCAATTCTGTATGTTGAACCATCCTTGCATTCCAAAAATAAATCCCCCTTGGTCATAATAAATAATCATGTTAATATGCTGATGAATTCAGTTTGCTAGTATTTTTTTTGGTAATTTTTGTATCAATGTTTATAAGAAATATTGATTTGTAATTTTCTTTTCTTGTAGTGCCTTTACCTAGCTTTGGTATTGGGGTAATGCTGGCCTCATAGAATGAGTTAGGACGTGTTGTCTTTTCTTCAGTTTTTGAACAGTTTGAGAAGCGTTGGATATTAGTTCTTCTTTAAATGTTTGGTTGAACTCACCAGTGATTCCATCAGGTCTAGTGCTTTTCTTTGTTGGGAGATTTTTGAATACTGATTCAATCTCCTTACTCGTTATAGGTCTATTTAGACTTTATATTTCTTTATGATTTAGTCTCAGTAGGTTTCTGTGCTTCTAGAAAATTGTCCATTTCATCTAGGTTATCCAGTTTGGTGGTGTGTAATTCTTCATAGTTCTCTCTTTTAATTGTTTTTATTTCTGTAGAATTGGTAGTAATGCCCACACATTCATTTCTGGTTTTAGTAATTTTTTCTTAGTCCATATAGCTAAAGGTTTGTCAATTTTATTGCTGTTTTTAAAGAATCAACTTTTGGTTTCATTAATTTTTTTATTGTTTTTCCATTTTTTTTTTTTTTAGTTCATTAAGTTGTATGTTACGCTATTGATTTGAGATCTTTCTTGTTTTTTAAAGAAGGAAATTAGGCCAGTTGCAGTGGCTCACACTTGTAATCCCAGCACTTTAGAAGGCTGAGGTGGGAGGATCACTTGAGGTCAAGAGTTCAAGACCAGCCTGGCCAATATGGTGAAACCCCATCTCTACTAAAAATACAAAAATTAATTGGGCGTAGTGGTACATGCCTGTAGTTCTAGCTACTTGGAGGCTGAAGCATGAGGCTGAAGCATGAGAACTGCTTTAATCTGGGAGGAGGAGATTGTAGTGAACCAAGATCATGCCACTGCACTCCAGCCTGGATGACAGAGAGCAAGACTCAGTCTCAAAAAAAAAAAATTAAATTAAATTAAAAAATAAAGTAATAAATTATACTATAAATTTTCCCCTTACTATTACTTTTGCTGCATTCATAAGTTTTGGTATGTTATATTTTCATTTTCATTCATCTCCAAGTAATTTTTAATTTCCCTCTTGATTTCTTCTTTGATCCACTGGTTGTTAAAGGTTGTGTTGTTTAATTTCTATAAATTTGTAAATTTTTCAGTTTTACTTCTGTTATCAATTTCTAACTTCATCCCTGTGTGGTTGGAGAATATACTTTGTACAATATCTATCTTCTTAAATCTACTGAGCATTAGTTTGCTGCCTAACATATGGTCTATCTTGGAAAATGTCCCATGTGTTCTTGAGAAGAATGTGAATGCTATTGTTGTTTACTAGAGTGTTCTATACATGTATGTTAAACCTAGTTGATTTATTGTGTCGTTTAAGTCCCCTATTTCCTTATCTTCTGTCTAGTTGTTTCATTTATTATATTTAAAAAAATTCTTTTCAAGCAGTTTCACATCCATATGTTTATTTCTATTTGAAAAATAGTCTGTGTTGTGGGAAGGGTGTTATTTGTCCCAATTTTACAGATTCAGATATCAAGGACCAGAGATGTCAAGAGATTTTCTTAAGTTCACACAATTATTAGTGGCCAAGCTAAGCTAAATACAAAGTTTGACTACTGGACTTGTAACTTTTCTGCTACATTTTATTCTTATCCTCTTCTTCCTTTGTCTCAATGTTTCTTCCTCTCAACTCATGTGAACTTTAATAACAATTTCTCCACCATCTTTGTTCTCTCTCTCCTTCTGAGCCCTCTCATGCTCTCTGAAGCAGCCATGCCTGCCTCTTGCCCCCTTAGCATCACTCCTCCCTGGAACAATGAGTTACAGTCATGTCCTGAGCATCTCTCTTTGGCTCCTAATACACTTTGTCTCACATTCTGCTTTCCCCCCATAATCTCTTGAACCAAGACGCACTTCATGTGGGAAAGGAGGTGACTCTGAACTTGAGGGAGAGCAGCAGACCTGAGATGCTCAAAGCTGAGGTTCCTAGCCAGGATTCTCTTCTTCCCTAGAGCATCTCTAGTGAGCTCTAAAGTCACTGGGAATTTTTCAATGCATTGGAAGGTTAATGTTAGTTGCCTTGATTTTTATTTTTAATAACAAAATGTTAGAGCTGGAACATACTTTAGAGATTATCTTATCCATCCTTCTGATTACAGATGAAAAAACTGAGGCCCAAAGAGGTGTCTGAAACTCAATTCCCACTCAAGTGTTTCAACGTTTGGAAATTGAACATCATGATATCCCGTAAACATAGGGTCTTTTCAGTCATAAAAGAGTCAGGACTCCTTGGTTTAAATTATCTTTAAGGCTTTTACCAAATTACTTCCTGTCTAAATTACTGGAATATCATCAGATAAAATGAAGGACCAGGAAACATAAGAACTGAAACTTATCCCTGTCTCTTTTTGAACTTGGTAGTAGCCCCCACACCAAATTTTCTATACATCTCTGAAATGTCACCTAACGGTCATTTATTTAATCATCCAGTCATTCATATTACCAACATTGGTCAAGGAAAGCAATCTCTATATATCAGGTATTTTTCTGGATCCTGCAATATAGAAACCAAAGTTACAATCTTGCCTTTACAAAGCTCACCATCTTCTTGAAGAAAGGGACTGCCAACAGGCACCATGATGCAGCATGTGGAGGTAGGCCCAGGACACAGTAGAGCACCCAGGCAGACACCAACCTAGATCCGGGAAGTGAGTTGTGGGAGAGGAAGTTGGGAAGGATTTATAGAAAGAGGCAAGTGACTCCAGGGTGGAATTTAAAAAGATGAGTAGAAATTAGCCACTCTTCCGTATATTCAATAAATATTCAAAGAGTACCCTCTGCACCATATACTGAGATAAGGCATTCTAAGTACAGAGTTGGTGGAAACAGAAAAAGTCCCTGCTATGGTTTGATTGTGACCCCCAAAGTTCAGGTGTTGGAAACTTAATTTTCAATGCAACAGTGTTGAGAGGTAGGCCCTTTAAGAAGTGATTAGGTCATGAGGGTTCCACCTCATGCATGGATTAATGTCATTATTGTGCAGGGTGGGTTTGTTCTAAAAGGAAGTTTAGTCCCTCTCACGTGCACACATGCTTGCTCTCTTACCCTTCTGCCTTCTGCCATGGGATCACGCAGCATGAAAATCCTCACCAGATGTAGACTCCTCAACCTTGGACTTCTCATCCACCAGAATTGTAAGAAATGCATTTCTTTTCTTTATAAATTACCCACTCAGTGGTGTTCTTTTATAGCAACACAAAACAGACTAAGACAGTTCCTGTCTCACTGGCCCTTATAGTTAGTTAGAAGTCAGGCAATAAATAGGTAAACAAATATTTACAAAATGTGAAGGGCTAGGAAGGATACTAAGATAGGGAGAACAAGAAGGGGGCCCGTTAGAGATCAAGAAAGTCCTTGCTGAGGAGGTTATTAGATTGTTTCTGAACAATAAGAAGGAATGAACCACGTGAAAAGCCAGGTACGAGAGTTCCAGACAGAGGGACGTGGGTGTGCAAAGGCCCTGAAGCAGAAAATGGCTAAGTCTGTTTTAAAAACTGCAGAAAGACCTTGGTGTCAAACAAGGTGAATTAGAAAAGGAGAGAGGTTGTGATATGCTGCTGGGGAGGGAAGCAAAGATCGGTGCACTCAGGGCTTGGTGGGCCAAAGTAAAAATGAGCATCGAGGACTTTCCAAACAGAAGGAATGGGCCATGTAAAGGCCTAGAAATATGAAACCAGTGGCACTTGGAGGGATTGGCATGAGAAATTAGTGGCCTACAACATGATAGTGTACAGTCCATACACAGCATGAGCTGGCCACCTTGAGCTAGAGGCCTTGGTCTTTCCTAACCTACTCTAACAACCTTTCAAATAGACTAAAACCATGAAATATGCCCCTGGGTCTTTTGGATGGTGGTCATTTCAGCCTTTCTAATCAGCTTCTGGAGGTGACATTTAAGAGGACAAACTAGAGACAGCAACAGCTCATCCAGTGTACCACGCTGAGTGAAAACAAATTCCGCAGTTCCTACAAGATAAATAAAAATTCAGAATTGAGAATGGCAAGGACAGCTGGCCAGCAGGAGACAGGCAAATGGCCAATGGTTCATGTTTGGATGACAAGGGAAGAAAGAATGAAATGCAAGAGGAAAACAAGAACTCTCTCTTCAAACAGTTGGGAAACACCCTCTGCTTCCCTTCATTTCCCAGCTGGGGAGGGCAGCAGCAGCAGGACAAGAGGTCAGGAGGAAGCATTCATTCCTGGAGACCTGCTGGAGTGGATGCCACTGGGCCGGATGCCGGAAACGGGAGACACAGAGGATGTGGTGCCCAGTCCCTGCCGATGCCAGGGCCTGCCTTAAAGAACTGGACATCAGCAAACAGAAAACCATTCAGACCCTGCAGCAGGCGGGGTTCCCATGGCAACCAACAATTCCCCAGCACCTCCACATCCCCTTCTTTTCCCCTCATAAACTTGCCATTTGTATCTAACCTACACTTTGGATAATGTCCAGGTTGGATAAGAGGTGCTGGGAGTGGGGGTAGATACTGGAGAGAGTGTCAAGGAATAGGAAGAAGATACCTGGTTTTCACATGAAGTCGGAGAATTAAAAGCTGTTGGATCCATAGGCAAATTTTAATCAGGCTGTGTTTTTTTTGAGCCCAACTTTCCTTCCAGTTCTGGCATTTGCCCAAGGCTCTTTTATAGCCAAAGGCCACTGGTCACTACTTCCTCTTGGCCCTCCCTAGTCATCATTCTTGCCTGCTGGAAGGGATGCTCTGCTGCCCGATACTGTTCCCAAGTCAATTAATGGTCCCTCCCCTAAATCTGAGCTGGCCAAAGTCCCTCTGCCCTTTTAGTGGCTGACAGATTAAAGGAAAGGGAAAGGCACCCTGGGAATGTTAAAGACAGTAGACTCCTGAGCCCCACCTTCAAGATTCAGAGTCATTATGCCTTGAATGGAGTTCTAAAAATTCACATTATTCCCACGCAGGTTTATGCAGATTTTGGTGGATGCTAGACACACTAAAGAAACACCATCTCAGGGGTCACTTGGATTGGAATGAAGCCAAGGCCATGGGACCAACTGACTTCCAAGGATATTTGGGCCAGGGTGGCAGATACGTAGGAGAAAATGTCCTTTGGTGTGAGGAGAGGTCCTTCCCAACCCCAGGGTGTGCACTCCTCTGGCCCTTTGGAGCTGTGAGTATCCTTCAATGTCTTTCAGCCAACACTAAAACTTTTCAAAAGAAGGAGGTTCCAGTTTTCTTCCTAGTGAACACGTGATCTATTCCCTCTTCCAGAGTGGCTCTGGGTTCAAGAACCAACTTCAAGCAATGCTTGACTTAAGTGAAAGTGGGTTCACTGATTGTCATTTCTGATTCTAACAACCCAAATCAGACCCAGGGAAAAGCACATGAAATGAAGCAAAAAATGAACAGAAATGACCATGACTAAAAAGCCGGGAGGGATTTCTCTTATGTTGGAAATAGAAGAAATGTCTGTGTTGACCTTGCTTTCTTCTTTGGTGCTGATTAGTTTTAAATGGAATTATTTTAATTTTTGTGTGCAGTGAATAATTTTGCTCTGAGACTCATCTGGCCTTAGTTACCCTATTTATGGCAAAAAATGAAGAAATTCTGCAAAGGAATATTTCAGTCATCAAAGGAATTGATTGAGCAGGAGTATACAGTACGGAGGAAGTGGGAAGTGATTGGCTGTCTGTTCTAGAGATAAAAACGCATAATGATTTCTGTCAGAAATGTGCTGGCATTACATATCAAAAGTTAACACAGGCTGGGCTCAGTGGCTCACATCTGTAATCTCAGCACTTTGGGAGGCCAAGGCAAGAGTATTGCTTGAGGCCAGGAGGTCAAGATCAGCCTGAACAACATAGTGAGACCCTGTCTCTATAAAAAATACAAAAATTAGCCAAGTGTGATGACACACGCCTGTAGTCCCAGCTACTCCAGAGAATCACTTCAGCCCAGGAGGTAAAGGCTGCAGTAAGCTGTGATCATGCCACTGCCCTCCAGCCTGGGTGACAGGGTGAAACTTGGTCTCAAAAAAAAAAGTTAACACAGAGATTTCCCTGAAGGGGCCCATCCACTACTTAGTGCTCATGTATGACAAAATGACGCACTTTTATGTATAGGTTCTTGGGGGCTGGTTTTAATGAAGGATAAGGATCGTGTGACATTTCTTTGTATTCATCATAGTTTCCAGTACAATGCTAGTCATTTAGTAAGTATTCATAAAGCCGTTAATTGGCGAATTTTAAAAAGTAGATGGTTTTAATGCCTCAATGAGCTATTTTTAAGCTGCATTTACTGGATATTGTCCCTGGAGTGAGGTGACAACAGAGGGACCTGCAATATTTCCTTAGCGTATGCCTGTGTACCTGCCATGTTTGTAATGACAAATCTCCAGAGGGACTGGCTGGATAAGATCTTTCAGAGGCACCTGCAAGACTGAGCTTGATCACTCGTTAGGCTTCTGAGTTGAAGGATTAAATGAAGGCAGGCTCTGGACCCTAACCACCTGAGCTAGAATTCCAGCTCTATCATCCATTGCTGTGGGACTTCATACAAATTACTCAACCTGTCCTCATCTGTAAAACAGGGATCATAATAGAACCTGCTGTAGGGTTGCTGCAAGAATTAAATGAGAGAATGCTTGCAAAGCATTTAGGAAACAGCCCAGCCCATAGTAAGAGCCCAATAAACATTACTATGATTACGTGATTGAGTAGTGACCAGAACCGGTTGGTTCACGATCAAAGAATGAGGACTACAGCTCCTAGCCCCACAGACATGCTCAGATGGGATTCCGCCCCTGAGAACATGAACGGTATCTATGTCTCCTATCAAGCAGCATTTTACACCTGAATGTGTTGCTGAATCATTCAGTATAATGAGATCAGATACCTAAACATGAGGATTCCTTGCTCTGTCCCTGTTCCAGTCTCATTTCTAACAACTCCACTCTGTATGAATGTCCTGTTCACTTTCTTACTGAGCATCTAGGTTGTCTAGAATCTGCAAAGTGAGGAAAAGAGAGGAACTACACTCAGCATAAGGTCTTCCCTAAAAATCATAGTTAAGTTCCATTAAGGAAAATGGGATGAGGGAGTTGAATGACAGAAACAAAGAAACCAAAGCAGGCACATTCCCCTGTTTCCCAATAACAGATGCTGAGATGCTTTTCTGGGAGAGTAATCAGCTTGTTTTCAAGGGATGCTGGGCCCTCCTTCTAGAGTTAAGAACCAAAAATATTCTCAAAAGGTTTTGAAGTTTGGCATTCTAATAAAAAAAGGAAAAAAAAAAAAAGCATGTTGTTCTAACCTTTTCAAACTTCCAAAGTCAGCAAATGAGAGCCAGAGAAGGTAGTCACCAGATTGCGTTTTGGCTGTGAGATTTTCAATCCGCTGTCTCCAGGTCTTTTTTGAACAATAATAGCTTCATAGCATTCCTCTCTCTGCTCCTGTTCCAAAATGAGTATGACACAGTGAATGCCAGGGAGAAGCAAAGGTATTTTTTAAATGACATCTGAATATATACAAATAATGGAATGATATTTAGCCTTTACAAGGAATGAAATGCTGACACATGCTACAACATGGATGAACTTTGACAACATTATACTGACTGCAATAAGCCAGTCTCAAAAAGACAAACACTATATGATTCTACTTAAGTATTTAGAGTGGTCAAATTCATACAGATAGAAAATAGAATGATGCTTGCCAGGGGCTGGGAGGAAGGGAAGCGGGGAACTGTTTAATGAATATGGAGTTTCAGTTTGGAATCATCAAAATGTTCTTTTGTTTTTTGTTTTTTGTTTTTGTTTTGTTTTTGAGACAGGTTCTCATTCTGTCTCTGAGGCTGGAGTGCAGTGGTGCGATCTTGGCTTACTGCAGTCTCTGCCTCCTGCGCTCAAGCGATCCTCCCACCTGAGCCGCTTGAATATCTGGGATCACAGGCACAAGCCACCACACCCAGCTGATTTTTGTATTTTTTGTAGAAACAGGGTTTCGCCATGTTGCCTAGGCTGGTCTCAAACTTCTGAGCTCAAGTGATCTACCTGACTTGGCCTCCCAAAATGCTGGGATTACAGGCATGAGCCACTGTGCCTGGTGATGGAAAAGTTCTGAAGATGGATAATGGTGATGGTTACACAACAATGTGAACATACTTAATGCCAATGAACTGCACACTTAAAAATGGTTTAAAACAGCATGGTGTTTCATTTATATATGCACTTTACCACGTAAGAAAAAGGTGTCTTAGAGTCATCCATGTGCCTATGCATAAGGTTTTTCTTATATCTCCCCTTTACCCATATGTTAACATAATTTCCAGAATGGCCACCCTCTACTATTATGGTCATGAAGTAACATGGAATGAACAATATACCTGGATATTTTGGAATAAACAATATACCTGGATTTGCATGCTTTTTCTTATGAAACTAAACTGCTTTTTAATTGGTACCAAAATAGTTAAAATGGTAAATTTTATGTGATGTATATTTTTACCAAACACACAAAAAAAACTTGAAGCATCAAGAAGAATGATGTCCAAGCAGTGGATGAAGTTTCTGCTCCCTCTTTGCACAGCTGCCCTGCTCTGGACCTATTACAGAATGGTTGTCCTTTTCTCATCTTGTACAGTAGCAGATGTTTACCATAACAGATGTTATACTAAATGTTTTTGAGTGGATTTCATCGGAGGGTTGTGGAATCTGCTCCAATCTTTCAATTTAGCTTACCAGTCCCAATGCCTGCTCCTCTTGAGGGTTCTGCTAAGGGGGTGGAAGGCGCCAAAGGAAGGGAAGGTGGCTGAACTACCAAGCATTTTTCTGGGTAGCATGTGGCACAGACTCCCTAAGAGAAATATCAGAGTCCATGGGTTTATGTAGTAGATGACTAAAAGCATTTCTCTCCAGTTGCCTAAATAAACAACATACTTGCCACTTCCCAATAGAAAGAGATTTGGAGATAGTAGAATGATATTCCAATTAAATATTTCAGTAGCTTTCAGATTATTTTGATTGCAACCCACATTAAGAAATAGTTTTACATCATGACATAATATGTGCATTCATATTGACGCATTTATATAACAGAAGAAACAATTGAAGTTTTGTGATACAATACTTGTCCCTATTACATGAAGGCCACGCTAAGATTTTAGGCCACTCCTTTCCACAGTTCTGATCTGATCTACTTTATTTCACCTTTTTTTTTTTTGAAATGAAGTCACACTCTGTCGCCCAGGCTGGAGCGCCGTGGCGCAATCTTGGGTCACTGAAACCTCTGCCTCCCGGGTTCAAGCAATATTCCTGCCTCAGCCTCCTGAATAGCTGGGATTATTGCTGGTTGTAATCTATTACATTTATTTTAGGACTCACGAATAGGTCTAGATCTGCAGTTTGAAAAATACTGAACTGTGTCTGATGCTGTCACCACCGGGTTAAGATGAAACTGCTTGCTCCAGAGGACTAACGACAGGTGAGACTCCTATGCAAGTGAGAGAGTTGATTGGGTAGGTCGATTTCTCTTCAGTCTCAGAGGGGAAAAAGCCTGATGTGGTAGCACAGAAATGGATTGCAAAACGAGTGCGTGTGAGCCACGGGTCTACAGGCAAGGCTCAGCAGGAGAGCCCAGGATCACGTGTCTGCACTTCAGCAGGAACACTGAATATGGACCGTCAGCAAAGTCCACCCTTCTTGGATATCACTGCAAAATTATAAAATCAAAGCTAATTTGGGAAATCGGGGAAAAGGCAAAAACAGGAAACTCTGTGGTCTTGCTAAAGAGTTCAGTAATGAGAGGAGTCCATAGACTATGCTAGTTTTTCAGAGAGAATTTAAAGTCAGGAAATCTTTGAACACACGTGGTGTCACCTGTACTTTTTGGAGCCTTCTGCACCCACTTAACCATGCTTCTAACTCTGTCTTTCTTGCTGTGTTGTCTAGGGATCTGGGAAACAGAATGTTCGCACCTCTTGCCTGATTTCTCTGTTGATTTTTTTTCTGTGCATGTCAGAGAGGTCTGGAGGAAGTTAGCCACCTGGGGAATGTGTGCTTACTGGCTATTCATAGTCAAACCCAGAATGGGAATTGACATTCATTGAAATCATGAATGTCATGAGGAAGCACATATAATGTAGAGACAAGTACCAGGCACCATAAATACACGTTATTTTTGGCAGATTATGTTCAAATTATTATATTTTCCAGGGCTGAGACACCAAACTAAGTCTGGGTGTGGTGGTTTATGCCTGGAATCCCAGGGCTATGGGAGACCAAGGTGGAGGGATTGCTTGAGGCCAGGAGTTTGAGACCAACCTGAGCAGCATGCCAAGACCTCATCTGTACCAAAAAAATAAAAAATAAAAATAAATAGCTGGTCATGGTGGCGTGTGTCTGTATTCCCAGCTACAGGAGGCTGAGGTGGGAGGATTGTTTGAGCTAGGGAAGTAGAGGCTGCAGTGAGTCACGAGCATACCACCGCACTCCAGCCTGGGTGACAGAGTGAGACCCTGTCTCCAAAAGAAAAAAAAAAAAAGAAAAAAAAAACTAATAATTCACATTCAAAACAAAATGATACCTGTCTATGGCAGCTCCAGAACACTCCCTAATGTGCCATAGATGTTTAAGAAACTCATTCCACACACTTCCTTTAAGGCATTCTCAGGTTTCCTAAGGCAAGCTAGCTTCTACCTCCCTTTTCTAAAGATGTGCCTAATGATCTAAAAGGAGGTGGGCCCCTCTATGCTACCTCATACAGGTACTTGGGCAATAACAAGATTGTGGTTTCCAGAATAAATAATGGGCACTGCCACCATCGGAGTCCATAGGATGCTGTATGAGTGCCAAACAGTTCAGGCTGGCATCTCTGTTAGTTTCAAATGATAAAATGCTAGGCTATAACAATGTTTAAAGATTATCTCTTCCAATTCCTTCAATACATTGTCCCAAGTCACCTGGGACACCGTGAATGGCCTTCCTTCCCAAGCTCATCTCCTCCAAACATATCCAGCTCCTCTTTTCCATTTTATCTATTACGATAAACAGAGTGTCGTTACCACAGAGTTCAGCAATTCATTTCCCTCTGTTTTTTCCATGTGTCTATTATTCTATGTTTCCATATAGATGGCAGCATCCCCCTTTGGCCTTCCCCTCCTTCTCTGGCATGTATTCTAACTGCTTGTCGACGGGTGCCAGGAAGTCTCAACCTTATGTAGTCTTTCAGACAGAAGGAGAACCTAGCTGACAGCATTGTCTCCTAATTTTCTCGTAAGACGAAGTACAGCTAGAAAGGAGAAGCATAAGTTTCAGAAGAGGAATCTGACCACGTGGAGGAGACTTTGCTGTATTTTCTAAGAAATCTTTGTGATTAACCAAATATGTTGGTTATGACACTTTCAGCTGCCTGAAACAGAAAACTCCCACTCACACAGCTTGAAAAATGCAAACAAATGTATTGTCTCACATACTTAAAGTCCAGAGATGGCTTGGGTTTCAGGAAAGATACGGTTCAGTGCTATTCAGTAATGTCATCAGGGACAGAGGTTATTTCTGTCCTTCCAGTCTGCTGTCCTCAGCATGGGTTCATTCAACAAGATGGCGGCCACTGGATATCAGCTGGCCACACACTTCCTGTTCATATCCAGTAGGAAAGAATGAATGGAAGTAACCTCTGCCCAAAGGCCCCTCCTTTAGTCTGATTGGGCCAAATTAAGTAATACATTCATCATTGGCCTAATAACAGTTGCCAGAAGGATGTCATGTGCTAACTGGTATAGATCAAGGCTTTTCAATAGCAGTAACACTGACATTTTGGACTGGATTCTTCCTGTTGTGGGGGCTGTTCTGTGTACTATAGAATGTTTAGCAGCATCCCTAGGCTTTATAGTCCCTCAGCACCACCTGTCATGAGAATTAAAAATGTCTCCTGACATTGCCAAATGTCCCCTGGAAGACAGGAAAAATCACCCCAGGGCTGAGAACCACTGGTATAGACTAATCAGGTTACTTATGGCCTCTGCACCTTAGTTTTCTAAGATAGTCATCCTATCCATGTGTAAAATGGGACTCATACTAGTAGCTCTCTCATATGACCATTATGAGAATTAAATGAGTAAGTTTATGTAAACACACAGAATATAGTAAGCAATACGTAAATGATAACTATTACTTTCGTCCACTACTCAGTGTATGAAACATGATGTGCTCAAATATTTTCTGAATAATTCAGTGGAAAAGTCACTTGGATCCATGTAACAGTGATGTAGTTCAGAAAAATGGTATTCTACAACGCTACTACTGCTGAACATTTCTGAAGTTGGGATTATATTCTGAATTTATGAGGCACGTCATTTCTTCATTTGAGAATGTCACTGGAATATAAGGCCTTATTACATGTATAAGGGTAAAACCTGGTGCCATTTGGAATTTAAATGGCCACTATGAAATGAAAAGGGTGAGCTAGTGGGAATCAGGGACCTTAGATGGACTCGCTGGTTTATTCATCCAGAACATAGACCAAGTCTGTTCAGCCTTGCATCCTGGAAGCCAAAACTGAGAGCATTTCCTTAGCTGAAGGTTGTAGAGTTGGAAGTGCAATCTGAAGTCCAATGAATAAAGGTGCTGAGAGGAGTATCTTGATAACATAATTTAAAAGTGTATGCATTTTTCCACTTTGTTACTGTTGATAATAATGTTTCAATTTGAAGGGTGCACCATATGGTTTTAAAAATCACTTTCACATGCCTCTCTGGAAGTTTCGTTGGATGAAAGGGAGAGTGAATATTTGCAAGTATATGGCAAACCAAACTCTCGTATCTCTGAATTTACAAATAAATTTTAAAAGGTGGAATTCAGTTGGAGAATTGCCCATAGGGGCTACCCTGACCAAACTCATGAGTGTTAAACCATTGAGTTTTTAGAGTTCATTTTTGCTGTAGCAAAGCTTCTCCTATTCTAAATAATATCTCAAACCAGAGATTCTGAAGCATATTTTTAAAAAAGAATTTGATATTTGGGTTTTTTTAAAGGATTAAACTATTCTTAATGGGCAAAATGAGAACTTTATTGGACTTAACCTTATTTTGTAATTTAGTACTTTGAAATAGCATATGGGGAAATACCATAATAATTTCTATGCTTGGGGCTTATGAAGGTCTTGCAGTAGCTCTGCTTACCAGAGCACTGAGGATTCACAGCTTCAGAGTAAAGACAAACAGCTCATTGTTGTTTCTACAGGGTCTTTCAGCCCTTTCTCAAATATTCTTTCCATCCCTGTAGCTTTCTACTTTTGTTTGGGGATTCCCTTTTCTTTGAATGTTTGCCCTAACTTCTCCTTCAAGTTCAGGTCAATTTAACTTCTTCCAAAAAGACTTCCTAGATTCTCCAAGGAGTGATAGATTTTATTCCTCTACATGTATTATTTCATAATACCTATTACATTTATAACTGACCCTTCCCATGCCACCCCTCAGTACAAATTGTGATGGATTTGGATGAATTCCAAATTGAGTGAATAAACCAGTGAGTCCATCTAAGGCCCCTGATTCCCACTAGCTCACCCTTCTCATTTCATAGTGGCCATTTAAATTCCAAATGGCACCAGTTTTTACCCGTATACATATAATACATACACATGCATATGCTAAATTGTAGCTTTTAGAAAATAGATACTATTTCTTACTCACTGTTGCCCTCACCATAACATGTGCTCAGAATGCAGAAAAAGTTCAATGCATTTCTGAATTTTAGTAAAACCATCTTTTTTTTTTTTTTTTTTTTTTTTTTTTTGGCAGACACAGCCATGTAGTATCTTTTAAATTATCATGTAGCCCTGCTCCATTCTACAGAGTAAGGGCTCCCACGACAGGTTTGTTTATTCATTCACAAATAAATTCAAAGCCAGGCATGTTGTTTCATACCTGTAGTCTCAGCCCTTTGGGAGGCTGAGGCAGGAGGATCACTTGAGGCCAGGAGTTCAAGATCAACCTGGGCAACATAGCAAGACCTAGTCTCTACAAAAACTTAAAAAAAAAAATAAATTCAGAAATCCTCCCTCTAAAGTAGGTACGATCCTGAATAGTGTGTCCTCTGTAACTATCAAGACAGCTGCAACCACCTGCAGAGTGTGCCTACAATGTGCCAGGCTCTGTGTGAGTGACTCACTGTCAGCCTGAGCCTCTGGCCAAGGCTCAGCTTTCCAGAACTTCTTTCTTTTCAGGGAAATGTAACTCCCAGCATCTGGAGAAGCTAATTACTCCTTGTTCATGTTTGCTCTTGCACCAAGACTTTTTTATTTTTTATTTTTAGGAACAGTCTGTTCATGTTTCCTTGGCTCAGATCTCTATGTTCCCATACCATTATGATGTAACTTAGAATTTATTTTACAGAACTGAACTCAATTCAATTTTGAAATTGTATAAGAGATCTACTCCACCCCTTTTCTTTCCATTAAAAAGCAAGAGGGATGTGTAGAAGCAATTTATTAAGGGTCCCTGCGGCTAGTCCCAGACCGCTATTTCACTGTTTCCTTATAGTTCACTGAGAAGGGAAGGGAGAACAGGAAAGGGGAGACCAGTTCCTTCCTTCCTGAATGATTGTTTGGCCAATCCACAGGAACGCCACACCTCAGCCATCCTACTCCCATCAGGGAAGCAGTACTCAGAGAGTCATCCCAGAGCCAGGGCTGGCTGTGTCAGGCTACGATGACAGTTCAGATTGGGAGGTGAAATTTGGCCAACAACAGGGAAGGTGTGATAGGACGTGATAATTATTAGAACATGACATTTTGAGAATAGGATCCAAGTCTGTTTAATATATCTTCAGCACCAACACAATGACTTGGCTTAGTAATAGCTCCAGAATGATTAAGTGAATGAATGCCATGTTCTTGCTTTCTGCAAACACTCTTTAAAAAGCATCTCCTTCATGTCTCTCTTCTGTATATCAGGAATCAGGAATTTGATGAGGCATACAGCTCATCAGTCTGGAAGCATTCTGCTAATTACAAAAGCCCAGGATGCTTGTGTGGAAAAAGCACAGGTTAGAGAGGGGAGAGTAGAAAAGGGTTTTTCCAGAGCCTTTTCTTCTTTTTTTTTTTTTTTTTTTTGACGGAGTCTCACTCTGTGGCCAGGCAGTAGGGCAATCTCGGCTCACTGCAAACTCTGCCTCCCGGGTTCAAGCAATTCTCCTGCCTCAGCCTCCTGAGTATCTGGGATTACAGGCACACACCACGCCCAGCTAATTTTTGTATTTTTAGTAGAGATGGAGTTTCACCATGTTGGCCAGGATGGTCTCGATCTCTTGACCTCATGATCCGCCAGCCTTGGCCTCCCAAAGTGCTGGGATTACAGGCATGAGCCACTGTGCCTGGCCTTATCCTTTTTTTTTCTTTTTGAGACAAGTTCTCACTGTCACCTAGGCTGGAGTACAGTGGTGTGATCAAGGCTCACTGCAGACTGGACCTTCCAGACTCAAGTGATCCTCTCGCCTCAGCCTCCCTAGTAGCTGGGATTACAGGCATGCACTATCATGCTGGGCTAATTTTTTAATTTTTAATAGAGACAGGGCCTCACCATGTTGCCCAGGCTGGTCTCAAACTCCTGGGCTCAAGCAATCCTCCCACCTTGGCTTCCCAAAGTGCTGGGATTACAGATGTGAGTCACCACGCCCAGCCCTCCAGAGCCTTTTCAAATAGGCTAGAGCCCACTTCCCTGTATGCTTAGTTTCAGGTTTCTATGTCATCCTCCCAACATGTTGAAATCTGTGAGAACAAGGATCAACAGTATACGACAATGGTTTAATGGGCTCTGCAGTTGTAAAACCCTGGATGGTTCTCCACTGACAAAGAGGAAGTCACTTAACCACTTTGACTTTTAATCCATTATCCATAAAATGAAGGTGGTAATAGTATCTGTCTCATGAGGTTGCTAGGAAGATTAATTTATATACGATGCACATAAAGTACTTGGCCCGGCCCCTGGGACAGAATAAGGTCTGAATAAATGAGAGCTGTTGTAATTAATTCAAGGCATAGCATGTGGCATTTCATGGACATTTTTCAATTGCTTGAGTAAAACAGACCCAGCTTGGAGAAAGCAGAACAAATCAGAATGAGACAGTCCATCAGGATTCCTTCCAAATTTGTGATCACATTGCAGCTCATCCCTTTGTTTTGGCTCAGTCATTTCTCCAATTGTGAGCAACTTAGGGCTCTTCACAATAGGGAGAATGGGCATATTCACAGGGGCAAATTACAGTTGGAGGAAGCCTCCTGGAGGAATGGTTTTCAGGGGACTTAGGTCCTGGCTAAGTGCCTTACAGCACTTGAAGATTGTTGAGGAGCCATTCTCCACTCCCCCTAGTTTTATGAAGGTATACTTGACAAAACTATATATACTTGCAGTGTACATTATGATGTTTTGATATAAGTATACATATTGAAATTAAATAATTAACATAGCAATCATCTCACACATTTATCAATTTTTGTGGTAAGAACACTTGAAATCTACTGTTAGCAATTTTCAAGTAGTCAATACGTTATTATTAATTATAGTTATCATACTGTAAAAGAGATCTCCAGATGTTATTCATCCTGTCTAACTGAAACTTTGTACCATTTGGCCAAGAGTTCCCCATTCCTGCCCCCAACCTCCCAGCCCCTGGTAACCACCATTCTATTCTCTTCTTCTATGAGTTCAAAAAAAAAGTTTTTTTTTTGAGATGCAGTCTCGGTGCGATCCCAGCTCACTGCAACCTCTGCTTCCCAGATTCAAGCGATTCCCCTGCCTCAGCCTCCTGAGTAGCTGGGATTACAGGCATGCACCACCACGTCTAGCTAATTTTTTGTATTTTTAGTAGAGATGGGGGTTTCACCATGTTGGCCAGGCTGGTCTCGACCTCCTGACCTCAAGTGATCCACCTGCCTTGGCCTCCCAAAGTGCTGGGATTACAGGCATGAGCCACCATGTCCCGCCTGTGAGTTCAAATTTTTGAGAGTCCACATATGAGTGAAATTATGTGATATTAGTCTTTCTGTGCCTGTTACTTCACTTAGCATAACATCCCCCAGGTTCATACATGTTGTTGCAAATGACAGGATTTCATTTTTCAAGGCTGAATAGTATTCCATTGTGTATATATACTACATGTTCTTTATCCATTCATCTGTTGATGGGCACTTAAGTTGCTTACGCACCTTAGCTATTGTAGATAATGCTGCAAGAAATATGGGAGTGCAGATATCTCTTTGAGATCCAAATTCCATAGAGTTTTTTTTTTTAACCTCAATTGAGAGCAAAGTAAGAGGAAATGGAGCCTACTGGCCCCTGAAGAACTTCTTGCTAGACAGGAAGAAATTCCTGGAAGTTATTTAGCCTCATCAGAGGGGGCAGTTAATATCCTTCTCAGAACAGAAAAATATTGAACTTTATTGAGGTATAATTAATATACAACAAAATGCACTCCTTTGTTGGATGGAGTTCAATTAGTTTTGACAAATGAATACACTCATGTAACTACTACTGCAATCAAGATTTAGCACATTTTCATCACCCCAAGAATTTCTTCTTTCCTGTCTACAGTCCACTTGGGTCCCGAGTGATTCTGTTATTACATGTTAATTTTGCTTATTCTAGAATTTTATATGATGGAATCACACAATATGTACTCTCTCTTCTGTGTTTGGTGGTGTTTTGCTCACTCACGTTGTTGCATATACCCATTGTTTGTTCATTTTTATTAGAGTATAATATAATATTGTATCTTATAGCTTTTTAAAATCTGTTCACCTGTAGATGGACATTTTAGTTGTTTTTCAGGTTGTGGACATGATAAAGTTGCATGTGTGTGCAAGTCTTTGTGTGGATATATGTGTTCCTTTCTCTTGGGTAAATACCTAGCAGTGAAATTGCTGGGTGGTTAGGTAAGAAACTTTTAAGAAATTGGCAAATAGCTTTTAAAAATAGCTGTATCATTTTATGTTCCCACCAGCAGTGTGAGTTCCAGGTATTCTACATCTGTATTAATCAAAGTTCTCCAAAGAAACAGAACCAATGGGAGATTCTATGTATGTATATAATTTATTATGGGAATTGGCTCACACAATTACAGAGGGCAAGAAGTTGTCTGCAAGCTGGAGAACCAAGAAAGCCAGTAGTGAGTCAGGAGTACTACTCTTGTCCAAAGATAGGTGAAGATGGGTGTCCCAGTTTAAACAGAGAGTGTGAATTTGCCCTTATTTATTTCTTTTGCTCTATTTGAGTCCTCAATGGATGAAACAATGCCTGCCCACATTGAAGGGTGTTTTTCTTCTTTCTACCAATTCAAGTGTTAATCTCTTCTGGAAATATCCTCACAGACATACCAGAAAAAGTTATACCAGCTATCTTGGCATCCCTTAGCCCAGTCAAGTTAACCCATAAAATTAACCATCACAACATTCTCACCAACAGTTGATATTTGCAGTAGGCAAAATAATAGCTCCCAAAGGATGTCCATGTTGTAATCCCCAAAACCTGTAAATATGTCACCTTACATGGCAAAAGGGACTTTGTAGATGTGATTGAGAATCTTTTTTTCTTTTTTAGTATTTTTTTTTGAGAGAGAACTCTTCTGTGTTGTTCAGGCTGAAGTCCAGTGGTGCAATCATGGCTCACTGCAGCCTCAACCTCCGGGCTCAAGCGATCCTCCCACTGGGACTACAGGTATGCACTGTCATGCCCAGCTATTTATTTTATTTTATTTTTTGTAGAGAGAGGGTTTTGCTGTGTTACCCAGGCTACTCTTGAACTCCTGAGCTCAAGCGATCCTCCCACCTTGGCCTCCCAAAGTGTTGGGACTATAGGTGTGAGCCATCATGCCCAGCCTGGTTAAGGATCTTGAGATGAAGAGATTATCCAGGTGAGCCAATATAATCATAAAGGTCCTTAAAATATGGAAGGTGGAGGCAGAAGTGTTAGAGGAGATGTGAGGATGAAAACAGGTCAGTGTGATGTGGTCATCTGCTAAGGAATGAGGGCAGCCACTAAAAAAATAGAAAAGTCAAAGAATAGGTTTTCTCTTAAAGCTTCCAGAAGGAATGCAGCTCGGCAGACAGCTTGATTTTAGCCCCGTAAGCCCCATTTCAGATGTCTCACCTCAAGAACCGTAAGACATTAAGTTTGTGTTGTTGTAAGTATGTGGTAATTTATTATAGCAGCAATAGGAAACTAATACATTTTGTTGGTCTTTTTAATTTTAGTAATTCAATGAATATGTATTGTATCTCAGAATGGTTTTAATGTGTGTGTGTCTATCTAACGATGTCAAGCATCTTTTAGGAGCCCTTCATATATTTCCCGTAAAATGTCTGCTCAAGTCTTTTGTCCATTTTAACTGGATTGTCTTATGATTTAGTTGCAAGAGTTCTGCATATGTCTTGGATACAAATCCTTTGTTAATATATGAATTGGTACTATTTTCTCCCAGTATTTGGCTTACTTTTTTATTTTCTTAATGATGTCTTTCAAAGGGAAGAAATTTTTAATTTTGATGAAATCCAATGTATCAATTTTTAACTTTTTATGCTTTATGCTTTTTGAGTCTAATAAATTTTTGACTATCCTCAAATGGCAGGAATTTGGATGTAGGTTCTTTTCTAAAAGTTCTACAATTTCAACTTTAAAATTTACTTCCTTGAACTTTTTAACGTGAGTTGAGATGCTTTGTATGAAGCCAGAGGCTTTGTTTCAGAGAATCTTTTCAGGCAGTCTTATAACTCCATTAACTCCGTCTCTGGGTGATAGACACTAAAGCAATCACTTCAGCACTTTGGGAGGCCGAGGCAGGCAGATCGCCTGAGGTCAGGAGTTTGAGACCAGTCTGGCCAACATGGTGAAACCCCGTCTCTACCAAAAATAGAAAAATTAGCTGGGCGCGGTAGTGTGCGTCTGTAATCCAAGCTACTTGGGAGGCTGAGGCAGGAGAATCGCTTGAGCCCAGGAGGTGGAGGTTGCGGTGAGCTGAGATTGCACCACTGCACTCCAGCCTGAGTGACAGAGCAAGATTCCATGTCAGAAAAAAAAAGAGAGAAAAATATGAAAATATGCTTTTTTGCGCGTTACTCTTTCTGACTACTGAAACATAAACTAGCATTTACTGCATTGTGATGCTCTGCCAGACAAACTTTCCTCATCTATAAAACTCGGTTCATTTCATAGATGAGAAAGCTGAGATTCATGGAGTTTAACTACCTGCTATAGATTATACAAGCACAATCAGTCCAGAATTTAAGTTCCTGTCTCATGGATATACTTTGAACTTTCTCATCTTGATGGTATGACTTCTTACGCTTGAAATATATTACCCTTTTTTTCTATGAAAATTATTATTTCTCTAAAGTCAAAATGCATTAACCATATTAAATATGGGCTCTTTCTTCTCAAGCGCCTGTCAGATTGTGAAGGGAACAATCCAATGCTCCTTTTTTCTTTCCTTAGGGGCAGAGGTTTTTGGCACCGTTTGTATCTCCAGTGTCCTGATTCACTTCTGTGAAGAGCAAAGGCAACTGATGGATCAATGCTTGGAGCAAAATGCAGAGAATCACTTCTTTGGAAGTGATTAGCATCTGACATTCTAAAAATGGATGAGCAGAGGGATTAGCCTTTATGCAACTGGGACCCTGAAAAGCAAGTATTAGGTTGGTGCAAAAGTAATTGTAGTTTTACCATTAATTTCAATGGCAAAACTGCAGATGCTTTTGCACCAACCTATATATACATGAGCATACATAGACATTGAGGAATGTATATCACTACACAAAGCCACCAACAGCCATGTTTGTTGGAGGAAGGATCGCCAAGGATCTTTTCTGTGTCCTCTTGGGAGATACAGGAGTGGTAGAAACAGGCCCCTACATGGTGAACACACTTAACCGGTGGCATTCTGACCCTCTCACTGCCCTACCATGGCTTTCAGGCTAATTTATTGATTCTCAGTGCCTCAATTTTCTATTTTAGTGACAGAAACAGTATTGTTTATGTGCTAAACTGACTCCCTATTTACTAGCCCCGTGATTTTGAACAATTTGCTTTATTTTTCTGTGTCTCATTTTCTCATCTGTAAAATGTAGCTGCCATGACACTGATCCAACATGGTTATGATAAGGATTTAATGAACTAAGATGGGTAAAGCTCATGAATGCTGCCTGGTATATAGCAAGGGCTCAATAAATATCTTCAGTTATAGGACAATTGTACATACATACATACATATATATATACACATATATAGATATGTGTGTGTGTGTACCTATATATTTTTCTCAAATGTGACAGAACTGCTTGGTTGTCCTTTTCCATGTAACAAACATAGTAATATAAATAAAGTAATAGTTGGGAAAAAACAATCTTACAATAGTCCCATAAAGTACTGAGCCACAGAGAAGTTAAATATAATGCCCATGTTTATAGAATTCGGAATGATTGCACAGATTACACAATACTTCTTTATTTTCCTGTCCAGATCTGATAGCTTTAGGTGAAGTGGGGAGAATGAGTCATAACTGGCAGGTATCGGAGGGGGGCTAATATCTCTGGCTGCTTTGCCTTAAACACATGATTTATTCCACCCAGCAGTGGCTGAGCTGAGCCTTGAAAACAAGTTTGCCTGGTTATATCCATGCTCACTCTGCTGCTCAGCCTTCTTAGTGCCACATACGGTCAGGAACCCTCCCTCAACAGTGAGATGTTTGTGGGTTTGCTGGTTGACACTGGAAAGGAGAGTGTGGTGACAAAATGAGCTAAGGTGAGAGCAGGGTGTTTCAAAAGCAAATACTGCCTTCTTTACAAGCTTGCCAACTCTCAGAGGAAAGACTGTGATTCTGTCTTTGTGGACCATGGAAGTTCCCTGCACCTTTGTCTATTACAGGACTGTCTTGTCTTACTTATCTGAATGCCCCTAGTGCCCAGCCCAGAGCCTGGTGAATGGTCAGTGTTCCATAACTGTTGAATGGCACTAGATACCAACCATCTTAGCCCTGGAAAGAGCTTGAGTGATCTAAGTTGGAGGGAAGCTCAGAAATAATAACACCTGAACTCCTGCTGGATACAGGAATCTCCTCGCATTATAAATCAAAGAGTGTAGTGGTTTAGAGCATAGGATCTGGAAACAGACTTTCCTGGGTTTAAGTCTCAGCTCCATCATCCCAAATCCTGTAAATATGGGCAGTTTATTTAACTTCTCTGTGCCTCAATACTTTATAGGGATATTGTAAGATTTTTTTCCCAACTATTATTTTATTTATATTACTATGCTTGTTACAAAGAAAAAGACAACAAAGCAGTTCTTCCCCATTTCACAAAAAGTTTCCAATCAACACCAATTACATGGTGATAAATAACTGGAATGGTGACACCTTTGGGTCAAGACTGGCAAGGAAAATGCTATGGTTCATCTCCAACAAGAATATGGCACATTGGCCGGCACAGGTAATGCCAAAACTGAGTCCTTAGTGCTCGGCCCAGATTTGGATCTCTTCTCTGAAGGTAGCAAATCAGGTAAAATAATTGGGTTTTTAAAAAATAAGTTTAAAATGAAGCTCAAGTTAAAAACCCATGCTCTTGACATATTTCCTTTCAAATTTTATATAAAACACACTTTTCCACTCTAATAGCCCAGATTTTTTCTTTACACAGCCCATCACATGGTTGCAGACAGACTCTTCTGCCTTAAGATGTAAACATAGGGAAAAATTGATGACATCTGCATAATACTCTTTCCACACTCTGCTATTACATGGAAAATACAAAACTTTTTTTAAAAAAAGAAAGAAAGGTTCCATCTTAGATTCTCACAACCTCTTGTTCCACAGTTTATGAACCTGACTCTGATACTAAGTTGGCAGTGTGTGTAAGCAGATTTTTGTTTTCAGTGAAGGAAACCTGGAAAAAGATGGATTGAGCTCATTTTCTTCCAAGAGTTATTGAATGGTACATGCTCCTCAAAGCCCTCATTCTCTCTAACTAGAGCACATTTCAGAATCACACAGCCTTCCTTATAATGCTGGCTGTCTTCAGTGGCAAACTCACAGATCCATCCCAGTTGGCTGTTGCGGTTTTTGTAGCTCACACCTTGAACCATGTGGCAGCCAGTGAGCATGATCCGATCTTGAACTTCACCATACTGTAGGTTAACTACTTTGTGACAAAGAAACGCCCTGCTAGTGGTGCCTGTGCACCTAGTAGAGATGAGCTGAGTTCTGAGCCATTGGTCAGGATTATATCACAGTTTGCACGAGAAAACAAATGGGTACTGCCAATATAATCAAGGAAAATTCTGCCCATTTTTGGAGCTGAAATTTTAAAAACCTGCATAGGTGAGTAGAATAAAGGGGTTGCAAGAACACACCAACCCTCCCTACAGCAAGTGAAAGGTAGGACGCAACCCACAGTGGACATAACTGGGCTGGCCTGGGCTTCCCTTGATGCTGGGTTGTGATACTGTAAGATTTTAATAAGATAATATATTTAGCTTATTTAAAACAATGCCTGGTACATAGGAAGTGCTCAATAAATGCTGACCTCCTCCTCTTCCTCTTTCTTCTTCCTCCTCTTTTTCTTCCTTTTCTTTTCTCCTCCTCATCACTCCCTTCCTCTTCTTCTTCATCTGGCTTCTCCTTGGAAATCCTCAATGACAGAGATACACTGAGGCAAACCTACCTTCTCTTTATTTCCATTCATTGATGTCCAACCTGTCTTCCCATGAAGGCTTTCAGACAGCCAAAGATAGCTATTAGTACGTCCAGAACCTTCTGTAAAGTCACACATCTACACTTCTCTCTAATCATGTTTTCTCATTCCATGTGATATCCAGATTTTTTTCCATTTGTTTAAAGCCTTTTCATTGCCTATGGGTGATGCCTTAGTTGCACACGATCCTAATGCAGTTAGTTCAGGAAGAAGGAAGTGTGGGCTTTTTTCTTCTCCAACATAGGCATGATTCCAACTCAAACATAGTTTCTTGGATCTCTTTGAAGAGGTAGAGGTTATGAACACGGTATCTACCTAGCTGTTATCACTCATTATACCCACCCCAGACACACATGCACATTCACCCTGCATCTCTGCTCTTTTACTAGGGTTGAGGTATGAGCTTCTGTATGACATAACTCCTCCTTCCCCCATGATGGCTGCTGTGACACTCTGAGAGGGGACCAAATGGGTGCTGGCCATTCTGCGTTTCTTTTAGTGCCACAAAAAACTTCTTCAATACTTGAAGCAGAGTAACAGCTGTGAACTAGCAGAGTGATCCAGAAATCCCCCAAATCCTACATAGCAGCCAGTGATCCCAGGGAGACCTGGCTTGACTTAGCAGGAGGGCTCCACGGCAGAGAGTGAGTGATGCCCATTCTGAACCTGCAGTTTTAAGTCTCTGTTCCCCTGGTGCTTGGGTACTTGATGTTTACAGCTTCTCTCCTGAGCTGCGCCATTCCTCCTGTCTTGCCTCCCTGTTGTGCTCCACCCGTTGCTGATTCCTGCTTGTCTTGCCAACGTCAGCTCTCCCCAAACCTTAAAACACCTATGCTCAACAGTCTGCTTTTCTTTGTATATTTTAGGCTCTAGTACCTGATTCCCCTTCAGGCATTAAGCTCCTTCAATAATAACTAACAATTCTGGAGCAAGAATTGTCAGTGAAAAAAAATTAACATTTACTGAGCATTTACTATTTGCTAGACTAAGTGATTTACATGCAACATATCATCTAAACCTCACAAAGACCCTCTCATATAAGGTAGCTCATGTTATTGGCTATTTGTTATATGTTAATATATGTTACATGTGCTTATATATGTGTGTGTGTGTGTGGGTGTGTGTATATATATATATATATATATATATATATATATATATATATATATATATGTTATATGTTATTGGTTACAAGAAAAGAAAATGGGGGCCAGGCATGGTGGCTCACGCCTGTAATCTGAGCACTTTGAGAGGCCAACGTGGGTGGATTGCTTGAGCCCAGGAGTTCAAGACCATCCTGGCCAACATGATGAAACCCCCATCTCTACAAAAAATACAAAACCTAGCTGGGGGTGGTGGCATGCACCTGTAGTCCCAGCTACTCAGGAGGGCTGATGTGGGAGGATCATTTGAGCCCAGGAGGTGGAGGTTGCAGTGAGCTGAGATCACATCACTGCACTCCAAATCCTGTCTCAAAAAAAAAAAAAAAAAAAAAAGAAAAGAAAAGAAAAGAAAAGAAAAGAAAATGAGGCTTGAGAGGTTAGATATCTTGTACGAGGTCAACCAGCTGGTAGTGGTAGAACTGAGGTGGGTACCCAGTATCTCTGAGTCCAAACTGTAATGCTTCTCCAAACAGGAATCCTCCAGTAATTAACAATAATTCCCTCCCATGGGGCATCTTGGGATTCCAACAGGAAAGAAGAACCACTGTCAGTTATGAAGCAAGGGATTTATTATAAAATTTAGACCTTACATAATTATGGAAGAAGCAGAGAAAGTGAAGGTGCCACTGGAGAGTTGAAAGATCAGAGCAAGAGTAAGTAACAGTTATGCATGTCCTACTGCAGAAGTGAAACTGCAAAGGCAAGCTCATGGGAAGCCCATGAGAAACTGCCTCCACTGCCAATATATGGCGATAGGCCTGGACTCTCAGACCACTGTTGATCAGTGGGGTCAGGTAGGAAGATAGGTAGAATGTAGAGGAGATGACAGCAAGGACAAACTGGAACCTGCCAGCACCTCTGCATCTGTCGTCATGTCTAATCACAATGACTTTCAGAGGTAATCATGCTGCTTCACTTTAATCTTTCAAATCTCATGCACATTTCTTTTTTGACAACTCCAATCAAGAACCATATCGGTGGGGGGAACTCTGGGAAATATACTTCCAGGTTAATCAAGTTGACATATGCAAACCATCCTGCCTTAGTCTGTGTTGTGCTTTCATAAAAGAATACCTGAGACTGAGTAATGTATAAAGATTAGAAATGTATTGGCTTATGGTTCTGGAAGCTGGGAAGTCCCAGATGGAAAGGCTGGCATTTGGCAAGGGTCTTCTTGCTAAGTCATCTCATAGTGGAAGGCACAGGGGGCTGGGGACCAGGGACCAAACTCACCCTTTTAGAATGAACTCAATCCTGTAGGTTTGTATTAATCAATTCATGAGGGTGGAGCCCTCATGGCCTAATCACCTCTCACTAGACCTCACCTCTCAACACAGTTGCAATGGAGATTAAGTTACCAGCACATGGTTTTTTGGCAGGCACATTTAAACCTTAAATGTGCAAACTTCTTCCCATGTATTATCCTCAAAAGCAGCAGGGCATGTAATCTACTGGAGATTCCATGCATTATCTATGATTCTTAGGGTACAATAATGCTTACAAAATCTAAGTATTAATTGGTTCACTTGTAATTCAATAACTTAGTATGTGGCTGTTATTCATTTACTTTCTTTTTCCTATTTCAGAAGATCAGAGGAGGGCTTACCATTTTAGTGCTGACCATTAGTTTAAATAAAAAAGAAGTTAATTTTAAAAAATTCATTACAGACAGACAAGATGATAAATTTTTCCAGCATCAATGCATAGATAACAATTAATGCTTGACATAGATTCTATTTAAAACAAAATAATGTTTTAAAAAATTCTTCAGTAGTGGTATGCTAAGGATTCCAGCAAAGCCAAACAGCCTTCAGGCATAGGATGAATCATCTAATTTGTTTGTCAAGGCTCATTCAGCTGGAAAGGGCTGTACTTTCATGCAGGGAGAATTTCTAATGGCAGCTTTCTGGTAGCAGGCATCACACCACCGGAATGATATTAGCAGCTCACCACCAAAACCAGTGGGCAAACTCCTTTACAGCTGATTTATGGGTATATTAGTCAGCTCTGGCTGTCATAACAAAATATCACACACTGGATGGCTTCATAGAAATGTTTTCCCCTTAGTTCCGGAAGCTGAAAGTACAAGACTGGGGTCCCAGCATGATCAGGTTCTGACGAGGTCTCTCTTTCTTGCTTGCATATGGCTGCCTTCTTGCTGTGTCCTCCCATGATGGAAAGAGAGAGGTTGGGGTGGGGAGGAGAGAGTGCATGAGCTCTGGTATCTCTTCCTTTTCTTACCAGTGCACTAATCCCAACCCATCATGAAGACCTACCCTCGTGACCTCATCTAAACTTAATTATCTCCCATACCATCACAATGAGCACTGGAGTTAGAGCTCCTACATCTGAATTTGGTGGTGGGACACAATTCAGTCCATAGCAACAGGCATTTCAGACGGACCTGGAACCTTGAAGTTCTCAGGTTTCCTGCCAGCCTGACTGGACCCACAGTCTTTACACTGAACCCATTCTCTTCTGCCTTGGCTCAACATTCATCTCTTATTGGTTTTAATGTCACCAGGCTAAGAAATTCTCCTTCAGCCAAGAGTCTGATTTTTTTTTTTCAACATGAAAATCCCCATGGATATTTAGAGGGAAAAAAAGCAGCCTTCCATGAGTGTATGGCATAAGGCAGAAGGAGGCAGGTGCCCTGAGATGAGCAGATCTGTCCTCCACCTAGGAACACCATTCAATCACTCATTATACAATTATTTTGAGCATCTTCTCTGTACTAAGCACTGTGCTAGATGATGTGGGTACTATGGAGAATAACATAGATGACTCATATCTTGATGCAATGGACTGAATGTTCATGTCCCCCAAAATTCATATGTTGAAATCCTAATCCCCAATATTATGGTATTAGGAGGAGGGGTCTTTGGGAAGTGACTAGGTCATGAGAGTAGAGCCCTCATGAATGGGATTAGTACCTTATAAAAGACACCCCAGAGACTCTCTTACTCTCCTTCCAACAGGAGAGGATACAGTGAAAAGATGGAAAGTGTGCAACCTGGAAGAGAACCCTTGCCAGAACCTGACCATGACCACTCCAGCACCCTGATCTCAGACTTTTCAGCCTTCACAACTGTGGGAAATAAGTTTCTGCTGTTTATAAGCCACCTAGTCTATGGTACATTTGTTAGAGCTGTGCAAACTGACTAAGACACTGCACAATGCCAATTTCAGATACTCTGTCACATTTTCCAGGCTAATAAATTCTTGTCTGTTACAATTTTGTCTGCCATTGTGACTTTGGAGAAGAGAGTGACATATTTATTTCTCTATATTTTCTCCTTTCACATTCTCTCATCCTCATCCTACTATAGGCCTCTGTGGCTTCATCTAAGTAAATTAGAGAGCAGGGACCTATGCTTTATCGCCAGTTCCCTAAAACTATTTTCTTGTCATTGGCTTTTGGAAAGGCAAGACTGAAAGCAGCAATGTCCTCCTGTGGTAAAAACTGGTCACAATGTCTTACTGCCCGGAACCAGGAGATACCTCTCTCAAGTCTTTCACAGGCTCAGATTTTAAGTCTCGTTGGCAGTCTCTCCCTCTTCCTCTCCCTCTCCCTCCCTCTGCCCCTCTCTCTTTTGAGATGGAGTCTGGCTCTGTCTCCCAAGCTGGAGTGCAGTGGTGCAATCATGGCTCACTGCAGCCTGGACCTTTTGGGCTCAAGTGATCCTTCTGCTTCAGCTGCTTGAGTAGTTGGGACTACAGGCATGCACCACCATGCCTGGCTAATATTTTTTGTAGAGAGGAGGGCTCACTATGTTTCCCAGGCTGGTCTCAAACTCCTGGGCTCAAGTGATTTTCCCACCTTGGCTTCCCAAAGTGCTGGGATTACAGGCATGAGCCACTGTGCTCAGCCTGCTATCTCTCTCACTTAAAGAAACAAACAAACAAACAAACAAAAATAGAGATGGTGATGTGGATTCAGGTGGGACAGAGATCTGAAATCACCTCAGAACCAGCAATTGCTCTGATCAGAGTGACCCTACACTGACCCCTTTTCACTCAGACATTTCCAAACTCCAGCTTCTTGGAGGCAGTGGTTGGTGTAATTGGTTCTTTACTGGGATTCTAGCACAGGGGTATTCAATCTTTTGGCTTCCCTAGACCACATTGGAAGAAGAAGAATTGTCTTGGGCCACACACAAAATATACCAACACTAATGATAGCTGATAAGCTAAAAAAAATTTGCAAAAACATCTCATAATGTTTTAAGAAAGTTTATGAATTTGTGTCGGGCTGCATTCAAAGCCATCTTGGGTGACATGTGGCCCATGGGCCACAGATTGGACAAGCTTGTCTAGCAGATGGTTCAGATGAATCTTTAATTAAACACGTTTTCCAACCTCAATTTGACCTTCAGTGTCCGTTTCAATAGTACTTGTCACACTTTAATGGACCTTATTGTTGAATTGCTAGATGATGACCTTCAGCAACCAGTTGAGTTTGGAAAACATGGGCCAATCCACCATTGGTTCACCAACTGGGTCTCTCTCCTTTTTCCTAAGATAGCTACATCAAACCTTCTCTGTTCTTCTCAAAGGTTGATACCCTTTTACCATCTAAAAATAGTCAGGTCATTCATCCAAGAATGATCAGATCACTCTGCCCTTAGAGCTCTTCTGCAGCTCCCCATTGACTTGGGATAGAGCTCTGCTCAGCACCTGCACTCCCCTGGCCTCTAACAGCTTCAGCTCTGTATGCCTCTCTAGTCTTGCCTCTGTCACTTCCTAACAATGTGCTCTGTGCTTACTTCAGTCTTTGCAACTCATCAAGTTCTTGCCTCTAGGCTTTCATCCCAATGTGCTGCTGCTTTAATTTAGTATGATCCTCAACTTCCCCACACCCTAGCTGGCCTTCAGGTATCATTTTTCTTGCACTTCATGCAGGAAGACTTCTCCCCCTTCTTTCAATAGGCTAATTATCCATGGTATGTGCTCCTATCACACACTGAACTTCCTTTTCAACAGCACTCGTCACACTTTACTGGATCTTATTGTTGAATTGCTAGATGATGAGCTCTACTAGTTGATGAGCTTCCAGTAGGCAGGGATTGCATTGTTCTCTGATGCGTCCCTACTGCCGAATAGAGAGCTTTACACACAGGAGGCAATCACTACACAACCAACTCAGTGAATGGACTAATCATGCAGGATCACAGAAAGTTTGAAAAATTGTGGCAAAAATCACTCATAATGCCATTATGAGTGATAATAGGACCATTTTCATTTTCACTTATTTCCTTCTCTTCCTCCTCCCACCAAATATTCATGTCTTTAAAGAGTTGCAGTCATTATGCACTTATAATGTGGTTTTTTGCTTCTAACTTCACATTTTTACTAAGTTACACATAATGAGACTTAAGCATTGGAGCTCATCTTTGTCCTACAAGCAGCACAGGTCTCTGTCAGAAGAAATGTAAATAAGAGGGAAAAGAATACATGTGATACATTATCGCATTTATTCTAGGTTGTGCTCTGACTTTTCCCAAACTCTGGACAAACAGGCATGGACTCTATGTAGGGTAACAACTTCTATGGCAGGCTTGGATTTGTACATGGTCTGTAACAAGACAAAAATGTAAGGTACCTTCAAATAATTTGATTTTCTCCCTTCCTCCCATCCTCTCTTTCACTCATTTTAAAAAATGATAAAAAACTACTCAACTGCATAGATAGGTTCTTTCAGGTTAGGGAGGAACTATGGAGTTGAGCAGCCCTAGATTTTAAATACTGTCCCTTTGCCTGCTAACTTCGGGAAACTCACACCCTCTAAGCTTCAGTTTTCTTATTTGTATAATGAGGACAGTAGTAGTACCTGCCTCATAGTGGGGCTATGAAGTGTAAATGAAGTCATGCATATGAAGTGCTGAGCACAGTGCTTGGCACATAGTAAGTGCTCAATAAATGATAGTTATTTTAGTTTTTATCCATAAGCAGATGGATCTCCCCAACATTTCTCAGGAAACTAACCACTGTTAAGTGAATAGATCTCTGATGTTCTTACACTATAGAGAGGACACCATATAAAAACTGCTGAAGTGAAGAGCAGCTTGAACACAAATACCTGCAATCCAGATCATCTGTCCCTTCTCTGTCTATGCAGGCTCATATGTTAAACCACTGTCCAAGGCACATCTTCCTGGCTGGGGGACACTCTTGCTGCCCCTTAGTTTCACTCGCTCTGAGAAAAGGCTGCCTGTCTCCAAACTTATTCTTCAAATTGGATGAAAATCCTACAAGTTCTTTTCAGTGATGTGATAACAGTCTCACAGATTGAAACATTATTTATTTATATTATTGATGGAGTACTTTTCCTATTCAACTCTAAAATGCATGCACACACAACAGAGTTTCACTTTGGAATAGCTGTTGCTCTTTTGCTCCCTTCACATGGCTAGGTCAGTTCATAAAGGCAATCTTTTTTTTTTTTTTTTTTTTTGAGACAGAGTCTCATCCTGTTGCCCAGGCTGGAGTGCAATGGCATGATCTTGGCTCACTGCAACCTCCGCCTCCTGGTTCAAGTGATTCTCCTGCCTCAGCCTCCCAAGTAGCTGGGATTACAGGCATGCACCACCACCCCTGGGTAATTTTTTGTGTCTTTAGTACAGACAGGGTTTCACCATGTTGGCCAGGCTGGTCTCGAACTTCTGACCTCATGATCTGCCTACCTCGGCCTCCCAAAGTGCTGGGATTACAGGTGTGAGCCACTGCACCCGGCCTAAAATAATTATATCTTAAGATAGAAAGAAACTGTATGATACAGCCTCTGTTTCAGTATGGGGGAGAAAAATCATGTTCCTTCTTTCTACTGTGTTTAATGTGTTCATTAAACACACATTTACAGAGAAATTCTTGGAAGTCAGGATGAAAGGATAAAGGAATGCAAAGCACAGCCTTAAGATCTCAGAGCCAAGTGAGAGAGCCATGCATTCACAGTAAACTATCTTCATGTGAAAAATGCTATGTTTGGAGCTGGTATATAGTAAAAAGAGAACTCAGTTAAGAATGCTATTATCTTATTTACCAAATTTAAAATGCTATTGATAAGAAGATGAACTCCAATTTTAGAAATGGTGTCTTAGGTCAAGTTTCCCAGAGATAGACCCTGAGACCAACATTCATGTGCAACTGATTAATTAGGAAGGGCTCCCAGCAGAACCCAATAAGGGAATAAGGAAAGCAGGCCAGGGAAGGGGAGGAAGCCAAGCAAAGTCCCAAGACAGCAGCTGCAGCCTGATTCCCCAGGGGGAACTCTGGGGTGGAAGTTGCATCTCAGAGTCTGTCCTGATTTGGGGCAAGGAACTGGACTTTCATACTTCTGCACTAGTCCTGGGCCAAGGATGCCCGGGGACATTATATTTTCAGCTCTCTGCTCTGGGCAGCCCTAGAGCAGTCTTTTGAAGAGAATAGCAAGGGCAGGCAGTTGGAAGCAGAAGCCCACATTTATATGAGGAAAGGTGCACAGAAATCTACAAAGAATCCAAGAGGATCTGGGCAGAACACCAACAATGTTTGCTACAGAAGATAGGATGTGAACAAATGTGCATCTTAAAAACAATGGAATAGCAATGGAGGAAATGGGCATCAGTGTAGGCTTCACGGAGGAAGTCAGGTGGCCTTGAAAGGATCGGCAGAAGAAATGCTTCAGTCAGGGGGAATATGGTGAGCAAAGTGAGAGGATCAATGTGAAACCAATGAGAAGACAGAAGGGACAGCCCCATGAGTAGATTGCTATCATTGGCTGTGGCCAACTTCTGAGGCAGAGAAGCTGAAGCCACCTTAGAGGGACTTTCTGTTGGAAACGCTGATTGGTTGATTCTTACTCTGACCCAGGGTCATTTCTTGAGTCCTTTGTGGCCAGCTTCTACTCCAAGGTGACATGCCACAACCAGGGCAGGATGATGGTGGCTGAAGCAGAGCCCCCAATTGTAGGCTCTGGTAGAGCTGGGAGGGCTAAGTTAGCCATGCAAAAAGTTTCAACTTTGTCCTATAAGGTCCAGGGAATCTTGGAAGGCTTCTAAACTAAGGAGTGATATAATCTGACCTGTGCTTAAAAAGGGTGACCCTGGCTAAGATGCCTGCACATTTTCTTTACTAGAATGGGTACTTTTCTTTTTAACCTTTACTGTGGGACTTCACTCCCAAAAGACATCTTTCTGTCCCTATCTGTCTTAATGTCCTTGGACTGCCATAACAGAATATATCACATACTGGGTGGCTTAAAAAACAAATTTATTTTTATACAGTTCTAGAGGCTATAAGTCTGAGATCAGGGTGCCAGGTCAGGTTCTGGTGAGGGTCCTCTTCCTGGTCTGTGGATGACCACCTTCTCCATGTGTGTTCATGTGGCTTTTCCTCGGTGTGGGTGAGCAGAGAGAGAAAGAGACAGACAGACAGACAGAGACATACAGAGAGAAAGTGAGAGCACCTTCCTGTCTCTCTTCCTCTTCTTCTAAGGACACTAACTGTGTCAGATCAGGGCCCTACCCTTATGGATGTATTAGTTCATTCTCACGCTGCTATGAATAAATACCCAAGACTGGGTAATGTATAAAGGAAAGAGGTTTAATTGACTCACAGTTCCATATGGCTAGAAAGGCCTCAGGAAACTTACAATCATGGCAGAAGCTGAGGGGGAGGCAGGCACCTTCTTCACATGGTGGCACGCGAGAGAATGAGAGCTGAGTGAAGCTAACAAAACCATCAGATCCTGTGAGAACTCACTCACTATCATGAGAACAGCATGGGGGAAACTGCCCCTATGATTCAGTTATCTCCACCTTGTCCCACTCTTGACACGTGGGGATTACACGATTCAAGGTGAGATTTGAGGTGGGGACACAGAGTCAAACCGTATCACTTCCTTTAGCCATAATTGCTTTTGTAAAGGCTCTATCTCCAAATACAGTCACATTGGGGGTTAGAGCTTCAACATATGAATTTTTAGAGGACACAAATGTTCAGCCTATAGCATCATCCCATAGATTTCTTAAATAGTTGGAAATATCCCAGAGACTTACATGCATCAGGACTCATAACAGCAGTCAAGGCTTAGCAACAGCAGGTAAATTCAAGAGTTACTTCAGCCCAGCTATTGACCTCATGTGATTATCTTCTTTAACCTATCCAGACCATCAGTTTATCTCAGTTAAATTTGTACTGCCATGGCACATATATTGGGAAAAAAAATGTGCTACTTAGATTTCCCAAGGAATTTGTATTTCATCTCCTAAAGCTGACACTGGGAGTTTATCAGGTCCAGAGTTCAAATTCTGGCTTTCCAACTGATCATTATAGAGCTGGCTTCCTTGCTGGCTTTAGCATCTGGAGTTGCAACAGATACCTCGGTGCCTGAAACATGTTTATGAAATCTATGAAACCACAAGCCAGCTGTCCAGTTCCAATGTGAAGCAATAGATACTCTTGGGCTACAGTGCCTTGGTTGTAGCACGTCACCTTGGAGGAGGAGCTGGCCTCATCAGACACAAGAAATGAGTCTCAGGTCCCATGAAATGGCTCATGCTTGTATACCAACACTTTGGGAAGCCCAGATGGGAGAATCGCTTGAGGCTAGGAGTTCAAGACAAACCTGGGCAACAAAGCAAGAGCCTATCTCTACAAAATTGAAAAAATTAGCTGGGCATGGTAATGCGCTCCTGTAGTCCCACCTACTAGAGAGGCTGAGGTGGAAGGATTGCTTGAGCCCAGGACATTGATGATGCAATGAGCTATGATGGCACCACTACACTCCAGCCTGGGGGACAGAGAATGACCCTGTCTCTAAAATTAAGAAAAAAAGAGAAAGAAATGAGTCTAAGGCAAAGTAAAGAGCAACCAGTTTCCAACAGAAGGTCCTTCTAAGGTGGAAATTAAGGCAAAAAATGTAAAAAAAAAAAAATAGATTTTATAAACATTTTTACTTCAGCTTTGTTGGTTTAGCCTAATAACTTTCCTATCTTTTTTAACAGATTTCTTTAAATTAAGCATATTTGCAATTCAAATAGCAAAAACACTACGTAGCTATTAATTAGTACATACACTTGATCTATAATAAATTCTTAAACACTAAATAACCAAACACTAAATATAGAAAACACTAAATAGCCAAAATGAGACCATCTCCATCCAAAAACATAAATAAAAACCAGACATACCCTGTAAACAATATTCTGCATTATTCCTTTTCTCCAAAACTATATTTAAGTTTGGTTCTTGATATTTTTCACTATGTTCTCCCAACTGTTGTGTGGGTTCAGCCATGCTTTAAAAATATAGGTTTTTTCAGATCTTTTTCTGATTACAAAAGCATATATTTTTATGTCAAGAAATTTAAAAAATTTAGATAAGCATAAAGAATAAAACATCTATAACCACGGTTAACATTTTGCTGCCTTGTTTTTAATTTCTACATGTAACACTCACTCATTTATTCATTCATTCATTCATTCATTCATTCATCATTTACTCATGTTTCCAACAATTACATTTATTGAGCTCTCAAGAGGAGCTTACATTCTAGTGGAGAGAGGGAAAAATGAACTGGTAAATCAAAAGATAAAAGACAGGGTAGTGATGAGTTCTATGGTAAAAACAAAGCAGGTGATATGGTATCAAGTACTACTTAAGTTGAAACCTGAATGATAAGAAGAATCTAGCTTTGTGAAGATCTTAAAAAAGAACAGTCCAGGCTGGAGGGACAGCTGGTACAAAGCCTTAGAAATACAAGTACCCTTTAGCCAGAAATCCCGCTTGTAAGAATGTGCTTGTAAGTATGCAAAGAAATCATTATATGGATAACAGATATATATATAGATGATAGCTAGCTAGATAGATAGATATAACCACACTCTTGTTTATAGTAACAAATGGATACAAATAATCTATCACTGGGAATTTGTTGAATACTTCATGGTGCTTCCATAAAATGGATCATCTTCCAGTTGCTAAAAAATGAACTGGGTCTTTCTCTACATGCTGACATGGAAAGATCTCCAAATGCCAACTCAGGATCCCAAGCTGCTTGTGTCCAGTGGTTCTGCCATTCACTAAAGCCTCCTTGAAATCCTCCACTGAGTTCCTGCATTTGGTTCTCCAACCAGCAGAGAGAGAGATTATGAGGAGGTTGCAAAAGAAGGTTCAGAAGCCAGGCCTGGATGGGGTACACATCATGTCTACCCACATTCTATGAAGTCTCATGGCCCCACCTACATGATTGGGAGGCTAGGAAATGTGGAGGAGCACTTGTGTATTAGTTTCCTATTGCTGCTGTAACAAATGTAGTGGCTTGAAACAACCTAAATGTATTCTCTTACAGTTCTATAGTTTGGAAGTCCAACATGGATCTCACTGGCTCAAATCAAGGTGTTGCCAGGATGGCATTTCTTTTGGAGGCTTTAGGTTAGAATCTGTTTCGTTGTATTTTTCAGCTTCTAAAGATTGCCCACACTCATTGGGTTATGACCTTCTTCCTCTCTTTTGAAAGCCAGCCAGCAACACTGCATTTCTTATCAATATTGACACCTTACCTACTGAATATTGCTTTGGTTCTAAGATTCAGGGTTTTGTGTTTCTGTGGTTGTTTTATTATATGCATCTCTTCCCAACTGTATGTTCAGAGACATCTCATTGGTAGCTTGAAGTGGCATGGTGGTCTTCAGTATGTAGATATTGGGGTGGGTCATTATTCTAACATACTGCTTGACATGGTCATTTAGTGAGACTTCAGGATCAAAAGGTATGATGTTCTACAGCTTTTAGTATCCCCATCAACCAAAAACCAATTAATTTCTACCTGTTATCAAAGAAGGAATGCTTTAATTGGTCATTGCCAATTTTGTTTTTTAGTTTATTTTTTTCCTAGAATATCACAACAGGGATCCTCTTCTCTTTGATTCATTGATGGATTCCAATATCCTAACAACACATGATAGATGTTCAATAAATATTTGTAGAGTAAATGAATAAGATCTGCCTGAAGCTAAGCCACTATCTTCCTGGTAGGTGATTCCACTAGGCTTTCTCCATCATTTGTATTACAAAATCTTTGTAGGAAAAGAATTAAGCTCCTCTCAATAACTCTTTCTTCTGCAGACTCATAGTAATTTACAAAATACCTATATTATAAGGGTGGCAATTATCTGTTATGGTAATTTATCTTATACATGTGTGACTCTTCCGCTGTAATGGAAGCTCTTAGAAATCAGGGTTGGTGTCTTTGTTTTGTTTTCATGTTTATTTCCTTCTCAAAAGTAATATTTCCTTTATTTTTATTATCTATTCCTATGAATGTGTTACATGGAAAGCTGAAAGAATTGACCTTGCATATGCTTCTTAGCTGGAGTGCAAGCCCCTTTGCAGCAGGTGTGATGGACAAAGCTGTACTCCAAGACTGTGACAGTCCTCAGCCCTGTCAAGATTTCAGGCTCAGCACATGTTCGTTGAAGGAATGGTGTTGGCTTTCCCTTTGAAAACCTTGGAGGGACTTCAGCAAAGGCCAAAAGAGGAAAAGCTGAATTTCCTCCTAAAACATTTCATGGTCCCTGCCTCCCACACATATAGGAGTTTCTAATTTTGGGCTTGGCACCAATCGCCTATCAAAGCAAATTATTCTTTAAAAGGCTTAAGTGGGAAGCCAGCCCAAGGTTTTGTTTTGACAGAATTGTACGTCTGAGTGGGGCTGACCATGTTCTTGGCCTTGGCTGTACTCTCTTGTGACACAGAAATAACCTGAACTCCTCTGATGTAACAAGTTTTGAGAAGTTCTGCTGAATTGATTGACAAATCTTTCCCAGGACAACTTGAGATTCTCAATGTACAACAAGTATATCAACGATGATGATCAAATTAAAGAGCTTTTCTTGGATTTTCCTGTCACTCCTGGCAGAGGTAATATGGAAAACCCAGGCCTTGAGAAAAACATGCTTAGAGCATACTTTGGCTATTTGCTGTAACATTACTTTCCAAATTTTCCGAGAAGCTTTAAGCTGCTAACATAAGCATAAATGCTGCTCTACTGCAGCCACCATGAAATAAACAGCAGGCTGGGACACAAGAGCCGGCACACTCTGAACCAGCTTTCTGGGGAAACTCCCTAGGGACCCAAGGTTGCATAAAATTCAACAGGAAGGCAATCCAACATCGTCCAAATGCTCTTTCCCTACCATAGGGTTCTATCATGTTTGCCAATTCCTGCTTGCAAAATCAATCTATTAATATCATGCATGAAGATGCTTCTCAGAAAGTAGTTTTTATTGGTATAGGAGGCAGCTCCTCCAGGGATAGTTGGAGGTCAGAGTCGTATGTTCCAGAACCCTCTGTCTTTAGGTTGAGGCTAATTGACCAAGACTCCAAGAAACATTTTTTCTAGTCAATCAAGGTCAAAACTTAACGTGCTTGTTTATATTGGGGGAATGTGCATATAATTACATATGTGTTATGTATGTTTATTTAAAAAGCTCCTTGTCCTGAGGGCAGAGGGAATGATGCTGCCTCCTAGTGGGAGACAAATTGAGAGACACAGCCATTTAGAATAGGCTGGAGGAATTGAAGAGGAGCCTCAGATCCTAGGTAAAAATGCAGACTCTACTCTCTGCTGCTTAACGATCTAATTCTATATGAGACACAAGATCTCTTTCTGAAGGTCTATACAGCCTCTCTTGGTAGCCATTCAAACCTACCAATCAACATATTTTTGACAACTTCCTATTTGTTCAAACATGTGCCTGGAATCAAAGAGGACACCAAGTGGCTGGGCATGGTGACTCATGCCTGCAATCCCGGTCACTTCGGGAGGCCAAGATGGGAAAGTTGCTTGAGTTCAGGAGTTTGAGACCAGCCTGAGCAACACAGCAAGACCCTATCTCTATTTTTAAAAAGAAAAGAAAAAAAAGAGGACACCAAGAAAATATTAGGCAGGAATTTTGCCCTCAGAAAATGTATGCATCGTTCAGTAGAAGAGACTGGTTTGTACCTTAAAACAATTTGAGATAAGCAATTCTTCATCTCTATGGTTCAGTTTATGTGTCAATGGCTTAATCTTCTTTTGGACTCCCCTGTCCCCAGGAGCAAGCCCAAACTCCTTAATCTGGCATTCAAAGGTGTTTATAATCTGGTTTCCCACCCACATCCTACTCAACCACATTTCTTGCCATTTCTGTTTTGCGTTCCATATTTCCACCACTCCTGAAACTGGCTTAAGGGTAGGCCCTTCAGGTAAGCCAATTGCTAAGGCTTTCTAACATATGAAATCTAGCAAGTCATAGAGAAGAGAATTGTCAGACAGGGCTTCTTGTGAGATCCTCTAATAAACTGCTAAGGGTGGGAAGTGATATCCCCCAGTGACATGCTTAAGTAACAGTAAAAAAAAAAAAAAAAAAAATCCAAATGGCTTTCTAAGAAGAGTAGATTCACCAGATATCAGAATTTTGTTTGATTGAGTCAGGGACCAAGGAGTTGACTTACTTGGGAAAATAGAGAAGCACAATTGCATATTGTCATCAGAGAGCCCTCTTTATCCACTGTTGTAACATCTAGCTTCTCCTCTAAACAAAATTTACTAAAACTGGTCAAAAGAAGCACCTAATTATTAGCCAGCTGACAGTGGGCTGGCCATGGCTTACTGAACCACCTGTATTCTCTGGATTTCCCACGCTCTGTCTGTGCTTTTGATAGTTTTATCTGGAACCACCCCACTGCTACTCTATATCAAGTTAATCTCAAAATGCAACAAAAGCTATTGCCTCCATTATAAAACACTCCCTGACTTTATGCTACCCTCTGGCCTAACCTGCTCTGTATTAAGTGCTAAGTCTTTGTGTTCCCATTGACTTTGATGTACATCTCTTATCCCAACACTTTATTAAAATAAGCTTTTGGTGTCTGGTCCCTTCGCTAGGCTCCCTGATGGCTATGAGTTGTGTCTTCTTTTTCTATGTACTAAAGCATCCCTCCTAGCTACTGGACCTTTGAGTATATTAGTGCCCTTTTTTAGGATAGGGAAATGGGAGATCATTGAGAATACCTGAGTAGTTGGATTCATAGGAAGAGACCTGGGTTGGGTCCTGGCCAATGGATTGGTAAGATTTGAAGAGGCAAGGGGAGGTCCTTCTTCCAGGAGAGTGATTGTGAGCAAGGGTGTGTGAAAGAAACAGTAAAGGACACAAGCCCACCTATGAGAGGCAAAACATTCTTTCATATACCTAATGAAGATCTAACAAAGTCCATTTTCTTTTGCTCAGTTCTTCCCAGAATGTCAAAAGGGTAAAATTGCATAAATTTGCAAATAGGTGGCCAGACATGGTGGCTCACACTTGTAATCCCAGCACTTTGGGAGGCCAACATGGGCAGATTGCTTGAGCCCAGGAGTTCAAGAGCAGCCTGGGCAACACAGCGAAACCCTGTTTCTACAAAAAATGCAAAAATTAGTTGGGTGTCATAGTGCACACCTGTAGTCCCAGCTACTAGAGAGGCTGAAGTGGGAGAATTACTTGAGCCCAGAAGGTAGAGTCTGCAGTGAGCCATGATGGCACCACTGCATTCCAGCCTGGGTGACACAGTGAGACCTTGTCTCAAAAACAAACAAACAAAATGTAACTGGAATTGTAAGTGGACAGAAACCTTGGTTGCCATTCCAGCTATGAAATCAAGTCTTCTGAGGGGCTGTACAAATTCATAGGACAAGATTCTTTTAATCACATACTCGACCCTCAACTCCTCAAAAAAAGTCCCTAAATAGTGAGGTCTTGTTCAGGGGGTGTTCACAGCATGAAATAGGAGTAGTTAGAGGTTAACCAGAATGGAAGGCCTTTGGCCTTTGTAAATGCAGCTCCCCGGCACAGGCCTCAAGTTCCTATCAGTGGTCTGTTTCTTGAGCCCTGGGTTGAAGATTATTTTGTTGACAATGTGGAGATTACTTTAGAGAGTGGTGCTCAGGGCTGTTAGGTGATTAAGTGGATGGAGGGTAGAAAGTATTGAGCAATACCTCTTTTTTTTTTTTAGACAGGGTTTTTCTGAAACAGAAAAATATCAGATAACACCACTAGTTAGACTAGAGTCTTCTGTTTCTTGAGATTTTGGAGGGGAGGAGAAAGAGTCAAATGATAAAGATGAGAATGCTGTGAGAGATTTTCGTCTGGAAAAAACAACTTTTAGACCATGTTTCAAGAGAGGAAAATCACATGTATACTCTTAAACTGCTTCATGTGTGTCTGCAAAGCAGATTAAGGTGTGCTTATAGAGCAAACCCTGATGTCTACAAAAATCTTAACAATAAAAAGTAATGCCTATTAAATGAATCAGAGAGCTAAATGTGAGCTAACACAATAAACCTTCTAGAAGAAAGCATAGAATAAAATCTTCGTGACATTGGATTAGGCCAAGATTTCTCAGATTCAGCACAAAAAGGAAAGACCATAAAAGAAAAAATGGATCAATTGGACTTCATAAAAATTAAAAATATTCTCTCCTAAAAATGTTAATTACATTAATTCATTCATTCAAGTATTTATGATGTGCCAGTACCCCCTAGCTGTTGTATTATGGCAATGAATTGCATTCCCTCTATTATACTGCACTGGAGCAGGAAAATACATTTTAGAAAGATTAACAATAAGAAAAATACCCCTATTATTTAAAAGTAATTTTTCATTTAAACTCATGGACAGGATCAAATACTAGGAAATGATGGAAAATGCTGAGAAATAAGAATGTGTACAATAACAGGCCGGGGGCAGTGGCTCATGCCTATAATCCCAGCACTTTGGGAGGCTGAGGCAGATGGATCACTCAAGGTCAGGAGTTGGAGACCAGCCTGACCAACATGGCAAAAACCCATCTCTACTAAAAATACAAAACTTAGCCGGGCATGATGGCAGGCGCCTGTAATCCCAGCTACTCAGGAGGCTGAGGCAAAAGAATCACATGAACCTGGGAGGCAGAGGTTGCACTGAGCCGAGATCGCACCACTGCACTCCAGCCTGGTTGAGAGAGAGAGAGAGACTCTGTCTCAGAAAAAAAAAAGAATGTGTACAGTAAGCCTGACAGTTGGTATTTGTTAACTCTCATACCATTTGAGCAAGAATCCTGGCAATGCGGATGCAGGATAAAGAATATTAGCACTTTGGAAGACGGTCTGAGACCACATTTCGCTCTATATTATTTTACCATAGGACTTTAGAGTCAGGTAGGACCAGATTTGAAAATTAGTTTTTCTACCACCTGTGGGATCCCAGACTCTGATTAAAATGTCTACTTTATAGAGTTGTTATAAGAATCAATGAGGTAATAAATAAAGTGTAAAGTGCAAGGCACATAACTGGGCCTGAGTAAACGGAAACTGTCATTGGATGATGATAATGGTGATGATAAAATCCAATCAGGTTCCAAAAGTTGACCAGAACTAGGCAGCTTACTTGTTCTTCTTGAGAAATGTGCATCCTTCCCCATAGTAATCTTAGGGTCTAAAGGAAAAATGAGGGCGCTTCCCCTCCTTTTCCCATTCTGTGCCCATGACATGTATCACTAACCAACCCACCCTAGAATTCTTCAATTAGTCAGTCCAAATCCCTCTCCAGCCGCATCTGATCCATATAAAGTTGTTGGTGGAGATAAAATGTACCTGCCATTCTGATTCAAGGCTTCAATGGATATCCCCTCCAGACCAGGAAGGATGATTGTAAGTTTATCTTTCCTACAAGGATAAAGGCCCAAGTCTAGCCTAAGGAGAGATGACTAGGGGTTTTAGAAGGGGTTTAGCCATACTATAGTACAAGTTTATTCCTCAAATAATCAGTTTATTTGTTTTTTATTTAGTTTAACTCTTTTCCTGTTTGTTCTACATTTGCAAGTAAGCTATTAATCCTTTACTTGACTTGTGGGATTTCTTGAAACTGGTTCTTGACTTCTCAGATCCTAGAGTCACATACCCCCTTCCCTACCTTGTAAACATTAGAGATTTTTTTCCTTAGATTAAGAGGGGCTTGGACTCTATCTGGACAGAAAATAACTCTGTGATACAGAAAAGACAAAAATCTACCAGGTCAATGATCTGGTGATCTGATTCAGCTAGGGGCAGTTGTACTCAAAGGGACAGAACCATCCCTAAGGCATGGTTCTCAACCTTGGCTACTAAATAAACTCAACAGAAGAGCTTAAAAAACGCTCATGGCAAGGCAGCAGCCCTGCCTGACCAATTACATCAGAGTCTCTGCAGATTGTGCCCAAGCACCAACTGGTATTTGAATTAAAGTTCAGCTCATTTTAACATGCAGCCAAGGCTGGCAGAGAACCTTTGTCCAAAGGTGTTTTGGAAATTTGCAAAGTATCCCTGGTATCCCAGATATTGAGGCAAAAGTGTTACTGCCATTTTCTTGGCAGGGATATGGGTTCAATGTTGTTACAGTGCCTCGAACAGTTCCCTCACAGTGAAAAATTGTTCCACCTTTTGAATGTCCTACTGGATAACTGATAAACTTGAAAAACTTATATGATCTGGAACTTTACCTTACATATGAACACAAAGAATTTTTTGCATGGTTTTTATTAATGTATATTGAATTTTCCCAGAATGTAATCAACATATAAATTAAGGTAGAATTGTACTTTATTTTATTTAAAACTTTCTAAGAGTTGCTTACCTTTTTAGAGAGCCAACACCACTTTTGGTATTTGAGTAGTCAGCATTTGTAGATGCAGTTTTCATGGTGATTCTGTGTACAAGTGCCAGTATCTGATGATCTCATTGTGCCCAAATGTTTACTTATTGAAATGTATTTACTTCATTGTAAAACATATCTATTTCACGTCTCTTTACGACAAAATATTGATTTTCAAATATTGTGTGTTTAGGTGGATTATATAATATTATTTCTGAATAATAAATGTGGTATTATGAAATATTTCTTATAAAAAGGTATCTTACAGTTGATATAATGTTAAAGACTTCTAATCTGGGGATTCCCTTTGTGATGTGTAATACACAAGCCCTCTCAACTTGCATTTCTGTTTAATGAGCATGAAAATTCCAGCAAGCCCAATGTCAGGGGTGTTAACTTTGAGCAAGTTACTTAATGTCTCTATGCCTTAGCTTCCTCAACTGCAAAAATAGCCTACTAATAGTAGTTAAGAGCTGTCAAGAAAATTAATTGAGATCAACCATAAAAAGCACTTAGCAAAATTTCTGGCATGTAAGAAGCACTAAACAAAGGTACCTGTTTTCATGATGATGATGACAATGACAATGATGACGGTGATGAGGATAAATTCAGTAGTACCGTTCAGAGAAGACCAAAGACTTTTTAATCCATCCCTCAGGCAAGTACATCATCTCTACACTTCTTCTTTTCTCAAGGTTAAATACTGGCCAGAGCAGATGACATGAGATGCCTACTTTTGGATGGAAACACCTTGCATGATCTCTGCTTCTTCATTCCTGTAATTGTTTTAAACAGTACTCATGGAAGAAAACTCAGGACCATTTTTGTTAGTGGCTAACAAATTGTTACAGCCTTTATCATAGTGTAAGCATTCTGCAAACTCAGAGACTTTGCATCTGGAGATCTGCTACTACGATGCAACATTCAGTGTCTTTCAAAATGGAACCTGGCATATCACCTTTTTGTTTGATATTTTCCCCACTCTTCATCTCACTTATCCTCCTTTTCTTTCATTCCCGTCTACATACAAACTTCATGAGAGAACAGTTTTCTCTTTGGAAGAATCTAACTTAGATATTTTGTGCTATCATATGGACAGAAGGGCTAAAACTCTTCTTTAGTGGCTAGTCAATAATCGCAAAGCCAGGATCACAATTTCCTCCCAGTTTTCCACTCAGTCCTGACTTTGCTCAGCTGGAGTATTTGCTAATGAATAGACTCTGCTTTCCTCATTCAGAAAGTACACGGCTTTTGTCATTGGCAGAGCCCATTCACTGTCTATGTCATATATAATGTCAAGTTTTGTAAGCATAATATACCAGATAGGTCTCTGTTCAGGAACAGTCCACCATGTAATCCAGTTCTTCACCACAAGGACCTGTAGTATCATGGTAGGAGATGTTGAGAGTGAGACATAGCCAGCTGTGGATTTCCAGCTGAAGAAGCATTGAGAAGGTATTTTAAGTATTCAATACTTTGGGGCAGGATGACACACAAACCATTACAGATAGAGGAGCATCAGGTACATGTTAAAGGCCCTCAGAAATAAAGAGTCCATAATCAATGCCAAATACCATCTTGTAACAGAATTTCTTCTTACTTAAGGGGAGTTGGTATTATTGAGAACTTATTAACAGTCAGGAATATTTTACATTCATTGTCTTAACTAATGCTCACAAAAGCCCTCTGATTTAGGAACTCAGACAACCCCATTTTACAGATGAGAAAACTGAAGTTTATAGAAGTTAAGTTACTTTTCCAAGTAAGTGGCAGAATCTAGATTCAACCCTAGTATATTTTTCTCTAAAGGCCAAGAGATTAGCTACCATGCCTTATGCTACATTGCCTCACCTGAACACTCATGCTATAATTTACACTCACTGCTTGTATTTGTTTCTGGCACAGTCTCTCCCAGAACCCCAGAATACCAGACCAGCACCATCTAATGGAAATATAATGTGAGCCATGAATATAGGCCACATTTGTAATTTTAAATTTTCTAGTAGCCACATTTTTAAATATTAAAAAAATGAGTGAAATTAATTTAAATATTGTATTTAACCCAGTATATCTAAAGCATTATCATTTCAACATGAAATCAACATAAAAATTATCCATGAAATAACTTAACACTTTCTTTTGGACTAAGCCTTTGCAAACTGATGGGTGTTGTATGCTTACAGCCTGACTTAGTTCCAACTGTCCACATTTCAATTGCTTAATAGCCATGTGGCCAGTAGCTACCAAACCAAACACCATGAGTCTAAATTCATAATCCCAACACTCTTCATAATCTTTGGAGCTCTTCTTGAAAGTCTTTCAGAAGATAGGAACAGAACTGACAAGATAAAGAGCCTATTTTTAGTTATTTGCTTTAGTCCAAGAAAAGAAAAGAAATAAACAATAGATTTCACAACTTCCATCTACAACCAGTAGTCAGCTTAGTTGCTGAAGGTCAGATGAGAAGCAGAGTGATGGAATCCACATCATTACATAACATGTGTCAGGTGTTCACATGCTTTCAGAGGGAAGCTGAACACAATGTGAAGATCAGAAAGCTGTAGATCCCTGACCAGAGGGTTGCTCATGAATCCAGCTCACAAGGAACACCAGCAGAGCTACCATTAACTCCCTCCCAGTCCTTCCTCTCCTTACTGTCACTCTCACCCCTGCCCCAGTTTGAAAGGCAAGGTGCATGAGCCAGGCCTAACCAGTGTAGGACAGACCCCATCCTCCTCACATCCAGAGGGCAGAAAGAAACCTCAAGACCTCCTTTCACCCCCAGCCCCTTGGAGAATCCTCTAACACCAGGAGTTCTCAAACTTTTATGCACAACAGAATCACCTGGAGGACATGTTAAAATTCTGATTCTGTGCCTTATCCCCAAGAGGTCTGAGATGGGGCTGGGGAATGTGCATTTCTAGCAGGTTCCAAGGCTGTTCATGCTGTAGGTCAGAAGATGATCACACATTGAGAACCCAAAGCTCATCCCTAAGTTATCAATATATCACTCAACAGCAAGAACAGATCTAAGAAAAGCACAGTGCCTTTTTCACTCTTGATAAAAATAAATGTGATTTTTAAATAGTTGATGTGTTTGGCTATTTCTCCCTGCCCTCCATTATTTCCTCTAGTCCAGGAAGGAAGGAAGGAATCATAATGGAGAGACAAAGATGAAAGGGAAAAAAGCATGGGGGCAGGGAAGTTAGCGGGAAATAGGGAGATGGACAGAGATAGATCACCAGAGTTCAGGATGGTGGAGAATAAGGCAAGATCTGTGCTCAGGGAGGAAAAGGGCAGCACAGCCACCTCCAGGCCCCTCAGCTGGGCCTGATGCACAGACTGGGGACAAGTTTGCCCATCTTTCTTTTCAATGAAGCCACAAAAACATCTTACACAGAGATTGTTTTCCTCTTTGCTTTTAAGAGAGGAAATCATGGTTGAATGCTATGTGACAATGGGCAGTTGCAAACCACAAGAGGCTTGACACCCCCATTCCAGGCCCCATATAGTGCTTCACTCCCCCTTTGCCTATGTGTGGGCTTTTTTTTATCTCTAACCTTTCAGGGTGCCTGGGTTTTAAAAGGAGAGGCAGTGAGACTTGCTGAGTTGCAAGCAGCTGGGAATTTGGAATGCATCTTTGGAGATACACACTGAGCCTGGCTCAGAACTTCCAAGAAAACTCAGTGGGAGGGGAGGAAAAACAACGCAATGACATGACGCCTTGCAGGGCCCGCCTTGGCCTTACTGAATCGCCCAGAGATTGCATTCCAGCTGCACTGAGGTGACCCAATGTTCCAGTAAACAAGGAGGGGATGGGATGGAAGGACCTCAGATCAGGCTACCCTGAGCTGTTAAAATAGAACACAGGGGGCCCAGCAAGGTGGGGCAAGGGGGCTGTGAGGCCTTTGTGCACATCCTGGATCAGTGAGGCACACCCACGAGGCACACCGGACACACATATACACATATTCACTTCTGGTGGGACTGGGACAAATACCAAAAACCCATGTTCTAGCCTCAGAATGGTCAGAAACTGGTGACCTCTTTAAGATCCTTCCTAGGAATCTCAGAACACAAAGGGTGAAGTAAGGAGACACTGACTTAGGCCAAGCCAGGCCACTGACTAATGGTGCCATGCTCTAAGTAATCCCTTTGCCTTCCAAAAAGACAAACTGAGCCACAGCAGACGAGCACAGTCATTGAGTCCATTTCCCCATTTGATGCCATAGCATGGAATAGTTGACTGATGATGCTATGACTCCTCGGGCTTATCCCGCCCCTCCTCCCTTGCCCCCGCACCCTCCTGTTTTCTCCTCTGTCTCCACTTCCATTTCACCAGCCACCAAATGAGCCTATGTGACAATCAGAGGGGTTTAGTAGAAATATGAGGAAGAGTGCCCTGGCTCAGACAGCGTAGCTATGGAAGTTCCTTCCCTGAGTGTCCATCTGCCTGGGCTAACTTGGGGCTTTGTAGCCCAAAGAGCATATATAGCTTGCCTCTCCCGCATAAATGTGTGAGTGATATCCTATATTCCTCTATATTCTGTATGTCTAGGTGACCCAAGACTTTATCATCCACACTGGGACGGCTCTAAGAATTAAAGGCAGTGCTCTTGAAAACAATTCCAGGACAAAGACATTAACCAGGACATAGGGCTGCCTGCATGACAAGGGGCCCATTTACCATCCTGGACGTCCCTCCCACATTTCTCGGCCCGTCCTGCTTTGCAGATGACATATTTTTACTATGTCTGATTTGTCCTTTCCCTTTACTGGTTTTAGCCTATGTTCCTTCATTTTCTTATATAACAATCACATTCAGGCAGTTACCGCTTCTCTATTTTGAAGTGAAAAAAGGTGAGTTTTGAAAATTCCCTATGTAAAAAGTTGTAAGACCCCTTCATTAAGGCTCTGAGGGGTGTGTTCCAGCAGCCTCCATGAGCTGCTTTTCAATTCCAGAGATTGGCTACCTTCTGAACATTAGTGTCCAGTGGGTATTGTTGGTGTTACTCACCAAATAGTCACATTCCAGTTTCTGGAGAAGCAAAACAGTGTGAAAAATGGTGATCCTTGCTTGAGTACTCAAAGCAGGGAAAAGGCTTTTCTCATGCTATTTCCTTAACACTCGTGGTAACAGGACCTGCTTCCTCTCTGTCTCTCCAAAGTGCTTAAAGTGTCGTGCATGTTTTCCATGTTTACAGCCACCCTACAAGGTTCCAGTCATCCTCATTTTACTGACTGACACTCTAAGTTGAAGCCAGAAAGCGGGGATAGCCAAGTCTTATCCAAACCCAGATCTACCAGGTCCCAAAGCCCATGCTTGTGCTCCATCAGTCTGGGCATCTGCTTTGCAAACCTGGCTTGACCTTGGAATAACCAGGCATGGACCCTTGTTTATTTTTCAGAGTCTCATTTTTTTTTCACCACTGATTGTTCCTTTCCATTACAGCTGGTGATATCATACTCCAGCAAGCGTTATCTAGTAGACACCAAGACTTGAAGCAGCCTCAGAAAAGTACTGGGCATAATAGGGCTTGGGCTAGAAGTCTGGCATTTCTGTAAGTCACCTAGGCTAAAGTCCAGAGAGGCAAGACAAGTCCAGAGAGGCAAGATGGTGGGGGAATGGAGGGTGGTGCACAAAAGTTTTACTAACTTAGGGGATAAGTGGTCTCCATAAGCAAGACTGGATGCCACGCCAAGCTCTCCCAGGCAAAGCTCCTTCCAGGGCAGGACTCCATGTGTGGAAGTAAGTAGCACATTTGCCTATGGTTGGGAGTAAAGTCTAATAAGAGAGACTAGAACAGGGCTTTAATTACCTGTTCTAAGCACCTCTGCTTATCTCAACTGATTTACCTCTGACCACTCTGCCAGGTGACCACTCTGTAAGGTATTTCTCTGGCCTTAAATGACCATCTCTTACAATACCTGCCCTCCATCCTTTCCCCACCTTCCTTACAAATATAAAGTGGTGGACACAGGAGCGTGGACTTAAAAAGTCAGACATTCCTGGGTTTACTTATTAACTGTGTGACTTTGGGTATGCTTCTGAACTTCTCTGAGCCTTGGTCTCCTCCTCTATAAAAAGGAGGATAATAATCAGGCCCTCACAGACTTGTTAGAATAATTAAAATAAAGCTATAATTTGTCTCATATAGAGTGGGCACTAAATAAATATTTATTGTTGATTTACTTGCTGCTGTTGCTTGAGATTGGTGTGAGCTCTCCCTCCAGAGTCCACTAGCCCTAGATCAATAGAAAGAGAGCATTTTAGGGAAAGGGACCTTAGCATTCATCTAGTCCACCTTCATTTGTGAAGAAACCCCAGGTTCAGAGATACTTAATTGCCTTCTCCACGATTATATGCCTTACTAGTTCCAACCTTCAAATAAGGATGTTAGTTCGTTGGAGTGTTAGAAAAGAGCTCTGGCTTTGGAATCAGGCCTATGTGAATTTGAATTCCACTTGCCAGCTTGGTGACATCAGACAAGTTAAAGTTACTTGACCTGTTTCTGCTTCACTTTCTCATGTGCAGCCTTGGGATGATAGAGCTAGCCTCGCAGGATGGTGGGGGGGGGGGCTAAGTGGGATACTGCACACCAGGTGCCCAAGGGCATCTGTCACTTGCTGGTGCTCCTGCTGGTTTCCTTGTGTCATTAAAACCTTTCAGGGCCACTTAGAACAGGAAAAGCCCAGTAGAAAGAAATAAGTAGAGCTTAAAAACCATAATGGGCTTTGCCTAAATGTTGAAATAGGGACATTTAGGAATAACTTTTGCTTACCAATCCCCAAATGCCAAATTTAAAGCAGAGTTTGGTAGACTGATCAGTGAAGAATTCCTAGTGGCAGGGCCAAGAGCAAAGATTGGGAGATCATCTGCAGGCTAAGCTAAAGTGAGGGAGACTGGGGTGTGGGGAGTCAGGGAAGAGGATCCTGAGGGTTTGCAACTCATCTTTATAATATCTTCTAAAACAATTTTGAAAGCCCTCCTGGTTTCCAGGCACAGATTATATTTTGAATTAGCAACACAAAGTGAGAGGTGGCTGAAAGATGGGTGGCCATTCTTCAGATGCAGCCCCTGCAGTGGTTTTGAAATGAAAAGCATGGGCATATTTTGCCATATAAAGTGAGTTCTGATGGGTGGATTTTTTCCAAGATGAATATGGACAAGGGCACTGAGATGCTTTGCAGCAGGCTCAGCCCCTGAATGATCCAATTACAGGTTTTGAAATGGACCTAGAGGCAGAATTTAGAAACCCAAACTGGAAAGGCAGAAGTAATTTTGCAACTAGACAAATGACTGATTCCAAAAAGTCCTCTGAGGATAAGAGGGTTTGGAAAATGCCATGTAGGCAATTTTCAAATGTCACATGGGAGCCAGGATTGACTTTTCTAGGGATAATTAGGGTGATTCTAGGGGTAATTAGGGTGAGGTTGATTGGGGTCTGAGAGAGGACTACTGTATTGCGCTTGCAATTCACTCAGATACCTGGGCAACCTCTGCAATGGAAAGTAATGACAAGTACCATCAGCAGAAGCAGAACTGTGGCCCAATGTAACAAACATAAACAATAGAGAAATTGTACAAAAGTGTGATATTCTTAAGGACTGGATCTAGTTTTTTGTGACCTTGTATTCCCAGTGCCTGGTGGAGGGTATGCATTCTAAAAAATATTTAATTAGTAAATTAATGGCTTAGGTTGTCTTTTAAGACAAAAAGTTCTCCAGGATAGAAAGTATTCAAGCAGACAGTATTCAAGTATTGGCAGCAACTATATAGAGGTTTTCACGAATTTTTTAAATGTGCCTGATAATTACTGGCATTCTTAGCAACCCTAAGACTCTGGCTGTTTATCACAGTGCACTAACTCTCAGAGATAATCGGATCTGAGCTGAACACTGGGGTCATGATGCAAGGGACTAAGGGAAACAAACCAAAGATTTGTGAAGGAGGACTAACCAGTCTAACCTTCTATTTTCTCATTGAGTCTGTGGTCTGAAATACTTTATTTAGGCAAAATTAGATATGCACCCTCACTACCCCATAGGTACAGATCATTTCTGAATTTTCTGTCTGCCCTCTCATGTCCACTAAGGCTAAGGCTGCTGACTGATCACAAACTCATTCCCTCTTCTTCCTGGGCAAACACATATTTGACATCTTCTAGTCTTCCTTGAGTTAAATGTGGTCACATGCCTGAGTCTGAGTTCTGACCAGTGGAATCTGAGCAGAAGTGATGTGTGCCACTTCCAGGCTTCTGATAAAAGCCTCCCACTTGCAATCTCACATGCTCTTTCCCCATCTGCTTGTGGGATGACAATGCTGGCAGCCATGTGTTGAAGATGGCAGAGCTATGGCTCCCTGAATTCCCCCATCCTTCCCATGCATTAGACTGGTGGGTGAGACAGAAACAAACTTTTATTGTGTTATGCTGTTACAGCAGCTCACATACCTTAACTAACATATTACCTGTCTTTGTCTTCTTTTTTTTTCTTTGTGATTTCCTCTCTGAAGTTATAAAGAACTGAGAGGTGGGTGAGGATGCGACCATGGTCAGAAGCGATTGTTGAATGGTGAAGATGGGCCTCTCTCAAGTGGCTTTACTCTCTTTCCTCTGCCTGGGATGTTGGTTTGGGTGTCTCCCTCCTAATGCAGAAGTATATGTAAGGGAGCCGAAGCTTCGTAACAGATGAGCACCTGTGGAGGTGTCAGGCCCTCTCTTCCCTGCTGCAAGTTTCACTTGTCATCTCCTAGCTTTCTGGGCACCAGCTCCTCCACTCTTTTTCACAGCTTGTGGAAGGTGGGGAAGGAAGGCAGGGATGCCCTCTTTGGGCTACAACCATGAGACTAAAGGCCTTGGTTTTTCTAACCTCTTTTATCCTTCTCCTCTTTTGTGATTCTCCAGCAACCTCAGACACAGAAATGATAACACAAGGAATCTCAGGTATAGGCTACAATAAGAAAGAAAATTCTAGGCATCTGGCTTAGTTGGAGTATTGCTTTGGCTACTTTAATTTTCCCTCAGTCTTGTTTAAAGTTTTTTGATTCTGGATTCTTTCTGTTAAGGGGCCAAAGTTCATTGTTTCCTTGCATAGTCTTCTTTTTTCTTAATTAAAAAAAAATTTAACTGGATAGTAGGTAGGGACAGTGGGAATCTTGTTTATCCATTCATTTTATTTTTATTTAATTTTTTTCCTTCCTTGCATAATCTTTTATGTTGTCCTGCCTCCTAAGTCTACAGAAGACCCTAAGAGTCTGTTTTCTCTTCCTTTGTTGACCATGACTTCCCTTCCGTACAAAACCAAGGCTCTTCCTTTCCCTGAGATGTGGAGTAAGCTAATTGCTCCATTTGCCCTATATTTTGCCCAAACTATTAAACAGGCAGATTCTAAATGATCTTGATTCCATTTACAGTACTGATATTCTGCTCTAAATTTTTGGACATCTCCCTAATTGACGCTTCTTGGGAAGCCCATTCTAGCAGGGCCTGTTACACATCCCCTAATATCTGTCTTCCTCCTACTCCTCAGCAGTAGGAGCCCCATGGCTAATTAGAACAAAAACTACATATGATAGATCCCCTTGCAGACAGGTGTGGCCATAAGACTAAGTTCTCATCAATGGAGTGTAAGTAGATGGCTGGCCACCATCTTGGATCATGATACAAACTTGGCAATGGAAGCCATGCTGGACAGAGTAACAAGATAGAAGAAACTTGGGTCCCTGACCCTCCCTTTTAGCCAATCTCTAGACTTTCATGTGAAAGAAAAATAAGCCTCAAACTTGCTTGTCCCTGTTATTTAGAGTTTCCTGTCACTTATAGTTAAATTAATTCTATTCTACTACTCTACTTGCTGATCCCACCTTCCTTCCTTCTTCCCTCCCATTTTTTTCTCCTTCCATCCCTTCTTTCTCTCTTCTTTTTTAAAGTAATATTGCATTAACTCAGCAGGGATCTTAGTTGTTATCTCACTCAGGCCCCTCACTTCAAAATGAGGAAATTGAGGATGCCAGAGAGGGGAAGTGACTAAGGTGATGAGGCCTGAACCAAAGACTCAAACCCAGACCTCCTGACTCTCTGGCCCTGTGCTTTTACTACGCCACCTGCCCTGGCTCTTCTTGGCACACAACATCTCCCACAAGGATACAGCATTTTTGGTCCTCCTTTCTTCAGGTCAACTTAAAACCCTAATGAAATAATATTTACTTTTTCAGCCTTGGTGGATGAAGAAGTAGGAAGACCTTAGGTTAAACTACTTTTTCCCTTTAGTGTAAAAACTGATTACAGGCCATTACCAGGCTTCTATCCCTTTTGGTCACTTATTCCCCTCAGAAGACACTGCTCTTGAGGGTGGCCTCAGGTCTAGAGGCTCTAGGGAGCATTCAGGTGTCAGCCCATAGCTGCCCTAAGGGAGAAAGGGCAGGTGGCTACTGCTAACTGTTCCTGGCATGGGTGGCACCCAGATGATGCAGGTTTTTGCTGACTGGGTCCTGACTCTACCCAGCCCTCCAAGACAGCTCAACCCCTCCTCTGAGCTAAGAAGATGCTGCCCTGGATCATGCACCTGGGTTCCCATATGTCCTCTCTGCAGAGAGTGAGCACCCCTTCCCACTGTCCATGGAAGAAGATGTTTCTTCGTGACGGCATGGTAGAGGGAGTGCCGGAAAGGAAAGAATGTCTGCTATACAGTTTGTCTTAAACTAATGCCAGGCGCAGTGGCTCATACCTGTAATCTTAGCACTTTGGGAGGCTGAGGTGGGCGGATCACGAGGTCAGGAGATCAAGACTATCCTGGCTAACATGGTGAAACCCTGTCTCTACTAAAAATACAAAAAATTAGCCGGGCTTGGTGGCATGTGCCTGTAGTCCCAGCTACTCGGGATGCTGAGGTAGGAGAATCGCTTGAAACCAGGAGGCGGAGGTTGCAGTGAGCCAAGATTGTGCCACTGCACATCAGCCTGGGCAACAGAGCGAGACACCATCTCAGGACAAAAAAAAAAAAGAACCTACCCCATAAAACAAAACAGAACAATATTTTAAGCACAATGCCTACTGGTCCGACCAAAATCAAGGGAGCCAATGCCCTGACACTATAAACCTCTATTCATTCAGGAAATGCTAAATTCCTGTCACCTGAGCATTCGGCATCAAGCAGAAAAAACAGGTTTCTGAAATCCTGGAACTTGTCTTTCACTGGTAAGCTATAATTACTCAAATAAATGCCATAATTGAAAACAGAGGTAGACACTGCAAAGAAAAAGTGCAGGGCACAGTAACAGAGCATAATTAGAGAAACTAACTTGGGATTGGAGCAAGTTAGGAAGGAACATTTAACTTGAGACATAGAAGACAAGAAAGAACTATCCAGATGTTGAACATTTCAGACAGCAGGAACAGCTGAGGTAAAAGCCTCATGGTGGAAAAGCAGATAAGAAAGTCTAGTACAGGCTGATTATCCCTTGTCCAAAATATTTGGGACCAGAAGTGTTTCAAATTTAGGGTTTTTTTTTGAATTTTGGAATATCTGCATATCCATAGTAAGTCTAAACACAAAATTCATTTATGTTCCAAGTACACCTTATACACATAGACTGAAGGTAATTTTATACAATATTTTTAATGGTTTTGTGCATGAAACAAACTTTTGACTGTTTTGACTGCAACCCATCATATAAGGTCAAGTGTGGAATTTTCTATTTATGATGTCATGTCAGCATTCAAAATGTTTTGAATTTTGAAGAATTTTGGATTTTGGATTTTAAGGTTAAGGATCCTCGACCTATCTAGCAAAGGCGGGTGGCTGGAGACTGAGGCAGAGCCAGACCACATAGGCCTAACGGATCATGTTGAAGACTTTAGATTTCACTTAAGAGTGAGGTAAGGATATGAAATATATATCTATCTATATATATATACACACACACACACTCACACACACACACACACACACACATATTTCTTTTTGAGACAGAGTCTCAATCTGTGCCCAGGTGTGGTACAATGGTATGATATTGGCTCACTGCAACCTCTGCTTCCCGGGTTCAAGCGATTATTGTGCCTCAGCCTCCCAAGCAGCTTGTATTACAGGCATGCGCCATCATACCTGGCTAATTTTTGTATTTTTAACAGAGATGGGGCTTTATCATGTTTGCCAGGCTGGTCTCGAACTCCTGGACTCAAGTGATCCACTCACCTCCACTTCCCCAAGTGCTGGGATTATAGGCATGAGCCACCACGTCTGGCATGAAAGATTTTTGACTACAGAGTGACCCGTTGTGATTTATATTGTAAAAGATGCCTCAGAACCAAGTGTTTCTGGAGAGGTGCCCCCCAGTTAACACAATGAGGCAACCAATCAATCAAAACATCCTTTAAAAATATTTCACAAGTCTAGCTAATAGGAAGAATGCATCCCTCCCATTCACTGGTCATGAATTAAGCTGTAAAATAATTCAATGTAGGTTCCCAGAGAGAGCTGCAAAATTTGCATTCTAACTCCACTGCCAAAATCAGCAAGGCAGGAACAGTCTTTTAGAAGTATCAGGTCCCAATTGTAAGTGGACAGCCCAAGTGCATATGCAGACAGCATGGTTTTATTACACTAACCAGGAAAAAGAGCTAAACACTAACTACAACAAAACAAAAATTATTGTCCTTGCATGGGACAGCCTCCAAGATTTAATTGGTTGATATCCAATAACTCTTTATGGTAGATGAATCATACAATTTCCTGAGAGTTCATTTAAGTCTAATTCATTATAGTGGCCCATGAGGAAGCCATGCTACTTGGAAGTAGACATTCCACACAAGTCTTACAAATGTTTTTCCCAAGCTGTGATGGCTCAACTTGAAATATTCATGCCATTCTAGCCCAGCAAATTTTGGAGTTTTCATTAAGCATAGATCCTAGCGGGTCACCTGTATTTAGAAGAAGCATGACTTCCTTCCTCATCAGATTATTGGTAGGCTCCTTTATTGCTATAACACATGTCCTTCCACCCACTTATCTAGTTTCCCAAGCATATGCATTTGTCTTTAATTAGCAAAATAGAACAGCTTCCTGGAAGTCTAACTTCAACTCTCAAGTCATACCAAAAATCTAGCTGAACTTATTATATTTATTAAGCATTTAGTTAAGAGTCTGAGAAACATGATATCTATCTATACCTCTAAATATTTTAATTTTTATTGTCAGATTAGCCTGGAATACCAAATACCTGTAAACTTGAACCTCATCACCTTACCATCTCAAATAAATGCCTTTACTATATTTATGTTTTTGTGGAGGGGGTTGGCTTTTATCAAAAATTGTCATGAGAATTCAACTTTTTTGTCCACTCTGAGATTGATATAGAGAACCTTATATCACTTAATACCTCCTCCTCTTAGATAATGAGAATTATTCTATATCAATCCTTCTGTCTCTTTTTCTTTCTTCCTTTTTGTTTCTTTTCCCTTTCTTAATCTTTTTCTATGACAACCATAGTCTTGGTCAAGTTTTATATTTAATCCCAGCTACTGCTTTGCCTCTTATGGTGGCTGGAAATTAGTTTTCTCTTTCTTAATTGTACATCCCCATTTAAAATCTTTATTTCATTAATCTGAATGTTTCCAGTTCATGAAAAAAGTCATTTAAAAACAGGATGCAAACAAATTAAACTAAATATGTTTTTCTTATGTTCTGAAGTATTTATCTGCTTTGGATGGATGGTGAGTTGTGAGCACATACCAGCCAACAGAAGGTTAGGATAAAAGATTTGATCTACAACACTAACACAACAAAACAAAAATGATTGTCCTTGGATGGAATAGACTCCAAAATTTAATTGGTTGATATTCAGTAACTCCTTATGGTGGATGAATCCTACCTTTTCCTGAGAGTTCATTTATGACTAATTCCTTCCAGTGACCCATGAGAAAGCCATACTATTTGGAAGCAGACATTCCATTCAAGTCTTACAAACATTGTATGAGTCCAGCTAACGGAATTCAGAATGATTCGGAGAAGCGCTTTTTATTAACCTACTTAAGACAGGCAGTGTTCTCTCTTCTTCATAGATTTACCTTTGAGGACAGGCACTGGTAAGAGCATTGAAAGAGGAGTCAGGTTACACAGGTTCTAATAGCTGGCCTCTAAATAGCTATTGATCATGGGTAAGTTCTTCCACCTTTCTGGGACTCATTTTCCTCATCTGTAGAAAAACTCAGACTAGAGAAATACGAGGCTGCTTCCAGGTCTACCATCTTATGGTTCTCTAACTTATTCTATAAAAGGTATAGAAGAATGGTTCCTGATCTCAAGAAGTTTAGATTTCTTCAAAGGAGGTAAAATAGCAGCCATGTCCCATTTCTGAAGAATCACAAATGTACAAGTAGATCTGCATATTGAAAGTTGAAGTTTATCAGTCAGGGATGGTGGCTCACACCTGTAATCCCAGCACTTTGGGAGGCCAAGGTGGGTGGATCATTTGAGGTCATGAGTTTGAGACCAGCCTGGCAAACACAGTGAAACCCCAACTCTACTAAAAATACAAAAAAAAAAAAAAAAAAAAAAAAAAAAGAAAGAAAGTTGAAGATTATCAATATGACAATGGGTTGAGGTAAAAATATTTTGCCTTTGTTCTTTTTTTCTTTAGGATAGTCTAATATAATTTGAAAAAAAATAAGATTTCATGAATTAATCACCCTCAGCATTTTTAGATTCAAACAAACAAAAAAACTTCTGTTATTCCTCCTACTGGGTGTGAACTTTCTTGCTAGGAGCATTGTGTCCTGTACACATAGGACAAGGAAGGGCAGGACTGGACAAATATTGATCTGAGTGCTAGTTGAGATGAGCTGTAAAAAGGATTACTCAGAATGGAAATATGTAGTTTGAAAAGTGTAAGGGGAACACACTCATACACTGATCATAGAATTTTAACTCCATATAAACTTATGAAAGGAAGGAGAGCAGTAAACAGCAAAAACCTTAAAAATGTGTGTTATGGGCCAGGCGCGGTGGCTCATGCCTGTAACCCCAGCACTTTGGGAGGCCGAGGTGGGCGGATCACCTTACGTCAGGAGTTCAAGACCAGCCTGGTCAACATGGTGAAACCCCGTCTCTACTAAAAATACAAAAATTAGGACTGGGCTGGCAAGATGGAAGAATACGAACAGCTCTGGTATGCAGCTCCCAGTGAGATCAATGCAGAAGGCGGGTGATTTCTGCATTTCCAACTGAGGTACCTGGCTCATCTCATTCGGACTGGTTAGGCAGTGGGTGCAGCCCACGGAAGGCAAAAAGAAGCAAGGTGGGGCATCACCTCACCTGGGAAGTGCAAGGGTTTGGGGAACTCTCTCCCCTAGCCAAGGGAAGCCATGAGGGACTGTGCCCTGAGGAATGGTACATTCCAGCCCAGATACTATGCTTCTCCTATGGTCTTTGCAATCCGCAGACCAGGAGATTCCCTTGGGTGCCTACGCCATCAGGGCCCTGGGTTTCAAGCACAAAACTGGGCAGCTGTTTGGGCAGACACCAAGCTAGCTGCAGGAGTTGTTTTTTTGTTTTTGTTTTTGTTTTTCACACTCCAGTGGCACCTGGAATGCCAGTGAGCACTGTTCACTCCCCTGGAAAGGGGTCTGAAGCCAGGAAGCCAAGTGGTCTAGCTCAGCGGATCCCACTCCCATGGAGCCCAGCAAGCTAAGATCCACTGACTTGAAATTCTCACTGCCAGCACAGCAGTCTAAAGTCGACCTGGGATGCTCCAGTTTGCTGGAGGAAGGGGCGTCCACCATTACTGAGGCTTGAATAGGCGGTTTTCCCCTCACGGTTTAAACAAAGATGCTGGGAAGTTTGAGCTGGGTGGACCCCACTGCAGCTCAGCAAAGTCACTGTAGCCAGACTGCCTCTAGATTCCTCCTTTCTGGACAGGGCATCTTGAAAAAAAAGGCAGCAGCCCCAGTCAGGGGCTTATAGATAAAACCCCCATCTCCCTGGGACAGAGCACCTTGGGGAAGGGGTAACTGTGGGAGCAGCTTCAGCAGGCTTAACTGTCCCTGCCTGCTGGCTCTGAAGACAGCAGCGGATCTCCCAGCACAGCATTCGAGCTCTATTAAGGGACAGACTGCCACCTCAAGTGGGACCTGGACCCCCGTGCCTCCTGACTGGGACACATCCCAGCAGGGGTCAACAGACACCTCATACAGGAGAGCTCTGGCTGGCGTTTGGGGGGTACCCCTCTGGGATGAAGCTTCTAGAGGAAGGAACAGGCAGCAATCTTTGCTGTTCTGCAGCCTCCGCTGGTGATACCCAGGCAAACAGGATCTGGAGTGGATCTCCAGCAAACTCCAGTGGACCTGTAGCAGAGGGGTCCAACTATTTGAAGGAAAACTAACAAACAGAAAGGAATAGCATCAACATCAAAAAAAAGGATGTCCACTCAGAAACCCCATTCAAAGTTACCAACATCAAAGACAAAAGGTTTTTCCCCAAGAAGAAGGGGAAAAACCAGCACAAAAAGGCTGAAAATTCCAAAAACCAGAACGCCTCTTCTCCTTCAAAGGATCACAACTCCCTGCCAGCAAGGGAGCAAAACTGGACGGAGAATGAGTTTGACAAATAGACAGAAAGAGGCTTCAGAAGGTGGGTAATAACAAACTCCTCTGAGCTAAAGGAGCATGTTCTAACCCAATGCAAGGAAGCTAAGAACCTTGAAAAAAGGTTAGAGGAATTGCTAACTGGAATAACCAGTTTAGTGAAGAACATAAATAACCTGATGGAGCTGAAAACAGAGCACGAGAACTTCATGAAGCATACACAAGTATCAATAGCCAAATCGATCAAGCAGAAGAAAGGATATCAGAGATTGAAGATCAACTTAATGAAATAAAGTATGAAGACAAGATGAGAGAAAAAAGAATGAAAAGGAACAAACAAAACCTCTAAGAAATATGGGACTATGTGAAAAGACCAAACCTATGTTTGATTGGTGTACCTGAAAGTGACGGGGAGAACGGAACCAAGTTGGAAAATGCTCTTCAGGATAGTATCCAGGAGAACTTTCCCAACCTAGAAAGACAGGCCAACATTCAAATTCAGGAAATACAGAGAACACCACAAAGATACTCTTCAAGAAGAGCAACCCCAAGACACGTGATTGTCAGATTCACCAAGATTGAAATGAGGGAAAAATGCTAAGTGCAGCCAGAGAGAAAGGTCGGGTTACCCACAAAGGGAAGCCCATCAGACTAACAGCAGATCTCTCTACAGAAATCCCAGAAGCCAGAAGAGAGTGGGGGACAATATTCAACATTCTTTTGCGGCACTATTCACAATAGCAAAGACTTGGAACCAACCCAAATGTCCAACAATGATAGACTGGATTAAGAAAATGTGGCACATATACACCATGGAATACTATGCAGCCATAAAAAATGATGAGTTCATGTCCTTTGTAGGGACATGGATGAAATTGGAAATCATTATTCTCAGTAAACTATCGCAAGGACAAAAAACCAAACACCACATGTTCTCACTCATAGATGGGAATTGAACAATGAGAACACATGGACACAGCAAGGGGAACATCACACTCTGGGGACTATTGTGGGGTGGGGAAGGGGGGAGGGATAGCATTAGGAGATATACCTAATGCTAAATGACGAGTTAATGGGTGCAGCACACCAGCATGGCACATGTATATATATGTAACTAACCTGCACATTGTGCACATGTACCCTAAAACTTAAAGTATAATAATAAAAAAAAAGAAAAGAATTTTCAACCTAGAATTTCATATGGAGCCAAACTAAGCTTCACAAGTGAAGGAGAAATAAAATCCTTTACAGACAAGCAATGCTGAGAGATTTTGTCACCACCAGGCCTGCCTTATAAGAGCTCCTGAAGGAAGCACTAAACATGGAAAGGAAAAACTGGTACCAGCCACTGTAAAAACATGCCAAATTGTAAAGACCATCGGCACTATGAAGAAACTGCATCAACTAACAGGCAAAATAACCAGCTAGCATCATAATGATGGGATCAAATTCACACATGACAATATTAACCTTAAATGTAAATGGGCTAAATGCACCAATTAAAAGACACAGACTGGCAAATTGGATAAAGAGTCAAGGCCCATCAGTGTGCTGTATTCAGGAACCCCATCTCACAGGCAAAGACACATGTAGGCTCAAAATAAAGGGATGGAGGAATATTTACCAAGCAAATGACAAACATAAAAAAGCAGGGGTTGCAATCCTAGTCTCTGATAAAACAGACTTTAAACCAACAAAGATCAAAAGAGACAAAGAAGGGCATTACATAATGGTAAAGGGATCAATGCAACAAGAAGAACTAACTATCCTAAATATATATGCACCCAATACAGGAACACCCAGATTCATAAAGCGAGTTCTTAGAGACCTAAAAAGAGACTTAGACTCCCACACAATACTAGTGGGAGACTTTAACACCCCACTGTCAATATTAGACAGATCAACAAGACAGAAAATTAACAAGGATATTAAGGACTTGAACTCAGCCCTGGACCAACAGACCTGATAGACATCTACAGAACTCTCCACCCCAAATCAACAGAATATACATTCTTCTCAGCACCACATTGCACTGATTCTAAAATTGACCACATAACTGGAAGTAAAACACTCCTCACCAAATGCAAAAGAACAGAAATCATAAGAGTCTCTCAGACCACAGTGCAATCAAATTAGAAGTCAGGATTAAGAAACTCACTCAAAAATGCACAGCTACATGGAAACTGAACAACCTGCTCCTGAATGACTACTGGGTAAATAACGAAATGAAGGCAGAAATAAGTTCTTTGAAACCAATGAGAACAAAGACACAACGTACCAGAATCTCTGGGATACAGCCAAAGCAGTGTTTAGAGGGAAATTTATAGCACTAAATGCCCACAAGAGAAAGCAAGAAAGATCAAAAATCCACATCCTAACATCACAATTAAAAGAACTAGAGAAGCAAGAGCAAACAAATTCAAAAGCTAGCAGAAGACAAGAAATAACTAAGATCAGAGCAGAACTGAAGGAGATACAGACATGAAAAACCCTTCAAAAAATCAATGAATCCAGGGGTTTGTTTTTTGAAAAGATCAACCAAATAGATAGACCACTAGCCAGACTAATAAAGAAGAAAAGAGAGAAGAATCAAGTAGACACAATAAAAAATGATAAAGGGGAGATCACCACTGATCCCACAGAAATACAAACTACCATCAGAGAATACTATAAACACCTCTATGCAAATAAACCAGAAAATCTAGAAGAAATGGATAAATTCCTGGACACATACACCCTCCCAAGTCTAAACCAGGAAGAAGTTGAATCCCTGAATAGACCAATAGCAAGTTCTGAAATTGAGGCAGTAATTAATAGCCTACCAACCAAAAAAGTCCAGGACCAAACGGATTCACAGCCTAATTCTACCAGAGGTACAAAAAGGAGCTGGTACCATTCCTTCTGAAACTAATCCAAACAATAGAAAAAGAGGGAATCCTCTCTAACTCGTTTTATGAGGCCAGCATCATCCTAATACCAAAACCTGGCAGAGACACAACAAAGAAAGAAAATTTCAGGCCACTACCCCTGATGAACATTGATGTGAAAATCCTCAATAAAATACTGGCAAACTGAATCCAGCAGCACATCAAAAAGCTTATCCAACCACCATCAAGTTGGCTTCATCTCTGGGATGCAAGGCTGGTTCAACATACGCAAATCAATAAACATAATCCATCACATAAACAGAACCAATGACAAAAACCACATGATTATCTCAATAGATGCAGAAAAGGCCTTTGATAAAATTCAACACTCCTTCATGCTAAAAACTCTCAATAAACTAGGTATTGAGGGAACGTATCTCAAAATAATGTGAACTATTTATGACAAACCCACAGCCAATACCATACTGAATGGCAAAAAGCTGGAAGCATTCCCTTTGAAAACTGGCACAAGACAAGGATGCCCTCTCTCACCACTCCTATTCAACATAGTATTGGAAGTTCTGTCCACGGCAATCAGGCAAGAGAAAGAAATAAATGGTATTCACATAGGAAGAGAGAAAGTCAGATTGCCTCTGTTTGCAGATGACATGATTGTATATTTAGAAAACCCCACTGTCTCAGCTCAAAACCTCCTTAAGCTGATAAGCAACTTCAGCAAAGTCTCAGGATACAAAAATCAATGTGCCAAAATCACAAGCATTCCTATACACCAATAGTAGACAAAGAACCAAATCATGAGCGAACTCCCATTCACAATTGCTACAAAAAGAATAAAACACCTAGGAATACAACTTACAAGGGATATGAAGGACCTCTTCAAGAAGAACTGCAAACCACTGCTCAAGGAAATAAGAGAGGACACAAACAAATGGAAAAACATTCCATGCTCATGGATAGGAAGAATCAATATCATGAAAATGGCCATACTGCCCAAAGTGATTTACAGATTCAATGCTATCCCCATCAAGCTAACATTGACTTTCTTCACAGAATTAGAAAAAACTACTTTAAATTTCATATGGAACCAAAAAAAGAGCCTGTATAGCTAAGACAATCCTAAGCCAAAAGAACAAAACTGGAGGCATCACGCTACCTGACTTCAAACTATACTACAAGGCTACAGCAACCAAAACAGCATGGTACTGGTACTGGTACCACAGCAGATATATACACCAATGGAACAGAACAGAGACATCAGAAGTAACACCACACATCTACAACCATCTGATCTTTGACAAACCTAACAAAAACAAGCCATGGGGAAAGGATTTCCTATTTAATAAATGATGTTGGGAAAAGTGGCTAGCTATATGCAGAAAACTGAAACTGGACCCCTTTTCTTACAGCTTATACAAAAATTAACACAAGATGGATTAAAGACTTAAACATAAGATTTAAACCATAAAAACCCTAGAAGAAAACCTAGGCAATACCATTCAGGACATAGGCATGGCCAAAGACTTCATGACTAAAACACCAAAAGCAATGGCAACAAAAGCCAAAATTGACAAACGGAATCTAATTAAACTAAAGAGCTTCTGCACAGCAAAAGAAACTATCATCAGAGCGAACAGGCGACCTACAGAATGAGAGAGAAACTCTGAAATCTATCCATCTGACAAAGGGCTAATATCCAGAATCTACAAAGAACTGAAACAATCTTACAAGAAAAAAACAACCCCATTAAAAAGTGGGCAAACGATATGAACAGACATTTCTCAAAAGACATTTATGCAGCCAACAAACATATAAAAAAAGCTCATCATCACTGGTCATTAGAGAAATGAAAATCAAAACCACAATGAGATACCTCCAATGCCAGTTAGAATGGTGATCATTAAAAAGTCAGGAAACAACGATGCTGGAGAGGATGTGGAGAAATAAAAACACTTTTACACTGTTGGTGGGAGTGTAAACTAGTTCAACCGCTGTCGAAGACAGTGTGGTGATTCCTCAAGGATCTAGAACTAGAAATACCATTTGACCTAGCAATCCTATTACTGGGTTTATACCCAAAGGATTATAAATCATTCTACTATAAAGACACATGCACACATATGATTATTGCAGCACTGTTCACAATAGCAAAGACTTGGAACCAACCCAAATGCCCATCAGTGACAGACTGGATAAAGAAAATGTGGCACATATACACCATGGAATACTATGCAGCCATAAAAATGAATGAGTTCATGTCCTTTGCAGGGACATGGATGAAGCTGGAAACCATCATTCTCAGCAAACTAACACAAGAACAGAAAACCAAACACCACATGTTCTCACTCATAGGTGGGAGTTGAACAATGAGAACACACAGACACAAGGAGGGGAACACACACTGGGAGCCTGTTGGGGGTTAGGGGGATAGGGGAGGGATAGCATTAGGAAAAATACCTAATGTAGATGATGTGTTGATGGGTGTAGCAAACCACCATAGCACGTGTATACCTATGTAACCAACCTGCACGTTCTGCACATGTATCCCAGAACTTAAAGTATAATAAAAATAAATAAATATTTTTAAAAGTATAAAAATTAGCCGGGCGTGGTGGCACGTGCCTGTAGTCCCAGCTTTGTGTTAGAAACATTCCAATTTCACTCTTTTAGTTACTCTGAAATATGTAATAAATGATTGTTAACTATAGTCACTATTATGCTATGAACACTAGATATTATTCCTTCTAGCTGTATATTTGTACCCATTAGCCAATCCCTCTTTATCCCTCCTCCCCACCACACTTTCCAGACTCTGGTAACCATCATTCTACTCTTTCTTTTCTTTTTTTTTTTTTTTTTAATACAGGGTCTCACTCTGTTGCCTAAGTTGGAGTACAGTGGCATGATCTTGGCTCACTGTAGTCTCAACCTCTCGGGCTCCAGTGATCCTCCCACCTCACCCTCCTGAGTAGCTGGGACTACAGGCACACACCACCTCACTGGCTAATTTTTTTATATTTTTTGTAGAGATGGGGTTTCACCATGTTACCCAGGCTGGTCTTAAACTCCTGGGCTCAAGCAATCTGCCTGCCTTGGCCTCCCAAAGTGCTGGGATTATAAGCGTGCACCACCGTGCCTGGCCTCTACTCCCTATCTCTATGAGTTTATTTTTAGCTTTCTGTGTCTGGCTCATTTCACTTAACGTCATGTCCTACAGTTCCACCCATGTTGTTACAAATGACAGGACTTCATTCCTTTTATGGCTGAATAATATTCCATTGTGTATATGTATCACATTTTCTTTATCCATTCATCCATTGATGGACACTCAGGTTGATTCCATATCTTGGCTATTAAGAATAGTGCTGCAATAAACATGGGAGTACAGATATCTTCTGTTTGATATACTGATTTCCTTTATTTCGGATATACATCCAACGCTGGGATTGATGGATCATGTGGTAGTTCTATTTTTAGTTTTTTGAGGAATCATCATATCATACTATTTTTGAGACAGTCTCATGCTGTCACCCAGGCTGGAGTGCAATGGTGTGATCTTGGCTTACTGCAACCTCCACCTCCCAGGTTCAAGTGATTCTCCTGCCTTTGCCTCCCAAGTAGCTGGAATTACAGGTGCCTGCCACCACACCCGGCTAATTTTTTTGTATTTTTAGTAGAGACGGGGTTTCACCATGTTGGACAGACTGGTCTCAAACTCCTGACCTCTGGTGATCTGCCTGAGCACTTGGCCTCCCAAAGTGCTGAGATTACAGGCGTCATCCACTGTGCCAGGCCCGTCATACTGTGTTCTATAGTAGCTGTACTACTTTACATTCTCACTAACAGTGTATGAGGGTTCCCCTTTCCCCACAACCTCTCCAGCATTTGTTATTGCCTGTTTTTTTGGAGGAAAGCCCTTTAAACTGGAGTAAGATGATATCCCATTGTAGTTTTAATTTGCATTATTTTGATGACTAGTGGAGAATTTTTTCATATACCTGTTAGCCATTTGTATGTCTTCTTTTCAGAAATGTCTATTCAGCTGTTTTGCCCATTTTTAATAGGATTGTTTGTTTGCTATTATTTGACCTCCTAACATTCTAGTTATTAATCTCTCATCAGATGGGTAGTTTGCAAATCGTTGTTTCCTTTGATACGAAGAACCATTTTAGCTTGATGCAATCCCATTTGTCCATTTTTGTTTTGGTTTCCTCTGCTTTTTAGGTCTTACTCAAAATCTTTGCCAGACTAATGCCCTGGAGTGTTTCCCAATGTTTTCTTCTAGTAGTTTCATAGTCTCAGGTTTTAAGGTTAAGTCTTTAATCCATTTGGAGTTGATTTTTGTATATGGCAAGAGATAGGAGTCTAGTTTCATTCTTCTGTATGTGGATATCCAGTTCTGTTAGCACCTCTTACTGAAGAGTCTGTCCCTTCCCCAGTGTAGGTCCTTGACACCTTTGTCAAAAATGAGTTGACCGTAAATGCATGATTTATTTCCGGATTCCCTATTCTGTTCGTCTGTCTCATTTTATGCCAGTACTGTGCGGTTTTGGTTATTCTTGCTTTGTACTATAATTTGAAATCAGGTAATGTGATGCCTCCAGCTTTGTTCTTTTTGCTCAAGAGTACTTAAATGGCTATCAGTATTTACTTCTGGGTGGTAGGATTCTGTTTAATTTTATTTTTACTATCTATGATTTTTTTTCAAATTTTTACTTCAAGCAATTTTATTTTATACTTAGAAAAGTCTAACTTTACTTAATAAAGGAATAAAGGAAATAAAAAAGGTAGGTTGTGGGTCCTATTGTAATCTATCATTAGACAAACAATTACTGAACATCTATAAGTATTAGGAACTGTTCTAAGTGCCCAGGATACATAGGTCTCTGCCTCATTGATTTTACATTCCAATTTGTGTGTGGGAGTATTAGACAATAACTAATAACTGTAATAAATAAGTTAATGATTTAATATATTAGAGGGTGATATTTGCTATGGGAAAAAAAAACTGAGCTGGGTAAAGAAGAAAGAGAATGTGATATAGGGGGATCAGAGCACTGCAGCTTATAATTGTAACTAGGGTGGTCAGGGCAGACCTTATTGAAACATAGGATATGGACATGTAGATGAGGTCTTGGGGATACTGGCGCATATCTGGTGAAAGACCCCCAAAGACAGAGCCATGCCCATACTTAAGAGCCAGCAAGGAGGCCAGCCAGGTGAAAAAGGTGTTGAGCAGGAAGAGCCCAGCAGGAATCTCAGGAGGTTTGTTGATTTTTTGACACAGGTGTCTGTAACATACAGGAGCCTGCCAAGAGTCCCCAAGCCTGTTGACCACTACCCACTGTCACTGACCCTTATGGAGAGAGACAATACAGCACAAAGAAATTTGGGGGTGTATCTCAGATGGCTGTGAAATCAAAAACAAAATGCCAAACAGCCATCCACTTACGATCCACTGAGGGTCATTTTATCTCATATTCCAGTTGAAAGTAACGACCTTAATACTGAAAGGGAAGTGCGCACTTCATAAACAAGTTGAAAAACAGGTTTGATTTTCCTGGACCATGGCTTACAATAATAGAGAAATGGGTTCTTGCCAAGAGACAGAACAGGAAGAGAGAGTTTGACAGGAGGTTCATTAACTGATCAAGAGGGCTTTACATTAACATTTGATGAGGAGAGAGGAAAAGATTTAGATAAAACTAATAGCTAGTTATGATGGAGAATCTTGGGTGTTGAAACAGAAAGAATAACAATAATGGTGAATGTCTCCAGCTGATCGCTGGAGAAAATAAGAAAGGTTTGGTAGCAAAACATGATTTCAGATATGGGCTAAGCATGGATAAAGAAATGAATGTGATACTTCATGTAAAAATAAAAGGGCCGGGCACGGTGGCTCACGCCTTTAATCTCAGCACTTTGGGAGGCCGAGACGGGCGGATCACGCGGTCAGGAGATTGAGACCGTTCTAGCTAACACGGTGAAACCCCGTCTCTATTAAAAATACATAAAAATTAGCCGGGCGTAGTGGCGGGTGCCTGTAGTCCCAGCTACTCAGGAGGCTGAGGCAGGAGAATGGCATGAACCCGGGAGGCGGAGCTTGCAGTGAGCCCAGATCGCGCCACTGCTCTCCAGCCTGGGCGACTGAGCGAGACTCCGTCTCAAAAATAAGTAAATAAATAAGTAAAATAAATAAAAAAATTTTGGCTGGGCACAGTGACTCATGCCTATAATCCCAGCACTTTGGGAGGCCAAGGCAGGCAGATCACTTGAGCCTAGGAGTTCCAGACCAGCCTGGGTAACATGGTGAAACCCCATCTCTTCTAAAATTACCAAAATTAGCCAGGTATGGTGGCATATGCCTGTGGTCCCAGCTACTCAGGAGCCTGAGGTGGGAAGATCACTTGAGCCTGAGAGGCCAAGATTGTAGTGAGCCAAGATCACGGCAGTGCACTCCAGCCTGGGGAATAGAGCGAGACTCAAGTCTCAAAATAAATAAATAAAAATAAATAAAATAACAATAGCTTACACTTATTGAGCACTTAACATGTTTGATCACAGTAATAAATACTTTAAATAATTATAAAAGCTAACATTTATTGAGTACTCACTATGTGCAGAGAATTACCTTTTTTAATCCTCCCAATTCTATGAAACTATCCACATTTTACAGATGAGGAAACCGAGGGTTAAAGAGGTTACATAGCTAGTGATAAAGAACCCAAAAGCCCAACCTAGATTTATCTGACTCCAACGCTCACTTCTTAACTAGGCATCTTGAGAGCGGTGAAGGGTAGCCATGCTGTTTTAAAGACCATATATTAGGTTGATGCAAAAGTAATTGCGGGGTTTTTTTTGCACCAGCCTAGTAGTTAAGAAAGAGAATTCCAGGAAGTACTAGTCACATATTCAACTTTAGAAAAGTGGATTTCATAAAAAATAAACCAAAAATGAATGATCCTGTGGCCAATAACTCCAAAAGATAAGATATCTCAAGGGGCTTAGAAGATTGTAAAAATTAATGTTTTGTTAATATAAACATAAATAATTCAATCTTCTTTGTGTGTATGTGTGTGTGTACATGCAGAAAATAATATGGAGAAATTAACAATTTGGCTGTCCAGGGCACTCGGATTTTAAAAGAAAGCACAAGAGATACAACAAAGACCTCCAAATAACGGTTTCAGAAAAAGCTGAGATTTGTAAAAATCCTAAGGACAACAAAGATAATTGTTTCGGTTGTGTTCAGAGCAGGAAGTCTAAGAAAAAGGCCAGGCTAAGTGCTTGAGGCAGATGGTGTAATATTACAAACAGGCACCACAATGCTAGAAACCAGCTGGAGATCATTAAGAGCAATTGCCATCAAGCCTCTATTTTCTTTTTTGATGGAATTACCAAACAGGTAATGTAGCATAGCTGGATCTGAGCAAAACATTTTTCCCAAGCTCTCACAGTAGTCTCATGGGCAAGATGTGGGAACACAGGTGGCTTCCTAACTCACTAAGCAGCTAAGCCCAAAGAGGCTTAAGTGTACTATGCTAGACTGAAGGCGAGTTGTGCCTGTGTCCTGTCCTCTTCAATACTTGCATATCAAATTTGTTCTGAGAGTGCATGTTATCACTCACAGATGACACAAAACTGGGAGAGGTGCCTAATGTGTTAAGTGACAGACTCAAGTGGCAGAAGTATCTGGCAGGCTGAAGCTAGCAAGACAAAATTTGATGCATATTTATGTAAATGTCAGTATTCACCTGAAAAGAACCTGGGAATATTAACTCACAGAAAAACAAGGAATCAAGGACAGGGCCTGCCAAAGGGTCTTTGCAGTCTTTAGCTGTATTCATACAAGTATGGTATCCAAATTAAGGAAGAACACATGTATATCCATACCAGGGAATACTATTCAGCGAGAAACAGAACAACTTCAATGAATCTCCAGAGAATTGGGAAATTATGCAGAGTAAAAAAAAAAAAATCAATTCCAAAACATCACGTGATGTATGATTCTGCTAATGCAATATTCCTGAAATGACAAAATTATAGAAATAGAAAACAAATTAGTGGTTGCCAGGGATCAGGGATGGAGTGGTGAGAGGGGAGGTGGAGGTGGGTATAAAAGGGCAATATGAGGTATCTTTGTAGTGATGGAAATGTTCTGTATCTTTTCTTCTTTCTTTTTTTTTTTTTTGAAACGAAGTCTTGCCGTGTCACCCAGCCTGGGTGCAGTGGTGCAATCATGGCTCACTGCAGCCTCGACCTCCTGGGCTCAAGCCATCCTCCCACCTCAGCCTCCCAAAGTGCCAGGATTACAGGCATGAGCCACTGTGCCTGGCCTGTTCTGTATCTTGACTGTGCCAATGTCAATATCCTGGTTGTGATATTATTCTATAATTTTGCAAGATGTTACCACGGGAGGAAACTGGATAAGTGATACAAAGGATCTCTCTATAATATTTCTTACATCTGCACATTAATTGGCAATTATCTAAAATAAAAATTCAGTTAAAAAAATTTTTTTTGTAAATTGGGAGCGTGGGTGGAGGATACAGGTAGGGGAGTAGGAGGAGAGTGAATAATCTAGATAAGCTTCCCATGAAACATTCATCCTAAAGAAGAAAGCAGGCACGGTACCATCGACCTCTCAGACTGAAGCATCCAAGGCAGCAGGAACTGTGCCCATCTTCTTCGTCACTGGATTGCGAGTGCTTCAAACTACACTGATGTATCGGGGATTAAGACAAGAGTTCCTCTCTACCCAAATAGTAGCATTAAGAGATTAAGGAACAATGAGTTGTCCCACTCTGCTTGATTCCTCAGTTTTGAGCAACAAAGAATTCATCCAAAATATGCACTTGACTCCATTTGGTTCCTGAGTTGACTAAGAAACTGACAGAGACTGAGAGGGTAGGAATAAAGCCCCAGAGGAAAGATACTGAGTGGAACTTTACAGAATTGCATGGCTGTTAAATGCATCCATCCCAAGCCCTCCCCCTGGAGAGATAAAAACTGACCTAGGTGTCTGAGTTAACCTCTCTCACATTGGAATCATGTTAACACTGCTCTGGGAGCCTCTAACAAAGTGTAATTCCATGAAGAGAGAGCCACTCTCTCCTGTTCTGCCATAGACCACCAAATAACCTTGACATCCCGGGGAATGGAAGTGAATGCTACCAGAAAAAGGGTGGGGCCTGTGGCTACAGGAAAGAGGACTGCTCTAGGGAGGTGATGGCCACATAGTGGGGTCTGGGCAGTGATCCAGGGCAGTATGACATTCATCAGGGCCCCAGAACCAGGGAAGCCATCGGAAGGGAAACTTATTCCTGAGCACACACGTGAAATACCTCTTGGGGACTCCGAGGACCAATCAAGAGGGAATTTGCAGGAGACTGAGCAGGCAGAAACCAGAATCAGGTAATTGGGACATTAGAGTTTTTTTTTAAATTGATGTTGCTATATACAATATTGCTCCTAATTTTCACTGGAGATTTAGATTTGGGATCAGAAGACCCCAACCCCAAGCTTCAGGCTTTTTGTCTTTTACACTGGCATGGTAATGTCTGCTCTGCCTACTTCGCAAGGCTGTTACTTTTTTTTTTTTTTTTTTTTTTTAAGATACAGGGTCCTGCCGTGTTGCCCAGGCTGGAGTGCAGTGGCTATTCATAGCACACCACAGCCTAGAACTTCTGGGCTCAAATGATCTTCCTACTTCAGCCTCCCAAGTAGCTGGGACTTTAGGAGCATGTCACAGCACCCAGCTTTAGACTATTACTTTGAGAATTACATGAAATAATATAGGTGAGAAAGCTTTTGAAATCAGCAAATACTATTTGAATGTGATTTTTGATATCATTATCTTACAAATGCTTCATTATCTCCACTGTTACTTCCCTCCTATCATCTTTTCTTCTGAAGGCTTAATAATTTCTAAGCCCCCTTTTTGTGCCCTCTATAAAACACTGTGGTATTTGAGGTCCTGTGTGTCCTGAAACTATTTTGAGGTGCACATATGTGGTGGTCTTTACCTTTCTGAAATCATTTAACAGTTGTCCTGGGACCAGAATCTTCTGCAATTCCTTGGCCCCATGCCCAGGGCTCTGCTAAGGGTCTGAACATGGGCATGGGGCTAAATGTGGAGAGAGGAGCCAGTTACCCAGGGGCTAGAAATTAGAAAATGTGCTCAAGGTTTAGGCTCCTTGTATTAGTCCGTTTTATAACTGCTATAAAGAGCTGTCCAAGACTGGGTAATTTATAAAGAAAAGAGGTTTAACAGACTCACAGTTCAGCATGGCTCGGGAGGCCTCACAGAAAACATGCAATCATAGCGGAAGACGAAGGAGAAGAAATGTACCTTCTTCACCAGACTGCAGAAAGGAGAGCAATGGAGGAAGATCCCCTTATAAAACCATCAGATCTCGTGAGAACTCACTCACTATCACGAGAACAACATGGGGGAAACCACCCATATGATTCAATTACCTCCACCTGGTCTCTCCCTTGACACCTGGGGATTATGGGAATTCTAATTCAAGCTGAGATTTGGGTGGGTACATAAAACCTAACCACATCACTCCTGATGGTCCAATTCATAAAATTTTACAAGACCATTACCTGGAAATTAGGGGGTGGTAGCAAACCCTGAAAATGAGGGAGCTGAGAGGCAAGAAATCAGAGGCCCTACATCTGGAACCACCTCCTCCACAGGACCCTGCTTCTACTTCCAGAGCTGATGCCACAGGTTGGGACTTCCTGCTCCAGGTTCCAGCCAGGGAAACAGAGCCAGCTCCTCACACATGCTTCAGGTAGGCAGAGGAAGAGCAAAAAAGAGACCCCCATACCTTTTATTCCAGCAGCTCTGGGGAAAGGTTTACTTTCAAGGAAAATAGGGAAATGCACTAATTCAGAGTCATCAATTAACTCCGTCACTTACAAGATGTGGGACTCTGGCTTCAACCTACTCCTCTGAAACAGGAATAGTGTGCCTATTCAAAATATCTTGCAGGCAGCAGATCAAACAATCGGTTGTATCTTTTTTTAAAAAATCAGTTGAGAGTTAAAAAACAAAACAACTAAAAATTGTTTTGTAAATTTCAAGCATACAAATGCAAAGGATATGTATTTCCTATAGCCTAGGATCTCCAGGTCCCTAATAAGGGAGGCCAGCTATGATTGTTTGCTGGGATGCATGTTTCATTTAGAGATGCAGCTGAATAAGTCTTGGTTTTTTTTTGGTTTGTTTGTTTGTTTGTTTTTTCAGTATTAAAAGACCTTTCAGGCCAGGCGTGGTGGCTCAAACCTGTAATCCCAGCACTTTGGGAGCCCGAGGCAGGTGGATCATGATGTCAGGGGTTCAAGACTAGCCTGGCCAAGATGGTGAAACCCCGTCTCTACTAAAAATACAGAAATTAGTTGGGCATGGTGGTGGGCGCCTGTAATCCCAGCAACTCGGGAGGCTGAGGCAGGCAATTGCTTGAACCCGGGAAGCAGAGGTTGCACTGAACCGAGATCGTGCCACTGCACTCCAGCCTGGGTGACAGAGCAAGACTCCTTCTCAAAACAAACAAACAAACAAACAAACAAACAAACAAAAAACCTTTCAGAAACACATTGGTACTCCTAAGCTTTTACATATGTTCATAAGCCTTTAAATTAGGGTGGAGGAAAAATTATCTCAATTCCTGAAAAGATAGACATTAAAAGGAACCACCAAATAAAGGCAAACCCATTTTCCAGGTGCTAGAAAAGGGTGAGGAGTGGTACAATCTATGCAAGGCCAGGTGTGTGAGAAAACCATGGTACCTGAAAGCCTGGGTAAAAGAGCTGAGAATAGGATACAAAGGGTTCAGCCCCCCAGGTAGCCAAATGCCGCTGCAGGCTAGGGCTCCCTCCCTCCCTCCCTCCCTCCCTGCTTCGCTTTCTCCCTCCCTCTCTCCTTTTTCCCTTTCTTTCTTCCTTCTGTGGAGTTCCTAAATCATGGTTTCTTGAGAAACAGGATATTGGAGCTTCAAGGCAGAGGTCCCCAACATCTTAAGGAGCCTGGAGGTCATGATTCCTTGCCAAGGTGGGAATCACACTCCATCTTGGACTTCCGAGGCTAGGCAGAGTTAGGCATTTTCTCATCTGGGCTCCATAGGCCTGGGCCCACAGTTTTTTTCAGCATCTCTCTCACTGCACTGTAGCCATTTATTCACCAGAATGCATCCTTCCTGACCTGCGAGCTCTTCCAGAGCATGAACAGAGGAGTATAATGGTTTGGCACCCCGCCTTTGGTGCCAGAGAAACCTAGGTTCACACTCTGATTAGACCCTTCAGGGGCTGTGTGATTTTTCTGGGAGAATGAAATTAGATACCATCTATAAAAATCTGGACTTATGGTATAACCAATATGTGGCAGCTGCTATTACTTTAACTTGTTCTTCTGTATACAAATAATAATAGCTTTATCTGTTAGGATTCAGTGCAGGAAACAGAAATTGCTTCACTTACATTGAGTAGGAAGGGATTTAGTCAAGGGATAATGTGCTTGCAAAACGGTTAGAAGGGCTGAAGGAGCAGGTTCTAGGCTGGGGCTCACAAAGCAGTATAGAAATTAACCACCACCTCTAGGGCACCTCTGGAGCTGTGCTGGAATCCAGAAGTGACTGCTGCCTCTGCTACAATTCCTGCCTCTCGATACCCAAGAAGCTGGAGAATGGACTCTGGAACTCTGATGCAGAAAAACCTCCTATTTCCCCAGCTTTGCTGGCCAGCAAAATGGCTACAAAGGGGTGCAGCTTCTGCTTTGCACATCTTGCACTGAGTGCCTCTACTTGGCAGAAGACAGCTTGCTTCTAGAACCCCGACTGCAAAGGAGCCTTGGAATCATGGTGCTCAGCTTTCCAACTTCACCCAGCAAGAGGCAGGAATGAAGGTTGAGTGACCATCCACACCACAGCTGGCACTTTCAGCTGTCATTGGCCTCACAGCACCACAGTTAGGTAAGTGCCCATTTCACAAATGAGGAAGCAGAGCCTTCAGGAAGTTACCTTGTCTGCCCCGGGTCACAGAGGAAGGGGTGAAGAAGCAATGTAAACAGGTTCTATCTTAATCAAAGTCTATGCCCTTAACTACCATTTTTTCTAATCCTCCCTGCATCTTGAATGCCTAACTCTGCATGTGGCCACACCTACTGAATGAATGTTAGAGTTCATTCATCATGAGTTTAAACAGAAAATTACACCAACTTAGAATGCTGTGGCCTAGAGAAAGTGTCTTTACCTCCTGAGTGCGACCCAAGTCAGGAGGCAGGAGGCTGACTGAGGGACACGGAGGAGGTATGCACACTCACAGCATGAGGCAGAGCTGTGTGCACACATCAAGCAAGGAAATGGGGCCGGAATATGGGGCAAAGGCCTACGGATTGAATGGTGGATTTGGATGTGGGCCACTTCTTCCAGCCCCTGAAAGAGGACCAGGCAATGTGGCTATGAATGGGCCTAATGAGAATTGATTGATTCGCTCGAGATGTTTTCTTTTTCTTCCTAAAATAGAAAATGACATACCCCATGATTCATGCACTCCGGTGCCCGTGATAATGGCCTCTTCAGTGCACTGACTCTGCTGATAACCACAGGCACTCATCCTCCGCAGAGGGGTTGTGTGCCACACCCTAGGCACATAGCAACCCTGCAGGCTGTCAGACACCTGCCGCAGAGAGTGCTTTCCACACGCTCTCTGGGACATGAGGCACAGTTCCCAGGAGTGCCTGAGAAATCTCAGTTGCCTGGCATAGATGCTAAGGCCTGAGAGAAGAGCCCAGAGTCTAGGCCTGAGGGGCTGCAGTCTGCACACAGGAGTTAACTCATACACATATACAACCCACAAAGCCACACACATACATAGCACAAATACACACACAGATAGACACAGCACACACAGACACATACATCACACACACACAGACACAAACATGCACACTACACACATGCACAGCCCACATAAACACCCACAGAGTTGCAAATATACACAGCACAAATACACACACAAATAGACCACACGCAGAGAGACACATCACACATACACACAGATACAAATATACACACCACACACAAACACAGAGAGACACACACACCACACATACAACACACACAAACATACACACTACACACATACACAACCCAATAAACACCCACAGAGCCACAAACATATGTAACACAAATACACAGAGAGACACACCATGCAAAGACCCAGAGAAACACCATATACCACACATATGCACACACAAACGTGCACACCCAACACATCACCACGTGCAACACATACACCATACACGGAAACACATGAAGACACTTACGTACACCACACACACATATACACACACAGACACAAACATACGCAGCGCACACACACCACACACATACGCAGGCTCATGCACATACTCTACAAAAAGTGCCTCACTACAGGACAGCCATATCCTAAAAGGCTTAAAATAATGGTTATATGGCCTACAAACGCAGAAGGTGTGTATACAAACCAGTAAAAGAAATGAAAGAAAGCATCAAAAATGGTAAATACACGAAGATAAAATCCCTGTTGAAATGCACGCATGATATTTATTGGGATTGGAGGACAATTCAGGCAACACAAATAATTGATATTTAGTAATCTTTGGATTGTTCCTTGTGAACTTATTCAGTTGAACAGCACATTTTTTCAAGTGGCTGCCCTTTAGCCCCTGTACACTCACTGTGTGGCCACTGACTTACACCCACTGGGCATCTGCCAAGTCCCTACCTCATCTCCCTCCCTTCCAAATGTACCTGTCTGGGGACAGCCCTGCAGAGCCCCTGCAGCGCCTGTTTGATGATAGAGCTTGCCACCCAGTCCCTCTCATTCTTCCAAGCTCCTTTCCTGCCCAAGTCAGGAAAGTCCCACAGTTCTTGTCTCATAGTACACACAGGGAAGTTCAGGGATTTGGTGCTAACTTTAGTTAGACCCCGGCTTCCCAGAGCCCTGATTTCTTCCAGGGCTATAGCAGTTTATCTCTGTGTGCCCAGGGGGTGCTCAGGCCCAGGAATTGTGAATATTAGATGTTCCCTTTAGTATTTCTAAGATCCTATAGGGAAGAGTGGGAAATTGAAGTTAAGGGACAACTAGCAGGTGAGAATGACAGCTGGGGATTATTGACCAAGAAGGAAAGGATGGGCTGGTTGTAAATATACCTTCAAGACCCATTATCTTACTGAACTTGAAAGCTAGAGGGGAATGTACAGAGACCATCAGCTATAACCCCTTCATCTTCCAGATGTAGAATCTGAGGCCAGAAGAGTGAAACAATATGTCTAAAGTCAAAACCAATTAATTAGAAGCGACTCTGTGATCGCAAATGTAGAATTCTTCCCTAATGGAGCACTGGTTACCATTTTCTATTTTCTGATTCTATGGTATTATTTCACCGACTTGATGTATGGACCAAGATATTATTCTGGATTTGAGATTTTATTAGAGAAGCTAACAAAGTAAACATACTTTATTTAGGACTTTCCATTTTATTAGATGAATATTATATTCCTCTTTTCCTAAAGCAGGAGATGCTTATGTTGGACAACCAACTTTTATATAATATAATATAGAATATATATAATTTTATATATAACATAATATAGAATATTATTATTTCATTTAACATTTAAATAGTCCTGCCAGGTGGATACTACACATTTTATAATCAAGAGAGGAACAGTAGTTCTGGGAACGTGATTAAAGATGAATGAAGATCAACCCACTCAAGTTGGTCTGGCTTCCATGTCATGGAATTTCTGCATTGCCACTCTGCTTTGCAAGCTTAGGAGACACCTGCTGTGGTTTGAATGTTCATCCCCTCAAAACTCTTGTTAGCCTGAGTAGAGGGCACCCTGCACTCACTCTCCTGCCACCACAGTTGGCAACTTTTAGGAGCATATTCTTGCTCTACTGTGGTTGATTTGTATTTTGTTTTTCCTTCTTTGTTTTTCCTTTCCTATAATATAATATAATATAATATAATATAATATAATATAATATAGAATATTATATAAAAGGCACAACACAAGTTGGTTGTCCAACACAAACATCTCCTGCTTTAAGAAAGTTCAAAATAGAAAAATAATAAAAGTATGATTGCCTCATTACAAAATATATTTTATAGTAGGGTTTTTGTTTTTTGAAAAGATGTTCCCACTACATATTTCAACTCTGAAGTTTTCAGGGATAACTCAAGAAAAAATGGTATAAGTCAAGAAAAATAATGAATGTATATGTACTTTTGGCAAACTAATAATTCACAGGTAAGTATGTGTTTTTACTAGATTTATAAAACAGTAAGAAACAGGAAAGATGTGTGGATTAGTAATGTGAAAACAGAGGTCTACTTTACATTTGCCATAATTCCAGGCTTACATGAATCCCTTAAACTTTGTAAGCCTCTATGTCCTCCTCCAGAAAATTTGTTATTTTCTGGGTTTTTTTGTTATTTTTTATTTTCTGTTATTTTCTGGAGGAGGACATTGACTGGGACCAAATGAGTTCTATGGGTTTGCTGTAATCTATTTTCTGTTGCTTATAACAGAATACCTGAAACTGGGTTATTTATAAAGAAAAGAGATTTATTTCTTATAATTCTGAAGGCTGAGAAGTCTAAGGGTATGGCTCAGGATTCCACAAGGGCCCTCTTGCTGGAGAGGATCCCTCTAAAGAGTCCCAGCCTGGTGTAGAGCATCACATGCTGAGGGGACTGAGTGTGCTTGCTCAGGTCTCTCTTTCTCCACTTTTTATTTTTTTAATTTTAAAGTTTTTATTTGTAGAGATGGGGTCTTTCTATGTTGCCCAGGCTGGTATCAACCTCCTGACCTCAAGCAATCCTCCCGCCTCAGTCCCCCAAAATGCTGAGATTACAAGAGTCAGCCACAGCACCTGGCCTATTTCTCCTCTTCTAAAGCCACTAGTGCCACTCCCATGATAACCCATTATTCCATTAATCCATACATGGATTAATTCATTCATGAGTGGAGAGCCATCATTACCCAATCACCTCTTAAAGGCTTCACCTCTCAATACTGCTAAATTGGGGACTAAGTTTCAACAGGAGTTTTGAGGGGATGAACATTCAAACCATAACAGGGGTCTCCTAAGCTTGCAAAGCAGAGTGGCACTGCAGAAATTCCACGACATGGAAGCCAGACCAACTTAAGTGGGTTGATCTTCATTCATTTTTAGTCACCTTCCCAGAACTACTGTTCCTCTCTTGATTATAAAATGTGTAGTATCCACCTGGCAGGACTATTTAAATGTTAAATGAAATAATGGCCACAAAGTGCCTAGCCATTGCCTGCCTCAACATTGATGTTCAGTAATTTTAGTTTCATATCCACCTCCAACTTTGCCATTCTACTCATTGATAAACATATCAAATGTATAAAGAACTCACAGCATCCATCTGACTCAGTGAGCCATTTGGAGATTCAGTAATGAAAGACAATGTCATCCTTCCACGACGTGCCTTTTGCTTTCAATGTGGGAGGGATGGAAGCTAGCCTGAGTGGAGGGCACCCTGCACTCACTCTCCTGCCACCACAGTTGGCAACTTTTAGGAGCATATTCTTGCCCTACTGGGGTTGATTTGTATTTTGTTTTCCCTTCTTTTCACTGAGTTTTGCCTACTTGCTTCTTACTGATGATTTCATTTCATTGAGATTCATATACACAAACACACGCACGCACACACACAACACATATATTTGTCTGCCTCTCCCTTCAGTCATGGATCATTTCCTGCTTAAATCATTTCCCCAGGCTCCCCTCTCCTTCATCTGGCTAACCCTTCAGCTTTCCTCATGGAAACTTTTCTGACCCTTCACCATTCTTCCTATTTGCTTTCATAGCACCCTATGTTCTTCCTTCCTAACACTTACCATGATCAAAATTGCATAATTTATTTGTGTCATATTAGTCTGACTCCCTTTCCAGGCTGCAGGCTCCAAGAAGACAGCAAGCTTGTCTATTTTGTTCACTGACCTGTCCCTAAGACTTGCAGTGCTTAGCATTTAGTAGGGGCTCCAGAAATATGTGTGGAGTGGATGGATGGGCAAATAAATGAAAGGTGAATGAATGAATAAGGCCCAGAAGCTGGCTTTCATCCATAAGAATGGGCTAGCTCTGCGGTGGCAGGTCTGCCCCTTTCCTCATTTCATATAGAGCTTCATCTTCACTCTTGCCATTGGCAGGATTCCTCCACAGCTTCTCCTACACTCTCTTAAAATGAAATTGATGAAATTGATTTACTAGTAACATGAACAGTTCAGCCAGAAAGTTTTCATAGATCATGATTCTACAGAAATGCAATCTTGCTCAAACTGTGGCTTAAACACACATCCATAATACCCTCTGTGTCTTCTAATAGGGTACCAGAATCTACTTTGGGATAGCCCACATGGTTATTAAGAGAAGTAGGATGGTTAAAGGATCTTACAAACAACAGGACCCATTTTAGATTCCACGGTGACAACTTTTCTAGCCCAACAGTTCACCACTAAAGATTCTGCATGCATCATTTGGGGTCCCTTACTTTTGCCTCTTGGATTTCCTACCCTCTTTGTGCCCCCAGTTAATCAAATGAGCAGGTGAGCAGGAAAGAGCTCCTTAAAAGTAAGGTGTGGGTTTAAATCAAATCAGTCTTTTTTCCTATTGACGACTGCCCACAGAGCATAAAGAGTACTTGAGACTTGGAGAGAAAAGTCAAGGAGGGAGCAGAAAGTGAGGCAGAACCATGGATTTTTTTCTCTTTATGTTTCTGTCCTTAATAAAATAGCAACACGAAGGCTTCTCAGATGATGAGTGGTTTTCCTCTTCCAGTCCAGTCTAAGAATCAGGTTGAACAACTGCAGGCAGCTATGTAAGAAATAGTTTCCAAAATAATTTTCCATAGCTCTGCTGTGTTTGGGTCAACCCTCAGGCTTCCTGACAATAGATTTGTTCTTGTTTCCTCCTGATACCTGGTGCAGTGCTTTGGTGATTGTGCTGAGAGGACATGAGTACCCGCCTCTCAAACTCCCAGAGGTAAACTGGCATTATGAAGGAACAATAGCCCAAGTTTATGTTTGGAGGGAATATATTGAAGGATGCTATGTTTAATTTCACTGCTTCCGTGAATGGTCTTCAAGATGAATAGCTTCAAGATTCCTATGATTTCTCATTTCTTTTTTCTTTAAATAGCATATCAGGGCCCCCAGTTCAGCCTAAATAGCGTTCATTTCAGCAATTCAGACCTGTCTGCGTGTGTGTCACAGAAAGGCGGGGCAAGGGTCACTTTGGAAGGGGATTTTGGTGGTGGGAGTCTATACCCTGGAGTGGAGCCGGCTTGGGTACTTCAGACATCAGCGGGCTCCTCCCTTGGCTCCAGGTAAAAAGAAACTGTACACTGAAGCTGCAATAGCCAGTTTTCAGAAGCTAGGGGAGATGTGAACAGCACAATCTGATGCCGGGGGAGAAAAGGTAGCTAAAGTGGGAAGGAGCAATATTCTGTCTGCTTCTGTGCTAATCCTGCAGCATTTGGGGGATCTTGAATTCTTCTGAGACTGTAACTATCTATATCTTTGGGGACATGGTGGCAGCAGCGTTGGCAGACATCAGCACCCTCATGGGGCAGAGTCCATGCGGGATCATGTGGGCACATGCAAAAGATTCCTGAGGATTCCTGATGAAACCTAAAGGAGAGATCTCACAGAGAGGGTGGAGGATGCAGGAGCCCATCGGACAGCAATGATCATTGTTAATGTGACCCTGTTTGGAAACTTAAGTGTAGAACAGGGAAAGCACACATTACAGGAGAATTATAAAATGTCAGTGCTGGGAAGGATCTTAGAGATTATCTAGTCAAATATCCCTCATGATACAGGTGATGATAGCAAGGCCCAAACAGGATAGGCTACCCACCCTTGCTTGATGACCAGTTCACAACATAACCAGGGTAGAACATAGTTCTCTGGAGGCTCAGCCCATGACACATGATGGACTCCTGACATTCTTCACATGTTTGTAGGGCACTGAGGACTTCTGTTGTCTATGGGGAGAAAGTGTCTTCTAAGCACATACTACTTTGAGGGAAGTCCAGGGTGCCTTAAGTCAAATGGAACTTGGGCTATGGGCTGGGGTATTCTGTCCAGGGTACTCTTTTGGGAAGCCTGTTAGGTGGAGCTTTGCTGGTATTTGCTCTAAGAAGGTGCAGCTTCAACTCTGGCTAGGTAAGGTCAGAAAGGGAAAGGAGGAGCCTCCTAGAAACAGCATCGGCTGGATCTTGGGAATTCAGTCTGCTTACCTGCCTCTGCTCATATCTTCACAGATTTTTTTCCCTCTCAAAAAACTGGATTCACCCACAGAGTCTGCCAGCACTGGAGCAGTAAAAGACACAATGTATGTGTCTGTGAGTTTTGTTTTGTTTTAACCAAAATTCTCTCTGCTGCTATTTCAGCTCATTTATTCTTGATTTGGCCTGAGCAAATCTGAAGCCATGTGTTATTGTTATTTATATTTCTTCATGAAATTCGGTCATCCCTTAGCCTGCCCAAGGTGAAAGAGCCCAAGTTCTTCAACCATTGGCTCTTAGGAAGTTGGAACCAAAGTAATGGTTGTAATAATCTTGTAATAGAATGTTCCAGAAACTCAGGAGAGGATACAACCTTCCAAACCTCAAGCATTCATTTTCAGCTATTCACCCTTATTACTGTACTAATAAAAACCTACTAAATTTATTCTACCCTAGAGTACTCAGGATATGAACTTAGCAAAGATTCATATTACATTTAAAAATTGATTTTAAAAATACACACACACACACATTTAGCTTTAAAAACACATATACAATACATTGAAAATACACTCAACAAAACTATAGCCTTTTCCTTTGGAAGGTCACTGATTGGATGGGGAAATTCTGATGTAGAATAAATTAACAGTCATCTGACCCCATTTCAGGTTCATGCAGACACCCCCACCTCTCTGCACTTTGCTGCATTCTTGTGAATGGGCCCAAACTCACCCAGATGACATCTTTCATATTCTTTCTTTCCCACTCACTCCCTGCCCCCCTCCAAACTTTACCCCCTCACATTCCTTCTGCATTTGGCTTCACAAGTGACCATGACAATAGGCTGAGGGTGTTTTTAATTGTTTCTGGTGATGCTCTCCAGCATGGCCTCACGGGAAATCTTGCACCTGCAAAGCCAGAGCAGTCTGCCACAGAGGCCATGCTGACCACGTGGGAGACAGACCATGGGCCAGAATTTCACTCTGCAGTGACCCTGGGTAGGGGTTAGGGAGGGGATAAGTCTTTACCAGGCTTCTGGTCAAGCTCCATCCCCAACGGATGCCCATGACGCTCTGGGATCTGCTCAAAGGCAAAGCATTCTCTTGTGTCTGTCTATCCATTTGCACTCCTGGACTCCTGCCCTATCTCCCTCTAAACAGAGTCAATATGAAGAATGTCTCATTCTTTTCCCCAAAACCCTCAAGAGAAAGTTTGCTATAATAGAATTACCAGACACCAGTACCTGGAACACACAGGATGAGATGAAGTCAGCAAAATGAAATTCAACAGAGTTTGGAAAAATGTCCAGAGATTTAAAAAAGTTATGTGGCAAAGCTATCATCAAAGGATTAAGGTTCAAGCATTGTGATGAAGGCAGATGAGGCGTTATCTGCCCCTGTGGTCTCACAATGAGTTGTGTGACTTCTCACACCACCTCATGTCCTTCCAGAGAGATCACTGTCTGCAGCAGGGCCTAACACAGTTATGTCACTAATCCAGTTCCACAAGACTCAGGTGACCCAACGGACATGCCCCATGGCCATTTGCTACTCTATGCTAATCCAAAGAGACAGCTTGTGGCTTGGGGGCAGTACAGATTTATGGATCTCTTACCTCTGACTTCCTACCCTGACCCTGAAGAACTGAGGTTTAGTCCTGTATACAGTTGTTTTGGTCAGAGATGTATCAGCCAGTAACAGGCAGGTGGAGTGGTTCTCTGAAGAAAAATCTCCACTGTTAGAGGAAGAAGTTTCCAACGCCAAGCATAAGGAATCTACAAGATGTGGAAGAAGCACTGAGCAATGTAGAAGTTTCCAGAATTGAGAAAGTGAAGGTTCAAGCAAGGGGTAAGACCGCCATTGTGAAGAGACAGTACAGCCACTGAGAAGAAAGTTGTGGGACTAGGCTGGGTGCAGTGGTTTGTGCCTATAATCCCAGCACTTTGGAAGGCCAAGGCAGGAACATTGCTTGAGCCCAGGAGTTTGAGGCCAGTCTTGACAACATGTGAAATCTTGTCTCTACAAAACATAAACAAAATTAGCCGGGTGTGGTGGTACGCACCTGTGGTCCCAGCTTCTTGGGAGCCTGAGTGGGAGGACAGCTTGAGCCCCAGATGTTGAGATTGCATGCAGTGAGCCTAGAAGGAGCCACTGCGCTCCAGCCTGAGCATGAGATAAAGACCCCGGCTCTACAAAAAAAAACAAAAAAGAGAGAGAAGAACAAGAAAAGCTGTGGCACTTGAGGAAACACTACTCCTGCTTTGGAGAATAAGTGCCTAATTTGTTATCTCACTTCTAGACTCAGAGCTCTTGACATCAGGAACCTATGCTACCATTAATATGTAAATGTTGGGCGAATGTCTGGAACATAGTAGGTACTCAATAAATGTTTGCTAAGCTGATTAGAATCAAAATAAGCAAATCAAACTTAAAAACTAGTCAGTATAAAAATCAGGGTTCTCTGTAGGAACTCAGATTGCTGACCACCAAAATTTCTCTTACTTCCCTCTTGAATTAGTCTGACACTTGTTCAGGTTCTCTGAACAAGTAATGTTGTCTAATAAACTAGCTTCTAGACAGATGTGGCTATTTAAGTTAATTAAAATTAAATGAAATTGAAAATTCAGTTCCTCAGTCACACTGGCCACCTTTCAAATGCACAATACCCTCATGTGGCTAGTGGCTACCACACTGAACAGCAGCAATTCTAGAACATTCCCATCACTGCACAACGTTCTATTGGGCAGCACTGGTCTAGAGTGTCGAAGAGAGCCTTCACATCTGATTCAGCCTTCTGAAGAAAGACATTTTGGATTTAGGAGCACATGAAGAGAATGGGGAGTTTTTAGGGCATTCAGGCAGGTTTTATAAACTTCTTCCGCTGAAGCTCAACTCCTTCCTGGAAAAAGAGGAATGAGAAGGAAATGGAAAAAGGACAGAGCTGACAAACATTTTCTATAAAGAATCAGATAATAGCTGGGCACGGTGGCTCAGGCCTGTAATCCCAGCACTTTGGGAGGCCAAGGTGGGTGGATCACCTGAGGTCAGGAGTTCGAGACCAGCCTGGCCAAAATGGTGAAACCCCTTCTCTAGTATTTTTATAAAAATACAAAATTAGCCAGCTGTGGTGGCACATGCCTGTAGTCCCAGCTACTCTGGAGGCTGAGACAGGAGAATTGCTTGAACCCAGGAGGCAGAGGTTGCAATGAGCTGAGATCACACCACTGCACTCCAGCCTGGGCGAGACACAGCGAGACTCCATCTCAAAAAAAAAAAAAAAAAAAAAAGAATCAGATAATAAATATTTTAGGCCTTAAAGGCTAAGAAACAAAATCAAGGCAAGGTGTGGTGGCTCACGCCTGTAATTCCAGCACTTTGGGAGGTCGAGGCGGGCAGATCACCTGAGATCGGGAGTTCGAGAACAGCCTAACCAACATGGAGAAACCCCATCTCTACTAAAAATACATGCATAGTGGCACATGCCTATAATCCCAGCTACTTGGAAGGCTGAGGCAGGAGAATCGCTTGAACCCAGGAGGCGGAGGTTGCGGTGAGCCGAGATCGTGCCATTGCACTCTAGCCTGGGCAACAAGAGTGGAAACTCCGTCTCAAAAAAAAAAAAAAAAAAAAGAAAAGAAACAAACTCAAAGAGATTCTTTAAATACTTATATAGCAAAGGAGAAAAGAAATTTCCACAAACTTTTATTGATGACATTCAAAACTTTAGGAACACTGAAATTTGAATTTATATAATTTTCACATCATTAAATACTATAGTTGTTTTGATTATTTTCAACCATTTCAAAAGGTAAAAACCATTCAAAGCTCATGGGTTGCATCATAACAGGCAGTGGGCCAGATTTGGCCTGCAGGTATAGCTTGCTACTTGGCATGCTAGACCATGCAGAAAAAACACCACGCAACATGACTGGCTGGCTTCTTTTAGGAGCCAATTTTCAGGAGTGATATGCAAATCGGATGGGAAGCTTGTGCAGAGTATATTGAAAGTCTCCCTCGAGAAGCAGGAATGAGGCCGGGCACGGTGGCTCACACCTGTAATCCCAACAGTTTGGGAGGCTGAGGAGGGAGAATCACTTGAGGTCAGGAGTTTGAGACTAGCCTGGCCAACACGGTGAAACCCTGTCTCTACTAAAAATACAAAAATTAGCTGGGCATGGTGGCACACACCTGTAATCCCAGCTACTCTGGAGGCTGAGGCACAAGAATTGCTTGAACCCGGGAGGCATAGGTTGTAGTGAGCCGAGATAGCGCCATTGCACTCCAGCCTGGGCAACAGAGCCAGACTCTGATGAAAAAAAAAGGAAGAAGAAGGAATGACATCAAGTCCCCTCTAGAGTCGGGAATGGTCACTCAAGATAGAGATGATTCTGCTTTCTCAATCCAATGTAAGTTCTTTAGAGAGAGGAGCCACTGAGACCTAAAGAAACAAAAGAATCGTCCCCTCAGTCATTCAAACCTGCTACTGAAGCTATGGGACTTCTCAGAAGAATCCTCAAAGATAAGACCAGCGTGGGATGGCCATAGGCCCCCACAAGCTGTGATGCTAGAGAGAGTGACTATTTTCCCTGATTTCACAGCCAGCCACCTGCTTAGCCTGAAAGGAATACCCAGAGGGAGTCAAAGGAAGGTGATGGAGTTGGGAGAAAGAAGGCAGAACTTGGGCCACATCTGCATGGGGAAAAAAAAGAGAGGAAGCTGGGCATAGCAGCTCATACCTATAATCCCAAAACTTTGGGAGGCCGAGGTGGGAGGATCACTTGAGCCAGGAGTTGAGACAACTTGAGACCAGCCTGGGCAACATAGTGAGACCCATCTCTACAAAACAACAAAAACAAATTAGCTGAACATAGTGACACACACCTGTAGTTCCAGCTACCCAAGAGGCTGAGGTGGGAGGATCACTTGAGCTCAGGAGTTTGAGGCTGCAGTGAGTCATGATCATGCCACTGCACTCCAGCCTGAGTGACAGAGCAAGACTGTCTCAAAAAAAAAAAAAAAAAAAAAAAAATTCCCGGAGAAGGGTGATATACAAATGTGAGAGAGAGAAGAGGTGAAGAAGTTAAGGCAACTTTTAGGCAGGTGCAAGAATTGAGGAGCACTGTTTAAAGAGCATTCGCTAGGAGTTAGGCTGCCAAGATGTTCTTTGTCTTGACCCTATATATAGTTCACATCATTTTAGTACCATCTTTCCCCATATTTAAAAAAGAGATAATGATACTTCTTATATTTGCAAAAAAAAAAAAAAAAAAACAAGTGAACTTCTTTGGAAGGTTAATAAATCTTTCACATTGGTTTAGTTTGTAACCCAATTTTTTCCATTTTTCCCACTCCTGTTCCCCTATGAAGTCATTTAAATCTTCACACCAAAATGGAATTGCAGCTGCCTTCTCTGAGCACTCGGGGTAACTGCATGTACTTTTCTTCTTAAGTTTTATTTTAGGTTCAGGGGTACATGTGAAGGTTTGTTATATAACTAAACTCGTGGCATGGGGGTTTGTTGTACAGGTTATTTCACCACCCAGTATTAAACCCTGTACCCGATAGTTATCTTTTCCGCTCCTCTCCCTCCTCCCACCCTCCACCCTCTAGTAGACCCCAGTGTCTATTGTTCCCCTCTTTGCGTTCATGAATTCTCATCATTTAGCTCCTAATTATTAGTGAGAACATGAGGTGTTTGGTTTTCTGTTCCTGCGTTAGTTTGCTATTTCCAGTGCTTTTCTGTGTCTGCCTTCCCCACAAAACTGGAAACTCCCCCAGGGTGGCCACGGCATCTCATTCCTCCCCGCAACCCCGGGCCCTTGCTGGGTTAGGTTCTGGGATTTAGTAAGCAGTGAAATGTTTGCTAAAGGAATGAATGAACCCCTGGGCATTCCATTTATTACCTCAAGGTATCCCCTCACTAAAGCTTTGAGTTAGATAATACTTTGGGAAAACAACAGGGAGTGAATGATGAGGACTGTCTGAATATATGTCCTGCTTAAAGCATTTTTTTTTTAAATCTTAAAATACAACTGTAAACAAAATTTCAACCTATGAACTTCTAGGTTATAACTTCTGAAAGGTAGGTACTGTCATTCCCATTTACCAAGCGAGAAACCTAAGACTAACTTTCTTGCAGTCACATTGAAAGTTTCTGACTCAGAACAAGCATCCTGGCTTTTAGTCTTAGCTCACAGATTTCCTCTCAAAAGTGTGGCTCTTTTATGAGCGCTTAGCTGTGAGAGAATGAGCAGTCAGTCGGTGGTAAGAACAAGTAATTCATGAACCTTTCCAGAGGATCAGTAAACAGACCTTCGCCGCCGCCCCTGCCTTCCTGCACTCCGCCCTTTGACAATGTTTGCGTCCCATCCTAAGGTCTCCAGGGTGGAACCTGCCCAGATGGTGTGAGAGGAGGAGCTTAGTTAAGCAAGAGGCATGTATAATGAAGCTTCGAGTGAACTAGCTAAGAAGAAACATGCAGGCCAGGCCCGGTGGCTCACGCCTGTAATCCCAAAACTTTGGGAAGCCGAGGCGGGAGGATCACTCGGTCAGGAGATCGAGACCATCCTGGCCAACATGGTGAAACCCTGTCTCTACTAAAAATACAAAAAATTAGCCAGGCGTGGTGGCACATGCCTGTAATCTCAGCTACTATGGAGCCTGAGGCAGGAGAATTGCTAGAACCCGGGAGGCGGAGGTTGCAATGAGCCAAGATCGCACCACTGCACTCCAGCCTGGTGACAGAGCAAGACTCCAGCTCAAAAAAAAAAAAAAAAATAGTAACATGCAGAAGAAAACCCAATGAAGACTGCTATAGAAGTTGTTTGGCATTTCCTAGGTTGGAGAGGGATGGGGTGGAGACCTAGAACTATCATCGTCATAGCTGGTCAGTCCTTGGCTTCACTCCACAGGATTTATCCTTTTTACTGAGGCTGTCCTATCTCCTTGGTACACCTATTAGTCTAGTGGGGACCAGTAGTTCATGTTCCTACATATTTATGCAGGATTAGCAAACTGGTGTGTGTCATTGTCATTAACATCATCATCTCCATCATCACCACCACCACCATTGCCACCATGCCCAGCACCTCATAGTTTACCAAGTGTTTTCGTATTCACCTTCTCACTCTGTGCTGACAACAGCCCTTTGTGGACAGCTCTGTTGTTGTGATCATGTGTACTAAAATCACTGGCTTTTCCTTGGGCCTTCAAATGAGTATTTTCATAGTATGAGAGTAGAGATAGGGTCAGAAAAAGTACTATTAAATAACCTAGGAGAGAAGAACCCTTTATAATACTTTGCCTTTGTGAGTCACTTGGTGGGGGTCACCTATTTAGCACTTCTGCTAGTTTTTTGCTACTAAGGATGCTAACCAAAATAAAAATAAGGACATTAAGAAGATAGATTATAATAACCAGAGTAATTTCCCAAATTCTCCTTTTGAAAAACAAGACTAAGGCCCACTGAGTCAAGTCATATGTGGAATGAAAATGTAATGAAATAATAGTAAATAATAATAGTACTATATATAAATGTTTAGCTCTTTGAAAAGTGCTTTTGTCTAATTTGGCCTCACAACTACTTTCAAGTTATTAAAATAATCATTATCTCCATTTTAAAGATAAAAAAGAATTTCAGTTAAATAACTCATTGATGTAAGAAACAGAACAAAGCTCTAATAGGAAATTTTCTTGCCCATTTAAGAAACTCAAATCAAAGAAATTTTTAAAACAATATCCTTACTTTTACAGTCTATTAATAAACAATTTGACATTAATGCTTGAAATGTGGATTTTATACAATAGTGTGTGTTGAAAGGTTCACAGGATCTTTGTTGAATATAGAGACTCACGGGGTATCATTGAAAATATGCCTTCATTTATCTGGTTTCTGTAGAGCCTGTTTCTGGTGGTTTTTGTATCTTTGCCTCCCACCTCATCCCCAGTCACAACAAGTGTATTTTCTTCTATGGGGACAGGAATCACCTAGTAATAGGTAAAGGTCTGGTTCAGTGGTTTCCCACCTAGACTGCACATTAAATTTTCTGTGGGCTTTTTAAAAAGACAGAAACCTTCTAGTAACCAGAACAGCATGGTCCTGGCATAAAAACAGACACATAGACCAATGGAACAGAATAGAGAACCCAGAAATAAATCCATGCACTTACAGCCAACTCATTTTTGACAAAAACCCCAAGAACATTGGAGAAAGAATGGCCTCATTAATAAATGGTTTTGGGAAAACTGGATATCCATATGCAGAATAATGAAACTAGATCCTCATTTTTACCATATACAAAAATCAACTCAAAATGGATTAAAGACTTAAGTGTAAGACCTTAAACTATAAAACAACTAAAAGAAAAACACTGGGGAGATGGTACAGGACATCGGTTTGAGCAAAGATTTATCTGCATAAGGCCTCAGAAGCACAGGCAATAAAAGCAAAAATGGCCAAATGAGATTACATCAAGCTAAAAAGCTTCTGCACAACAATGGAAACAATCAACAAAGCAAAAAGACAACCTACAGAATGGGAGAAAAATATTTGTAAACTATCCACCCGACAAGGGATTTGTAACCAGAATATAGAAGGAACTCAAACAACTCAATAGCAAAAGACAAATAATCCAATTTGAAAATGGGCAAAAGACCTGAATAGACATTTCTCAAAAGAAGATATACAAATGGCCAACAGGTATAATGCCCAACATCAATCATTAGGGAAATGCAAATCAAAACCACAATGAGATATAATTTCATTCCAGTTAGAATGGCTATTATCAAAAAGACAAAAAATAGGCCTGGCATGGTATCTCACATCTGTAATCCCAGTGCTTTGGGAGGTCAAGGCAGGAGGATCACTTGAGGCCAGGAGTTTGCGGCTGCAGTCAGCTATGATTGCATTAATGCACTCCAGCCTTGCAACAGAGGTAGACCCTGTCTCTAAAAGAATAAAATATTCCAGGTATGGTGGCTCACACCTGTAATCCCAACACTTTGGGAGGCCGAGGTGGGTGGATCACTTGAGTCCAGGAGTTCAAGACCACCCTGGGCAATATGACAAAACACTGTTTCTACAAAAACTTAGGAGGACATGGTGTGTGTGCCTGTATTCCCAGCTACTCAGGTGGCTGAGGCAGGAGAATGGTTTGAGCCTGGGAGGTCAAGGACGCAGTGAGCCATGTTCGTGCCACTGCACTCCATCCTGGGCTACAGAGTGAGAGCCGTCAAAAAAATAATTAATATTAATAAATAAAGAAAAGTTAAAAAATAAATAAAAGAAACAGTGGCAAATGCTGGTAAGGATGTGGAGAAAGAGGAACCCTTGTACGCTGTTGGTGGGAATGTGTGGTAATATAGCCATATAGAAAACAGTATGGAGATTTCTCAAAAAACTAAAAATAGAATTACCATATGATTCAGGAATCCCACTGCTGGGTATATATCCAAAAGAATGGAAATCAGTATATCAAAGTCATATGTGCACTCCCATATTTATTGCAGCACTATTCACAAGAGCCAAGATATGGAATCAACCTGTGTCCATCAATGGATAAATGGATAAAGAAAATATGGCATATATGCACAAGGAAATATTATTCAGCCATAAAAAAGAATGAAATCCTGTCACTTGCAGCAACACAGATGGAACTGGAAGTCATTATGTTATGCAAAATAAGCCAGGCACAGAAAGACAAATACTGCATATTTTCATTCATATGTAAGGGCTAAAAAAGTGGATCTGATAGAGGTAGAGAGTAGAATCATGGTTACCGGAGGCTGGAAAGGAAAGTAGGGAGGGGAAATAAAGAGAAGATGGTTAAGGGGTACAAATATACAATTATGAGGAATAACTTCTGGTACTTGATAGTACAGTAGAGAGATTATAGTTAACTATAATTTATTACATATTTCAAAATAGAAGAATTATAATGGTCCCAACCCAAAGAAAAGATAACTATTTGAGTGATAGACATCCCAAATACCCTGATTTGCTCATTATACATTGTGTACAGGTATCAGAATATCACATGGTCCCCAAAATTACATGTACAACGATTCAACTATTGTTATAGCAGTAGGTAGTTAGGCAGACATGAGAAGGGCAGGACAAGGTGCCCCCTCACTTCCCCCTGCACCAGGAATGTCAGGTGACCATCAGTTGATGGTCAGGTGGTGGCTAAATCAATAATAATTGGTTGCAGCTAGTGTCTCCCAATAGACAGAAAACACCTGAAACTGGTGAGCAGCAGCTTCCTGATAAGATCTCAGGAGGTGGGCGAGTGGGCTCAAGCATGCACACTCAGGGGCAAAATGGCAGAGTTTAACTGGTATATGACCTTCTAGAACACCCAACTGGTAAGGGAAGAGAGCCTCGAGTGAGCACATGCACAACGCCAGTAAACACACTGTGCATGTGGCCCCTCCCAAGTGCTAGCAGGCCACTGCACATGCGGACAGCCCACCCCAAGGGAAGAATCAGAAGAGATGTAACACAACCCGGAAAGCCTGCCAACATACATAACACCAAGTTGAAGGTCAAACTGCGCACTTGATCTCTCAAGTCACCCAATTGGCCCTCTTCCAAGTGTACTGTATTTTCTTCATTCCTGCTCTAAAACTTTTTGATAAACTTTCACTCCCTCTGTATAACTTGCCTGGGTCTCTCCTTCTGCCTTATGCCCCTGGGTTGAATTCTTTTTTCTGAGGAGGCAAGAACTGAGGTTGCTGGCCAGGCGCAGTGGCTCACACCTGTAATCCCAGCACTTTGGGAAGCGGAGGCAGGTGGATCACAAGGTCAGGAGTTCAAGACTAGCCTGACCAAGATGGTGAAACCCTGTCTCTACTAAAAATACAAAAATTAGCCGGGCGTGGTGGCGGGCGCCTGTAATCCCAGCTACTCAGGAGGCTGAGTCAGGGAATTGCTTGAACCTGGGAGGCGGAGGTTGCAGTGAGCTGAGACAGTGCCACTGCCCTCCAGCCTGGGCAACAGAGTGAGACTCCATCTCAAAAAAAAAAAGAAAAGAAAAAGAATTGAGGTTGCTGCAGATCTGTATGGATCTGCTGCTAACACTATTATTTATCAATCAAAAAACAAAACATAGATGCCTAGCTCCTCTCTCAACAGCAATTTAATCTGAATCGCAGGGAATAGAGGCCAGGTGTTTGTGCCTTTTAAATCTCCCCAAGTGTTTCTTATATAAAGTAAAGGCTGAAAACCACAGATAACAATTTTACCTTATAGTATTACTTTAAATATTACTACTGTCATCATGATCATGATTCTTGCCTGTTTGTTTGCCAGTTTAATTTTATAAGAATTAATGGCAACAAGGGCATCATCCTCCAGTATGAGCCCTTTTTTATATTATGCTTTCCCGGTAGCTTGGTGATGTTGAGGCAGCTGCAGAACCAGAAGAGGAAAGGGTCAGGGCTTTCCTAGGCCAGTCTTTCCATGATAAAGAAATGGCGCTTGTCGATTAAATAAATTTCTTGAAAGATCTCCGCATAGTTTTTCATTCTCCCTTAATCTGACTGTGAGCTAAATTGCAATCTGAAATATTTAAGTTATATCACCAATCAAGTGGCTAATTGAGAAATCTCCTTCTCCTTCTCCCTGCAAAGCTCAACCAGACTGTTATAAATGCAAAGTTAGTCCAGGCACAGTGGCTCACGCCTGTAATCCCAGCACTTTGGGAGGCCAAGGTGGATGAATCACTTGAGGACAGGAGTTCAAGACCAGACTCACCAACATGGTGAAACCCCCATCTCTACTAAAAATACAAAAATTAGCTAGGTGTGGTGGCAGGCGCCTGTAATCCCAGTTACTTGGGAGGCTGAGGCACAAGAATCCCTTGAACTGGGAGCAGGAGGCTGCGGTGAGCTGAGATCACACCACTGCACTCCAGCCTGGGCAACAGAGTGAGTCTCCATCTAAAAAGATAATAATTACAATTAAAAATGAATAAATAAATGCAAATTTAAACCTACTTGCCACATGCCCCTAAATATGTTTGCATTAGATCTGTATTATTCTTAACTAATTCTGGTATAGAAAATGACAGGGCCTTGTTCAGGCTTCTCAGAAGTCTGTGCCAGGAGGGGCCCTAACCCAGAGCTGGAGATAGAGTTTCAGAAAGTATCTGTGACATGTTCTCTATATAAGCTATGGACTCTAGGCCATCGTGGCCCATCAGCTCCCTAGAAAGAGAGAGTGGGCCACCTAACCCTATGAGGGGCACTCTGAGTACAGCAAGGGCCCCAGAGAGGAGACAGGCCAGTCCGGGGGCTAAGGGAAGCTGCCCCAGGGGGCAAAGGTCATTTTTTGGAAAATAAAATCCCAAACCTCTGACTGAGTTATACTCCAGTACACAATTCTATATATATTCTAACCTTGAACCACTTCTCTTTCCAGACAAAGTGGATAGGCATGTGCATTGTTCAAAGCTCTGTTCACTGGGAAGATTTTCTCTTACCCCTGTCTTTTTCAAGGTCAGGCCTGAGTGACACTAAGTGCGGCTGTCATCAACATTCAACTTGCGCACGAGTACCAAGCCAACCCATCCATAAAGCAAGCTTGGGCTTTTTGATCCTCCTTTAGCTGTTGGTTAAGAATTGCCCATATAGCCATGGGTGTTAGAAGAGGGATGGGTGCCAGTGTAACAGTGGTGGGTGCCAGGAGTCTGAGCTCTCGGCTGTGTAGCCTGCTGTGCCCTCTTCCTGCTTTGCTCAGTTCCAAGTGTATACCACTTCTATTGTATAATGAATTTTGCTGGGCCCATCTGACCTTATGACTGACGGATATGACAGGACCCAGTTCAAGAAGAGTAGTTCTGACCAGGTGCAGTAACTCACACCTGTAATCCCACACTGTGGGAGGCCAAGGCGGGAGGATCCATTGAGCCCAGGAGCTAGAGACCAGCCTGGGCAACATAGTGAGACTCTGTCTCTAAAAAAAAAAAATAATAAATTAGCCAGGGATGGTTGTGTGTGCCTATAGTCCCAGCTAGGCTGAGGTGGGAGGATCGCTTTAGCCCAGGAGGTCAAGGCTGCAGTGAGTGGTGACTGTGCCACTGCACTTCAGCCTGGGTGACAGAGTGAGACCCCCATCTCAGAAAAAAAAAAAAAAGAGCAGTTCTGATGTGTCACATGGGCAGGCATTCTGCTTCTATCATAGTTTCTAGCCCAGTACCATGTCTGGAGTTATTTTTTTTAAAGGCACATGTTTCATCAGCATATTGCATGGTTTTGATCCACGCTGGAAAGTGAGAACGGTAAAACTGGGTTAATTTACCTCACGGGAGTCATCATAAGGATCAGAGTAGATAAGGCTGGTGAAAGTATTATACCATCACAACATTATTGTTGCAGAAAAGATTGTTACTTTGGATGTTGCTTGGAAATACATTCGCGGTGAGCAGAGACTTAATTTTTTTTTATTCTAGCCTTTTGATGACTATGGTATTACTTATAAAAGGATTTTATCTCAAGCAAAACAAAAAAGCAATGTTTAACAATAGCTCTAGTTGAAGATACTGCTTAGAATCTAGGCCGGGCGTGATGGCTCACACCTGTAATCCCAGCACTTTGGGAGGCCAAGGCAGGCAGATCACGAGGTCAGGAGTTTGAGACCAGCCTGGCCAACATGGTGAAACCCCGTCTCTACTAAAAATACAAAAATTGCTGGGCATGGTAGCACACGCCTGTAATCCCAGCTACTCAGGAGGCTGAAGCAGGAGAATTGCTTGAACCCAGGTGGCGGAGGTTGCAGTGAGCTGAGATCGCACCACTGCACTACAGCCTGGGCAACAGAACGAGACTCCATCTCAAAAACAAAACAAAACAAAACAAAAGAATCTATCTGCCTGGCCAGCCTGTAAGCAATCTATGTGGCAGGGTTTCTCGTGTGTTTTTACGTCTTTGGTGGTGATGGTGGTGGAGACAGCTGATTTTTAGTAGTTGCCCAAGGAGACATACTGATATAAACCCTGCATCTTCCACCCCAAGCCAACAGAAGTTGAGCACCCCCCTCTTATCTTAAATAAATGGGTCACACCCAGGCTTTAGAAAAGAGTTTTTTGTTTTTCGTTGTTTTTTTTTTTTCTAATACACTTTAATTGTATTAGCTGCATTGGTATCTGTTAAAGAAATGCTCCCTATTAGAGCTTGACGGCAGATTGAGAAAGAGTGTGTAAGATGAGTCAAATCTCCAAGCCAGCTGTGTAAGGTGGGGAGCAGACAGAAGAGAATCCACTTAATAATGATGTTGGAGCTTGCTTTAAAAAGACAAATTAAGTGTTTTAGCATCTATATCATCAACTGCATTTTATAATTCAATTATTTAATACCTCTGTCCAAATTATCAGCAGTCCAGAAAGCCTCTCACCACTCCCACCAGCAGGTTAAGGGCCTTATCAGCATCCCCAGTATAGGAGTCAGATGATAATTCTCAACTGAGCACAACAATGTTGGGCCCCACTCTGAGTCTCCTGACTCACAGGCCCAGTTCCAGGGCTGTCATTCATCCAGCCTCACAATCCCCAGCTCTACTCTTTAAGTTTCCAGCCTTGGGGGGAGTTCCCCTCCAAGAGAAAGGAGGGGCAGGGTGGGTTTTCAAAATCCAAGGCCTGAGCGGTGACTGGCCCAGGGCCTATCTCTAGTCTTTGGGATATGGCTGGGCTCCCATTCTTCCTCCAAATTAGGCTACCTACCAGCATTGCTGGAAGAAGGCATCTCCTAGGCCCATTAAATGCTGTGCCTGGCCTAGTGCCTTTGTGTCCAAAAGGCAGAGCCAAACCATCCCAGGGGTCCAGCTCTCAAGGTATGCAATCAGATGACCAGATATGGCAGAAAACCAAAGGGTGCAGTAGCTGGGCATGTGCCTGGGTGGACTTACATGGGGTGGAGCTAAGGTCTGGGTCCAGTCCTTCCGGGCTGGCTTTAATGCAGCACTTTCAGAATGGAGCTTGCTGTTCAGAAAACAATATTTGTCAGAATAATTTTCTTTCTTTCTTTCTTTTTCCTTCCTTCCCCTTCCCTTCCCACCCCTTCCCTTTTTCTTCCTTCCTTCCCTTCCCTTTTTCTTTCTTCCTTCCTCTTTTCTTTCTTTCTCTTTATTTCTTTCTCTTTCTTTTCTTTTCTTTCTCTATTTCTTTCTTTTCCTTCCTTCCTTCCTTCCTTCCTTCCTTCCTTCCTTCCTTCCTTCCTTCTCTCCCTCCCTCCCTCCTCTCCTTCCTTCTTCCCCTTCTTCTTTCGTTTCTTCCTTCCCTCTCTTTCTGTCTTTCCATTTCTTAATAATAAGTGATGAGGCCGGGCACAGTGGCTCACGCTTGTAATCCCAGCACTTTGGGAGGCTGAGGCAGGCTGATCATGAGGTCAGGAGTTCGAGACCAGCCTGGCCAACACAGTGAAACTCTGTCTCTACTAAAAATATAAAAATTAGCTGGGCATGGTGGCGGCCGCCTGTAATCCCAGCTACTTGGGAGGCTTAGGCAGGGAATCTCTTGAACCTGGGAGGCGGAAGTTGCAGTGAGCCGAGATCGTGCCACTGCACTCCAGCCTGGGAGACAGAGCTAGACACCATCTCAAAATAAATAAATTAATAAATATAAAAAAAATAAGTGATGAATGTTGGACATGGTGGCTCATGCCTGTAATCCCAACACTTTGGGACTACACCGGTAATCCCAGCACTTTGGGCCAATGCAGGTGGATCACCCGAGGTCAGGAGTTCAAGGCCAGCCTGGCCAACATAGTGAAACCCCATCTCTCCTAAAAATACAAAAATTAGCCTGTAATCCCAGCTATTCAGGAGGCTGAGGCAGCAGAATTGCTTGAACCCAGGAGGTGGAGGTTGCAGTGAGCCAAGATCGTGACCACTGTACTTCAGCCTGGGCAACAGAGTGAGACTCCATCTCAAAAATATAATAAAAATAAAAATAATAAGTGATGAAACTTTTGGAAGTTTGGTGACTTGGGCCCAGTGTCTTTATCTCAGAGCTTATATTCACGTGTGACCAGTTAGTTAAATTGTCCAGAAATGCAAAACAGTAATCACAGGGACCCATCCTGAGTCTTCCACGGAGGTTAACTCTGGTCTATGACCCAGACTTCTTCCCTTTTCCCTCAGAATCAGCCACCTTCTTGCCTCATAAAAACAGGGAGGGGTTATCATGCCTCCCTCCCCTCTCACATGACCTTGCAAGGCTTCAGTTACAGTGTCTTACCATGAGCCCACGTGTCACAGCACTAGCAGAGCCAGCCTCACTTAACTGCCTTTTGTTGCCAACATTAACTGCTGGGCTTCCTGGGTGCTTCAAACCAGAAGCCTTCCTGGGGGCTTAACATCAGAAGCATCTCAACACGTAGCACCAGGGCCACAGGCTATGACTGGAACTCTTGTGGTTGTGCCCTGTGGTCATTTTGCCAGTTATGAGTGAACCTCAAACAATCGACAACTGGGGCTCTGTCCCAATAACCTCCCTGATAGCTTGCATGTTTCTCTTAACCTCATGAGTCTGCAGAAGCAGGCTGGCAAGTGTTCAAGAACAGGCCATCTCATGAGGTTTCCTGTACTTCCTGCCACTGCTGTCGCTGCTGCCAGGGGCACACTCCCCCAGAAAAGCCTTTCTCATGATAGGTTAGCATTTCTGCTACCAGTTGTGGCAGAGGCCAGATGTGAAGGGCATGAAAAGGCAAAATAATGAAAAGGAAATATACCCTCCACTTTCTTGTTTTAGAGCTTTTTTTCCTTTGTTTTTGTGGATTTGTTTTGGAGGAAAGGGAATAGAAGAAAGGGGTGATGGTTTGAAAAATTAACATGTAAGCCCGTGTAAAATTTGCAAAGAGGATTCACAGCGGGTTGGAAGAGGAAGAGGTCGTGTCATTGTGGAATTAGCCAAAGGAATGTGCAGCCCTTTCAGTTGTACACTAAAATGGCAGAAGTTTGCACCAGTCAAAACCAACATCCCAGTTCTTTCCCTGCATTCACCTGGGTCCTCTTTCATGAAGTCTCTGTCCAGTTCATTGAGTGGTATTGTCTTATACTCAAGAGGAAATCACCAGGTTCAGCACAGTAGGGAACATTGACAGACTGTGGTCACCACAGCCAGATGTTCCAAACTGTCCTGAAGGGCTGAGAAGCTTGTCATGTTCAATAATGTATCCCAGTGCCCAGAAAAGTGCTTGGTACCAAACTGACACTCAAGAGATTATAAATATCCCTTGATGATTGAATAAATGAATAGAGGTGATTTTGGCTGACATTAACATTAGATTTAGAGAAAAATAGTTATTTTATAGCAAAACAGATATAAATTACTTTATTACCATAGAATAATCTCTGTCCCCTTTCTTTGTTCACTATCTTTATTAATCCATAAGTGAATCTCCCCTGCCCCATCCCCAGTCATATACCCATATGAAGTGCTGACATTTTATTTTTCTGTACTCACTGATGACAGATTTTTTTTAAAAAAGATGGCAGCTTGCACAAGGAGCAGGGTGGTCGACGTTACCTGACAAGGTCCCTGGCCTGTGTATCTTCTCCTCAAAGCCTCAAATGCTCATGCAGCCCAAGGATAGAGGGAACCAGAGAGCTGTGGTCAGCCTGAAGTGACTTTGCCACATCTGAAATGACCCATGAGCTAAGGGCCTATGGAGACTACAACAGTTGTGAGACTCCCACAGCAGTTCCAGATAACTTTTAAAGTTATCTAATCCAACTGCTCAGCCTCCCAAAGTGCTGGGATGACAGGCGCGAGCCACCACACCTGGCCACATCTGTATTCTTTATGCTATATTAAGGTAGCATCATCCTCAGTCCTGCCATGTTGTTACTACTGGTTTTCCTTGTATTGAGCTTTCCCCTAAATGTGCCCACTGGGCTTCTGTGCTTGAGTTCATGGATAGCCAGGACTTGCCATGTCTGCTGGGCCCAGCAAACCTGCAAAAGCATGCCCTCCCACAGCAACATTGCAGTCACCAAACATTGTCCACCAAGTCTCTGGGAAATCCATAACAATGCATTTACATTCTTTTTTTTTTTTTTTGAAATAGAGTTTTGCTCTTGTTGCTCAGGCTGGAGTGCAATGGTGCGATCTCAGCTCATGGCAACCTCTGCCTCCCGGGTTCAAGTGATTCTCCGGCCTCAGCCTCCCAAGTAGCTGGGATTACAGGCGCATGCCACCACGCCCAGCTAATTTTGTATTTTTGGTAGAGACAGGGTTTCTCCATGTTGGTCAGGCTGGTCTCGAACTCCCAACCTCAGGTGATCTGCCCGCCTCAGCCTCCCAAAGTGCTGGGATTACAAGCGTGAGCCACTGCGCCCGGCCACATTTGCATTCTTATATGGAAATTGACTGCTTATTTTGTTACTTAAACTCTAGTATCACTACTGAACTCTTATGTCTGCCCTCTTGTTGGCCATTTTCTGTGTTCTCTCTTTGCTACTGTTAACAGTCTTCATAGAATCTGATTTTGTCCTTTTACCTTGAGATGTGTTCTCATACTTTAAATTCTAGATTTTGACCAGGGCAGGATATATACAAGACAAGCTTAAAACATCTTGTAGTGCCAGAAAGTAAGAAAGTGCTCAAAAACAAAAACAAACAAAAAAAACCAAATAAACAAAACAAACACACACTGATGGGGCTATGTCAAAGAGACACAGGAGGAAACTGAAAGTGCTCCCAATGTCCAAAACTAGAACAATTTGAGCAAAAAAATAAAGTAGTACTGAAAGTAGAAAACCTGCTTATTCATATAAACTGGCCAGGTGCAGTGGCTCATGCCTGTAGTCCCAACACTTTGGGAGGCTGAGGTGGGTGAAACACTTGAGGCCACGAGTTCAAGACCAGCCTGGCCAACATGGTGAAACCCTGTCTTTATTAAAAATACAAAAATTAGCCAGGTATGGTGGCACACACCTGTAATCTTAGCTACTTGGGAGGCTGAGGCACAAGAATCACTTAAACCCGGGAGGCAGAGGTTGCAGTGAGCTGAGATCGCACCACTGCACTCCAGCCTGGGTGACAGAGTGAGACTCTGTCCCCCCTAAGAAAAAAGAAAGAAAAAGAAAAAGGAAAAAGAAAGTAGAAAATCTGCTTATTCATATAAATGAATATCCTTTCTGTCGCCTTCTTCCTCATCTTTGTTGGATTTACTCTGCCTTTGGCTGGAATTTTATCCTCTCTCATTGTTCATTATACAATGAAATACCAAACTCCTGTGGGGTTTTTGGTTGGGGTTTTGTCTATTTTTTGTTTTTATTGCATTTTCTTAGGCATCTTCTCTCTTTTCACATTTGAGATGGGCTTTGAAGGCTGATAGTGATAAGGGATAGGGAGAAAAGGTAAAACAGGCAAGAAGTATGTGAAATGCCTGGATGGAGTTTGACATTGTAGATAGCATGACCAGGTAAGGCCCCACTGAGGGGAGCACTTTAAGTAAAGTGCAGGAGGAAGTGATGAAGTGAGCCATGTGGTTATCTAGGAACAAGCATGACGGACAGAAGAGCAAGCACAAAGGTCCTGAACCAGGAGCAAGCCTGGCATGATTTAGAAATAGCAAAATGTGGCTTAAGCCAAGTGACTGAGGAGGAAATCAGCAGGAGATTAAATCAGGGAGGTCATAGGAGGAGAAGCAGGTCATGTAGATCATGATATGGATTTTGTGTTACTATGCTGGGGAGTGAGGAGATACTATTAGAAATTGTATATGTGAATGTGTTTGTGAGGTTTGTACCTGGAATGATCCAGGAAAAGTGGATCCAGGCTAAATTTGCCAGACTAAGAGTTAAGGACTCTTCCTTTTAAGCAGAGAGCAAGGTCATTAAGAAGAAGAGAGAATGCATGTATGCAACAGTTTCCAGGCTATAGTTTAGTTCTGTGCATACTGTGAGAATGTGTTGAATGTTTGTTGATTGGTTTATTGATAATTTCTAAAGTTTGCAGGTAGAGAAATAGATCGAGAAAATTGTCATGAGTAACTGGAAAAGTAGAGCCAGGTCTTTTGACTGATAGCTCTGTGGCATCTCTAGGCACCACTTTCTTTAGAAATTTGGCTCTGATGAAAATTAATACCAGACCACTTAACTTGGAGCTAGCATCAAAAGTATCCAGAAGAGAGATTTAAAATGCACACACTTCAGCCTATTCTTAGGAACTCCATGTAAGTAGGCTGGGGGAAGGGCCCAGGCACACGTATTTTGAGAAAGCTCCCAGGTAATTCTGATGTGCACCCCTGGTCAAGGAGCCAATTGCAAACCTCTAAATCCATGGAATAGTTGTTTAATTGTAATGTCTGTAAGACCCAAGTTAGTGGAGTATGTGAGAATCCCTACACCAGCTATTTATGAGCAATGGACAAATAAATCAAGGAAATACAAACAGGAAAGTCACTTGGCTGCCTTTAAATACAGTTTCTTCTCATTAGAGTGAACATCACCTTTAAGAAATTTGCATCATTTGAAAAACCTAGAGCTAAAAATTTTCTTAGCACTGTCTGTGAACAATGAGCAAGTTGGTCCAAAGTTTCATTGGGTTCATTTCTCTCAATATATTGCTCTAATAATCAATGCCATCACTCAGAGTAGCTGCCATTGTAGAATGCCTCTGCCATACTAAATAAATTTTTAAGTTCTTATTTTGAAAAATGTGTAGGGCTTTATAAATTTGATTCTTAGGGGGGAAAACTGAATTAGGTTGTTTTTATTTTGCATACACTATTAGACTGACTAACTCTTTTGGTAGACAAACAGAAGGTTCCACATCCCTGATCCAAGAGGATATGACTAAGAAAAGCAATAGAGTAAATAAGATTGTAGAAGGTGACACGGTTTGAATGTGTACCTTCCAAGTTCATGTCTGCAATGTTGAGAGATGGGATTTTGGGGAGGTGATTGGTTTATGAGTGCTCTAACCTCACAAATTGATTAATTCCACTCATGGGTTAATGGATTAATGGGTTGTGGAGGGGGTGGGTTAGTTATCACAGGAGTGGATCTGTTGTAAAAGCCAGTTTGGACATCTCTCGTGAGCCCCCTCACCATGCAATGCCCTGAGCCACCTCAGGACCCCACAGAGAGTGCCCAGCAGCAACAAGGCCCTCACCAGATGCAGCCCCTATACCCTGGACTTCACAGCCTCTAGAACTCTAAGAAATACACATATTTTCTTTATAAATTATCCAGTCTCAGTTATTCTGCTATAGCAACAGAAAACAGACTAAGACAGACGGTATTCTAAACATAGTAGCTTGGAACTCAGGCTCCAGTGTCAGACAGTTCTGAGCTCACTCTAGTTCTCTGTCATATATCAGCTTTGTGAAATGGAATAACTATCCTCAGCTTCATCATCTGTAAACTGGAAATCATAAAGGTACCTATCCCTTGTATTTTGCAGGGAATAAAAGAGAACATTTATGTAAAATGCTTAGCTCACAGTGCCTAAGTGATAATAGGTGTTTAATAAATGTTAGCTCTTATTTTTTTCATAGATACTGAGATACATCCTAAAACTGAGTCTTATAATGTTACTTGCTAGATTTTTTCTTTCTTATCAATATGTGAGTTGCTTACAATTGGTGCTATCTTAAAGTTGATGAAAAAGATATTAATGACTACTAGTGTACAGAATAGTCAGTGACTTTAGTAAACATAAATTTACAAATAGGGTTATGAGTTAATTCGTAATGTTTTGTTTAAATAATTTGAATAGGCCCAGAAGATATCTGCTTGTATTAGCAATTATATCAATTATTGAGTGTCTACTCAATAACAATAAATACTTCTTTCAAATATATTCCAAAAAGTCACCTTTATATTAATTCAGTGGACCTTCCAAATAATGCAAATTGATGCCATTGTAAACATCTATAAAATGATTTTTTTTTTTAGGCAGATGATAACAGCCTACCATTATCTGAATCTATTGAAATGGCATAATAGACTTTGGTTGCAACAAGAGAGATTACAGTCAGAGAGAAAGTAGAACTAGAAAGTGTAGACAGAACTACTCTGGTATGTCTTGGCTGCCTCCTGCTCTGAGCTGACTTGACACTAATTAAGCATCACTGGGGGCTGGGTGCCGTGGCTCATGCCTGTAATCCCGGAACTTTGGGAGGCTAAGGTGGGAGGATCACTTCAAGTCAGGAGTTCAAGACCAGCCTGGGCAACAAAGCGAGACCCTGTCTCTACAAAAAAAAAAAAAAAAAATTAAATTAGGCCGGGTGCAGTGGCTCACACCTGTAATCCCAACACTTTGGGAGCCCAAGGCAGGCAGATCACTTGACGTCAGGAGTTGGAGACTAGCCTGGCCAACATGGCAAAACCTGTCTCTACTAAAAATATAAAAATTAGCCAGGTGTGGTGGTGTGCCTGTAATCTCACCTACTCAGGAGGCCGAGGCAGGAGAATGGCTTGAGCCTGGGAGGCACAGGTTGCAGTGAGCCGAGATCGTGCCACTGCGCTGCAGCTTGGGTGACAGGGCAAGACTCTGTCTCAAAAAAAAAAAGCTGGGTGTGGTGGTGCATGCCTGTATTCCCAGTGGCTCAGCAGGCCAAGGTGGGAGGATTGCCTAAGCCCAAGAGTTCTAGGCTACAGTGAGCTACGATCACCTCACTGCAGTCCAGCCTGCGCAAAAGAGAGAGACCCTGTCTTTAAAACAAAACAAAACAAAACAAGAATCTCTGGGGACTCTTTACTGTGTCTGCTTTGAGGGTGCTGCTAAGAATATATCCACTGTATTGCTCAGTGTCCCTTTTAATGAGGACCCTTTGGAAAAAGTTTCCCCTAGTTTTAGTTTCAGTGTTCGTTATTCAACAAGTATTTACAGAGCATCCCACTATTTGCCAGACAGTGTTCTGGAAGGTACAGTCTTTGTGCTTATGGGCCTCACATAATAGGAGAAATATATAATGAGCAAATGATTAAATAAGTGAATAAAAGAATGTTATGTGGTGATTAACTGTTATGAAAAAAAATTAAAGAAGGTGAAGCAAGACAAGGGTGGAGATAAGGGAAGGGAGGCTTCTTAGACTGGAAAGTCAGAAACTTCTTTGAAGATGGGACTTTCAGCTGAGACCTGAATGGCAAATTCGACATGTGAAGATGTGGGGAACAAGCATTCCAGGAAGAGACAAAACATGGTGTAAAGGCCTCAAGTCAGGCATGAGTTTGGCATGTTCAAGGAACAAAAAGGAGATGAGGGGTGAGAAACATGGTGGAGAAGCAGGGAGGTGCTGGCTGACAAGGCTTCAGGGTCCAGCAAGGACTTGCAGGAATCAGAGGTGCAGTGGGAAGCTGTTAGAACTTGGAAACACATCTGAGCTACTCTGAATAAACAGTGTCATGTTTGTTTCATGATTCCTGTGACCTGTATATCTGAATCCATTTCCTTTTCTCATTCCCTGCTCAAAAGCTTAGGGCTAGATTTATGACCCAACTTTGTTAAATACCTAGGATCCAATCCTGTATGCTATGGACTGAATGTTTGTGCCCCCCAAATTCATATGTTGAAACCTTATCCCCAATGTGGTGATATTGGGAGGTGAAATGGGATTTGTGCCCGTATAAGAAGAGACATGAGGGAGCTTGCTCTGCCTCTCTGTTCTCTGCCACATGAGGCTACAAGAAGAAGACAGCCATCTGCACAGCAGGAAGCAGGCTCTCACTGGACACCAGATCTCCCAGCACCTTGATCTCAGTGCCTCCAAAACCATGATAAATAATGTCTGTTGCTCAAGCCATCCGGTCTATGGTACATTTGTCACAACGGCCCAGACTAAGAGTGCATTTTGTATTTGCTTCATTCCTGGTACCACCTTGTGCCTAGCACTGCGTTTCCTTTTCCTTTCTCTTTAACACTTCTTATTTTACCTAGTTCTGGCTTATGTTATCTTTTGAATAAGTCACTTCAAACCTTTTTTTGGATGAAGGTGTATGTACGTACATACATGTATACATAAACAATGGTGAAAGAATGGAGGTACTGATGCCTCTTTCATGGGATCTTCAGGATAGGACAGATTTTTATCTATCCACTGGAATGATTTCAGCTCAGATGAACTCAAAGCCCATCTATGACTGTCCGCATCTTGTGTTTTAGCATGTAGCTATGGTTTTAGAAGGGATCACAGTTGATACTCATTTGAAGTAGTTATGTTCTATAAAGTTTCTGTAAGCCCTCAGTGTATGAATACCAAACTATTTTTTTTTCTTTTGAGACAGAGTTGCCCAGGCTGGAGTGCAGCGGTGCAATCTCTGCTCACTGCTACCTTCGATTCCTGGGTTCAAGCAATTTTCCTGCCTCAGCCTCCCGAGTAGCTGGGATTACAGGCATCCACCACCACACCCGGCTAATTTTTTTGTATTTTTAGTAGAGACAGGGTTTCACCATGTTGGCCAGGCTGGTCTTGAACTCCTGACCTCAGGTGATCTACCCGCCTCGGCCTCCCAAAGTGCTGGGATTACAGGTGTGAGCCACTGCACCAGGCCAGCCAAACCATTTTTCCCAGGGGAAATATGGTGTTCCCACAAGCCGCTGGCCACATTTTCATTAACCAATCAATAGATACCTTTGTTTTATGTGTGTTTCTGTTTAAAGACACCTTATTTAATATATATTGTTGATTCATTAACATTGAACTCACAGCCAACAGCACTATAACTCATGCCTGAACCAAGCTTAGCTAACACATGTATTTTCTCCATAAGGCATTTAGTCTTGTTGCACTTAGCAACACCAGACAGCAATTTAGCCCTATGCTTGGGGGCCATTTTAACAGCACAATCACCAAAAGAAAGTGCAAAAGTATGAAAATTTAGCACTAAATAGACTGCAAAAATGACTCTTGTTTATAGTATGAGAGCTGGAACAAGAAGGCACAGCATCACCTGTTTCATCTTAGCTTGAAACATGTATGTCCAGCTACTCAAATATTTCTACCCTCTGCACATGCATCTGAATGATTAGGGAAGTGTCTTGAGCATAGATTTGGGGGCTGAAAATAAATTTTAGTGAGTAAAATTTGCAAACACAGAATCTGTGAAAAATAGGAATTTACTACATTTTAAAAAAATCTTTTACCTTTAAAGTAGACCAGGGTAATCCCAGTTTTGGGATGTATGTCAGCAAGACTGGGAGCTCTTTATCCATTTACTGAATGTAGGGGACCTTCAAATGAGGTAATCCTGGAGGCATATTTACTCCAATGTGAAAAATGCAATCCATAGTTCAAGTTTATATATACCAAGAAGCTGAGTGGTTCAGTCGTTGTACTACAGGTACATGGAGATTGTTTTTATGACTTGAAAGAAAGAGTCCATGTTATTGGGAACATTAGGCAAATGAATTAGGAGGCTTGTTTTTCAGCAGTTTTCCCTAAGGCAGTTAAGGAACCAGAAGGTATAATCAAAGTGGTCAGTTGTATCAGAAATTTCTGGAAGCACTGTGGTTGAGAGGAGAGGCAAAACTTCCAGCCTCTTATCTAGAGAGGGCCCTCACTGTCCTCAGAATTTGGACCTCCCAAACAGCTGGCCTCTAAATGGCTGCCCCGATGGGACAGACCAGAGGAACAAGGAGCAAAACTGGGCTCTTCGTAGTTTCCTGTTCTTCATTCCCCTTGGTCTGTGTTTGTGGCTTTCCACCACTCTCCTAGGTGTCACTCTTAGTTCTTCAGTCATGCTTGGTGCCCCTTCCTCTTGATCCCCCTGGCTGTCAGTTTCTGTCAGGCTCCACCTTGCATCTTTATTCACCTTCCCATGCTCACAGACACAAGCTTGGTCTATGCCTTCACTAATGCTCTCTAACTCTATTGCAAAACATGCCTGATCATTTTCTCTGCTTTCACCTCAACTTCCTCCAAGATAACTTCTTCCTCAAAGAACCCCTTCCTAAAAAGCCTTCTGGGATTCCTGTGTATGATTTAAACTCAAACACCTCTGACTTCAAATTCCTCTACCTACATTCCTAGTTCTTTCCAAAGTAATCCCTTGCTTCTTCGAGTCCTGCCTGTCACTGCTTTTCTACATGTGCTCATAAACTTTAGGCAAACTATTTTCCTTGCTGTTTTCAAAACATAACTAAATTTCCCAACATCATGTCAGGAGTTATCCTGCACCTTCTACCAGATATATCTTCTTTCTATAACCATCATTTACAACTATTCCCAGGATTAATGACAGTTTCCCAGTTCCCCTGCTGGCCAAATAGATGCAGTTTTCTGCGCCCCAAACCTCCAAAGCACTTTACTTTTGCCTTACTAGGATTTTACATGTTTTGCTTTGCTCTAATTATTTTTGTCTATATCTTTCTTGCCATTAATCCCTACTATAAGAGCCATAAAGTTTCCTTACCCGTAATTCCTAATAAAGGCCTTGCACAGAATAGGTGCTCAATAAATATTTATGAAACCTGAAGGGCGTTTTAATTATCACATGGTAAATTGGCAATTTGGTAGCCACCTCTTTAGAAAGGGAAAGAGGAAGAGAAGAGGGAAAGAGGAAGAGAAGAGGGAATGCCAGCAGAATTTTGGGCTGGGCGCCGTGGCTCACGCCTGTAATCCCAACACTTTGGGAGGCTGAAACGGGTGGATGGCTCAAGCCCAGGTGTTCAAGACCAGCCTGGGCAACATGGTGAAATCCCATCCCTACAGAAAAAAAATACAAAAATCGGCCCAGCATGGTGGCTCACACCTGTAATCCAGCACTTTAGGAGGCCGAGGCGGGCGGATCACGAGGTCAGGAGATCGAGACCATCTTGGCCAACATGGTGAAACCCCATCTCTACTAAAAATATAAAAATTATCTGGGTGTGGTGGTGTGTGCCTGTAATGCCAGCTACTCGGGAGGATGAGGTAGGAGAATCACTTGAACCCAGGAGGCGGAGGTTGCAGTGAGCTGAGATCGCGCCACTGCACTCCAGCCTGGTGACAGGGTGAGACTCTGTGTGTATATATATATGTGTATATATATATACGTATATATATACATATATGTATATATACACACATATATATATATAGCCTGTCTGTAGTCCCAGCTACTTACAGGGCTGAGGCAGGAGGATTGCTTGAGCTGTGGAGGTCGAGGCTGCAGTGAGCCACGATCATGCCACTTTACTCCAGCCTAGGTGACAAAGTAAGACCGTGTCTTAAAAAAAGAAAGAAAATATAGATGTGGTAGGAAATTGTTTTCAGTTATCTGGAAAAAAGTTGCATGTCTCATTTTCTTTTAAAAAAAAAAAACAGAACTTCTCTAAATTCTTATTTTGGATACAGAATTAAAGAAGCAATAAAGGAACTGCTATTCCAGAATTAATTTTGATCAACCAGTAAGGAGGCATCAGGATTACAAAGATGAGGAAAACTTTAGGAAAAAATAACCATGACAGCCAAAACTCCCATGTGCCAAAAAGTAAATTGTGAGTTAGGAAGAACCAACTTCTGAAGCTGATTCAAAAAAGTTAACTGAGCATATATTTTGTATCAGGCACTACTCAACAACTAGGAATACTGCAAAGTTCCTATCCTCACAGAACCTGCTGTTTATAGGGGGAGGGAGTAATAAAAAGCAAATTTGCAAACAAATATACCATATAATTTCAGGTAGTGATAAGTGTTACTGAAAAATAAAGCAAACTCTTGGGAGAAATGGCTGATTCTAGGACTAATGTAGATATATACAAGATAAGCTTAAAACACAGTGCCAGAAAGTAAGAAAGTACTCAAAAATGGAGAAACAAAACAACCCCACACTGATGGCAGTACGTCAAAGAGACACAGCAGCAAACTGAAAGAGCTCCCAGGGCCAAAGCTGGAACAATTTGAGCAGGAAAGTAAATAAAGTAGCATTGAATTATAACCCAAGTACAGAATAAATAACCATGAGTCCACACTGGTACACATAAATGACTGAATAAATAAATAAATAAGGGGAGAGAAGACAGAAACCTTCCAGGCAGAGAGGAATTCCAAATAACACATGGAGATAATCCACTCTCAAGGAGATGGAGCTTAATTCCCCATCCTTTAAGTGTGAGCTGTGCAGGGTGACTTCCTCCAAAAAGGTACAGTATGAAAAGGGGTTGTGGGGGAGTAACTTGAATAACTTTAGAGTAGAGAAACAGGACAAAGAACAGCTCAGGCAGATGATCAAGGTCAACATCAACAGTGATAAGTCATGTCGATAGTATGTACCCTTGATATGATATGATGAGAATGGCACTTTCCCCCGTGATCTTCCTAACTAAAACATATAACTCCAATCTAACCATGAGAAAAACATCAGACAAATCCCAATATAGAGACAATCTATAAAATACCCAATTAGTACTCCTCAAAACTGTCAAGGTCATAAAACACAAGGAAAGTCTGAGAAACTGTGGCAGTTAAGAGGTGCTTAAGGAGATCGCAGTTACATATCATGTGGTACCCTGGATAGAATCCTGGAACAGAAAATGATACTAGGTTAAACCTAAGGAAATCTGGATAAAGTGTAGACTTTCATTAGTAACAATGTATGAATATTTGTTCATTAATTATAACAAATGTATTATACCAAAATAAGATGTCAATAATTGGAAGAACCCAATGTGAGGCATATAGGAACTCTGTACTATTCTTTTTAATTTTTTTTTTTTTTGTAAATCAGGAGCTATTCCTAAAAAATGTTTATTTTAAAAATAAATAAAGCAAGCTCGGGAGATAGTGGCAAGGATGGAAGGCTGCTCTTTCGGTGGTCAGGGAAGATCTGTCTGAGGTAGAAACATTTGCACAGAGACCTAAATAAAATGAGGCCAAGCCATGAGTCTTTCTGGAGGAAGAGTATTGCAGGCAGAGAGAAGAGCAGGTACTAAGGTGCTGCTGCAGGGGGGTGTTGGCAGGAGGGTGCTGCTGCAGGGAAGTGCTGCTGCAGGAGGGTGCTGCTGCAGAGGGTTTTGCTATGCTCTTAGCATGTCAAAGGAGCAGCAAAGATGCCAATGTGTACAGAGGAGGCTGAGTGGTAGGAAATGGGGTCAGGTAGGTACTAGGGCAGGATGCTGCAGTCCTTTAGGCCACGCAAATGTGAATTCTTTTGTGGGTGAGGCACAAGGCAGGACGGCATAGAGTGCACTCCAGAGCTAATCTGTGGAGGTCTTATCCTGACTCTTCCACATGGGAGCTGTAAGACCTCAGGATAGTCATATGCCCTCTCTGATAGGTGGATGTATAATAGCTGTAGGATGTAGATCATGCCACAGCTGGCCTCACAGGAGTGTTGTGAAGACTGACAATCTGTAAAGCACTAACATCCTTCGGCACATAATAAGTGCGGTATAAATAAGTATTTAACTTTTATTGTGTGGAAAGCCCCTGGCAAGGTTAAGCTGAAGAGTGCCAGTGACTTAGATTACTCCTGTGAAGGCTCTCTGTATGCTCACTGGGGAGAACAGACTGGAAGGAGGCAAGAGGAGAGGTCAGTGAGGAGGCCAGAGATCAGTGGTGGAGGCCAGAGTGGCAGTGGCTTCGATGTGGCAGGGATGGTCATGATGGGGCTTCTGGATGAATTCCGAAAGCAGATTTGCCATGATTTGCTAATGGACTGGATAAAGGGTATAAGTGAAGGGGAGGAGTAAGCTTGTCTTTCAGAACTGAGCTTGAGTAACTGAGCAAATGGTGGTGCCAATTTATCGATATGGGGAGAACGGAGGGAGGAGGATTTTGCTTGATTGGTTGGTTTGTTTTGTTTTCTTTTTTTTTTTTTTTTTGTTTCGGTCTGGAGAAGGATTAAGACATATTAAGAGAGGAAAGTTCAAGTTAAATGAGAAGCTCTCAAAAGTTCAATTCTGACAATATAGTTACAAAGGATTCCAAAATGGGAGAAAAGAGGACGGCATCTGAAGATGCTTATGTAGTTATAGGGTTTGTTATTTAATGAGCTCAGATTATTCCTTTAAGGCAAAAAGAGATAAAGTGGCATGAAACTGTACCCACACATTGTACCAATATCAATTTCCTGGGTTTGCTATTGTACTATAGCTAAGTAAGATGTAACCATTGGGGGAAACTGAGGGAGGGATACTCCAGACCTCTGAGTACTATCTTTCCAGCTTCCTGAAAATCTATCATTATTTCAAAACCAAAGGTTTTTTAAATTACTCTTATTAGGGAGAAGGAAATAACAGCAGATCATTTAGAGGTTTTTGCTGACTAAAAGAAAGTATAAATTAATATTGTGATGTTGTTGACAAACTAATGCTTACGTGGCTAGGGTTCATGGAAGTGTAAAATTCCACAGAGGGATGGGAGAAGAATGACTTCATTTATCACAGGTCAATCCACATCCGAAGTGGTAAGTTCATCTCTGGGTGCCTTCATCACTTTCAGGTTGACAAGCACACTGAATGACAACTGAACAAGACATTCAGAACTGGGCAATGCTGTCACATTAGAAGTCATTGAAGGAGCTGAAGAATTTAGCCAGGAAAATTGCAGATGCCCACAAGACATAACAACTGTCTTTAAACGCTTGAGAAACTATCATTTGGGAATCAAATTTAGATGAATATTTGACATCCCTTTAGGTGCACTTTCTTTTTACAAAATGCCAGAAGTATTTTTTAAAGAACATTCAGCTGCATTAAAACCTCTGATTTTAAAAACAACTAAGTGGAATAAACCTGGAACTTCAAAATGTTCTCCCAACTGAAACCTGTTACCCGTTTGGTTTGAAATTGAGTCACTAACTTTAAGCAGGATGCAACTTCTTACCACCACCTTCAACCATATCTTCCAGCAATGATCTCAAGAGCTATTAGGATAGATCTGTGACTTGTACTTAGGGGTTAGACATCTGTCAGCCCTTGAGATGGGACCAAGAAAAAGTTTTAATTAAATATTTTCCTTGACTGACAACGAGGAGGGCATAACACTTTTTCTATTTTTTCATTTGTTCTATGGATTGAAAGGAAAATGGATTTAATACTGCAAAGTTAATATTACTTCTTCATGTAAATTTTTATTATATACTGCAATGAAGGTTAGACAAAAATTTTAAAAGAAATGATTTGACACTTTGCTATAACAAGAAACTATAAAAAGTATGATAATAAAACCCAGTGAAAAAATCTTGCAGACACTGATTTTCATATCCTGATTATAATGAAGGCCTTAACTGAGCAGTTGCACTGTTGTGTGCCTGTTCACCCTGCTGTTGAATTTTTCTTTTTCCTTTCTCTCTTTTTTTTTTTTTTTTTTTTTTTTTTGAGATGGTATTTTGCTCTTGTCACCCAGGCTGGAGTGCAAAGGCATGATCTCAGCTCACTGCAACCTCTGCCTCCCGGGTTCAAGCTATTCTCCTGCCTCAGACTCCCAAGTAGCTAGGATTACAGGTGCCCGCCACCATGCATAGCTAATTTTTTTTTTTGTATTTTTAGTAGAGACACGGTTTCACCACGTTGGCCAGGCTGGCCTTGAACTCCCGACCTCAGGTGATCCACCCACCTTGGCCTCCCAAAGTGCTGGGATTACAGGCGTTAGCCACTGCACCCGGCCCCTGCTGTTGAATTGATCTATTTATGACCCACAGAGAGCATGAGACTAATGTATTACTTTAGTGAAAAAAAATCAAAATGCTGAACACCGTTATGAACCAGCAACAAAACGGAGAACATTATTCTTTCTTCAGACAAAACCAATCTCTTGCTACACCTGGAGCAGAGAGTGTGTGTGGTCTGGTTGCTGGCTCTCTGGAAAGATAAGCCCAGGGAAAGATGGCTCAGTAATACAGTGAAGCTAGGAAGGGAGTTTGCACATCCAAGCATTATACTGAAGGAACTCTATATGCATTATTTCATGTAAGCCTCACCGCAACCCTACGAAAGGAGGTACCATTATTCTCATTCTACAGATGAGGAACTGGGGCTCAAGTAACTTGCCCAAAGGTACTCAACTAGAAAGTAGTAGAGGTGGGATTTAAAGCCACATCTGTCTTGAGTCCAAAGTCCATGCTTTTATCTACCATGTTCTGTGAAATGTTCACTGAATATTAAATTGTAGCACTTAATCCATTCCCCTCCCCCACCCACCCACTGTCTTTATCTGGACAATCAGAAGTTCAGAAAGTTGAGGATACTTGTCCAAAGCTGGTTTGCAGTAGAACTGAGGCTTGAACCAAGATCTCCTGACTCCCGGGTCAGGATATTTCTGCTGTGCCAGGGACCATTCCATCTGAAAAGCTAAAAGCTGAGAGAGGATATTTCTAAATTCTAGAAAATCACAAAGGATATGAAGTGAGTAAATTTAGAATCTGCCAAAACCCAGCAGTATAAAAATAACAGGACTAGGAACCATTCTGGAAGTTTGAGAGAGATGCATTTACGAGGGAGAAGTGTGATGGAGCACACAT